>NC_000018.10:15914337-16246132 GCF_000001405.40 Homo sapiens | reverse complement strand
GCTGTGTGCTTTTTATATGTATTCCCGCTTCCAGCGAAATCCCCAAGCTAGCCAAATATCCACTTGCAGATTCCAGAAAAAGAGTGTTTCAAAACTGCTCCTTCAAAACGGTGGTTCAATTCTCTTAGTTGAGTACACACATCTCAAATAAGTTTCTGAGAATGCTTCTGTCTAGTTGTTATGGGAAGATATTTCCTTTTCCAACATAGGCCTGAAAGCGCTCCAAATGTCCACTTCCAGATACTACAAAAGGAGTGATTCAAACCTGCTCTATGATAGGGAATGTTCAACTCTGTGTCCTGAATACAAACATCACAACGATGTTTCTCAGAACGCTGCAGTCTGCAATTTGTATGAATTCCCGCTTCCAACGAAATCCTCAAAACTAGCCAAATATCCACTTGGAGATTCCACAAAAAGAGCGTTTCAAAACTTCTCTATGAATAGAAAGTTTCTACTCCTTTAGTTGAGGACACACATCACGAGTAAGTTTCTGAGAATGCTTCTGTCTGGTTTTTATGGTAAGATATGTCCTTTTTCACCTTAGGCCGGAAAGCGCTCCAAATGTCCACTTACACACACTACAAAAAGAGTGTTTCAAACCTGCTCTGTGAAGGGGAATGTTCAATTCTGTGACTTGAATGCAATCATCACAAAGAACTTTCTGAGAATGCTGCTGACTGCTTTTTATATGTAATCCCGTTTCCAACGAAATCCTCAAATCTAGCCCAATATCCACTTGCAGATTCCACAAAAAGAGTGTTTCAAAACTGTTCTGTCTAAAGAAATGTACAACTGTGTTAGTTGAGGACACACATCAGAAACTAGTTTCTGAGAATGCTTCTGTCTAGTTGTTATGGGAAGATATTTCCTTTTCCAACGTAGGCCTGAAAGCGCTCCAAATGTCCACTTCCAGATACTAAAAAAAGAGTGTTTCAAACCTGCTCTACCAAAGAGAATGTTCTACTCTGTGACTTGAATGCAAACATCCCAAAGAAGTTTCTGAGAATGCTTCTGTCTAGATTTTATCTGAAGACAATCCCGTTTCCAACGAAATCCTCAAGTCTAGGCAAATATTCTCTTGCAGATTCCAGAAAAAGAGTGTTTCAAAACTGCTCCTTCAAAACGGTGGTTCAGTTCTCTTAGTTGAGTACACACATCTCAAATAAGTTTCTGAGAATGCTTCTGCCTAGTTGTTACGGGAAGATATTTCCCTTTCCAACATAGGCCTGAAAGCGCTCCAAATGTCCACTTCCAGATACTACAAAAAGAGTGTTTCAAACCTGCTCTACCAAAGGGAATGTTCTACTCTGTGACTTGAATGCAAACATCCCAAAGAAGTTTCTGAGAATGCTTCTGTCTAGATTTTACCTGAAGACAATCCCGTTTCCCACGAAATCCTCAAAGCTATGCAAATATCCTCTTGCGGATTCTACAAAAAGAGTGTTTCAAAACTGCTCTATGAAAAGAAAGGTTCAACTCTGTCAGTAGAGGGCACACATCACAAACAAGTTTCTGAGAATGCTTGTGTCTAGTTGTTATGGGAAGATATTTCCTTTTTCAACATAGGCCTGAAAGCGCTCCAAATGTCCACTTCCAGATACTACAAAAGGAGTGATTCCAACATGCTCTATGATAGGGAATGTTCATCTCTGTGTCTTGAATACAAACATCACAAAGATGTTTCTCAGAACGCTGCAGTCTGCAATTTGTATGAATTCCCGCTTCCAACGAAATCCTCAAAACTAGCCAAATATCCACTTGGATTTTCCACAAAAAGAGCGTTTCAAAACTTCTCTATGAATAGAAAGGTTCTACTCCTTTAGTTGAGGACACACATCACGAGTAAGTTTCTGAGAATGCTTCTGTCTAGTTTTTATGGGAAGATATGTCCTTTTTCACCTTAGGCCGGAAAGCACTCCAAATGTCCACTTACACACACTACAAAAAGAGTGTTTCAAACCTGCTCTGTGAAAGGGAATGTTCAATTCTGTGACTTGAATGCAATCATCACAAAGAACTTTCTGAGAATGCTGCTGACTGCTTTTTATATGTAATCCCGTTTCCAACGAAATCCTCAAATCTAGCCCAATATCCACTTGCAGATTCCACAAAAAGAGTGTTTCAAAACTGTTCTGTCTAAGGAAATGTACAACTGTGTTAGTTGAGGACACACATCAGAAACTAGTTTCTGAGAATGCTTCTGTCTAGTTGTTATGGGAAGATATTTCCTTTTCCAACGTAGGCCTGAAAGCGCTCCAAATGTCCACTTCCATATACTAAAAAAAGAGTGTTTCAAACCTGCTCTACCAAAGGGAATGTTCTACTCTGTGACTTGAATGCAAACATCCCAAAGAAGTTTCTGAGAATGCTTCTGTCTAGATTTTATCTGAAGACAATCCCGTTTCCAACGAAATCCTCAAGGCTAGGCAAATATACTCTTGCAGATTCCAGAAAAAGAGGGTTTCAAAACTGCTCCTTCAAAACGGTGGTTCAATTCTCTTAGTTGAGTACACACATCTCAAATAAGTTTCTGAGAATGCTTCTGCCTAGTTGTTACGGGAAGATATTTCCCTTTCCAACATGGGCCTGAAAGCGCTCCAAATGTCCACTTCCAGATACTACAAAAAGAGTGTTTCAAACCTGCTCTACCAAAGGGAATGTTCTACTCTGTGACTTGAATGCAAACATCCCAAAGAAGTTTCTGAGAATGCTTCTGTCTAGATTTTACCTGAAGACAATCCCGTTTCCCACGAAATCCTCAAAGCTATGCAAATATCCTCTTGCAGATTCTACAAAAAGAGTGTTTCAAAACTGCTCTATGAAAAGAAAGGTTCAACTCTGTCAGTAGAGGGCACACATCACAAACAAGTTTCTGAGAATGCTTCTGCATAGTTGTTACGGGAAGATATTTCCCTTTCCAAAATAGGCCTGAAAGCGCTCCAAATGTCCACTTCCAGATACTACAAAAGGAGTGATTCCAACCTGCTCTATGATAGGGAATGTTCAACTCTGTGTCCTGAATACAAACATCACAAAGATGTTTCTCAGAACGCTGCAGTCTGCAATTTGTATGAATTCCCGCTTCCAACGAAATCCTCAAAACTAGCCAAATATCCACTTGCAGATTCCACAAAAAGACCATTTCAAAACTGCTCTATCAAAAGAAAGGTTCAACTTTGTTAGTTGAGTAGATACAGCATAAACAAGTTTCTGAGAATGCTTCTGTCCAGTTTTTATGGGAAGATATTTCCTTTTTCACCTTAGCCCTGAAATCGCTCCAAAAGTCCAGTTCCAGATACTACAAAAGGGGTGTTTCAAGACTGCTCTATGAAAGGGAGTGTTCAACTTTTGACTTGAATGCAAACATCAGAAAGCAGTTTCTCAGAACGCTGCTGTGTGCTTTTTATATGTATTCCCGCTTCCAGCGAAATCCCCAAAGCTAGCCAAATATCCACTTGCAGATTCCAGAAAAAGAGAGTTTCAAAACTGCTCCTTCAAAACGGTGGTTCAATTCTCTTAGTTGAGTACACACATCTCAAATAAGTTTCTGAGAATGCTTCTGTCTAGTTGTTATGGGAAGATATTTCCTTTTCCAACATAGGCCTGAAAGCGCTCCAAATGTCCACTTCCAGATACTACAAAAGGAGTGATTCCAACCTGCTCTATGATAGGGAATGTTCAACTCTGTGTCCTGAATACAAACATCACAAAGATGTTTCTCAGAACGCTGCAGTCTGCAATTTGTATGAATTCCCGCTTCCAACGAAATCCTCAAGACTAGCCAAATATCCACTTGGAGATTCCACAAAAAGAGCTTTTCAAAACTTCTCTATGAATAGAAAGGTTCTACTCCTTTAGTTGAGGACACACATCACGAGTAAGTTTCTGAGAATGCTTCTGTCTAGTTTTTATGGGAAGATATTTCCTTTTTCACCTTAGGCCGGTAAGTGCTCCAAATGTCCACTTACACACACTACAAAAAGAGTCTTTCAAACCTGCTCTGTGAAAGGGAATGTTCAATTCTGTGACTTGAATGCAATCATCACAAAGAACTTTCTGAGAATGCTGCTGACTGCTTTTTATATGTAATCCCGTTTCCAACGAAATCCTCAAATCTAACCAAATAGCCACTTGCAGATTCCACAAAAAGAGTGTTTCAAAACTGTTCTGTCTAAAGAAATGTTCAACTGTGTTAGTTGAGGACACACATCAGAAACTAGTTTCTGAGAATGCTTCTGTCTAGTTGTTATGGGAAGATATTTCCTTTTCCAACGTAGGCCTGAAAGCGCTCCAAATGTCCACTTCCAGATACTACAAAAAGAGTGTTTCAAACCTGCTCTACCAAAGGGAATGTTCTACTCTGTGACTTGAATGCAAACATCCCAAAGAAGTTTCTGAGAATGCTTCTGTCTAGATTTTCTCTGAAGACAATCCCGTTTCCAACGAAATCCTCAAGGCTAGGCAAATATACTCTTGCAGATTCCAGAAAAAGAGTGTTTCAAAACTGCTCCTTCAAAACGGTGGTTCAATTCTCTTAGTTGAGTACACACATCTCAAATAAGTTTCTGAGAATGCTTCTGCCTAGTTGTTACGGGAAGATATTTCCCTTTCCAACATGGGCCTGAAAGCGCTCCAAATGTCCACTTCCAGATACTACAAAAAGAGTGTTTCAAACCTGCTCTACCAAAGGGAATGTTCTACTCTGTGACTTGAATGCAAACATCCCAAAGAAGTTTCTGAGAATGCTTCTGTCTAGATTTTACCTGAAGACAATCCCGTTTCCCACGAAATCCTCAAAGCTATGCAAATATCCTCTTGCAGATTCTACAAAAAGAGTGTTTCAAAACTGCTCTATGAAAAGAAAGGTTCAACTCTGTCAGTAGAGGGCACACATCACAAACAAGTTTCTGAGAATGCTTCTGCATAGTTGTTACGGGAAGATATTTCCCTTTCCAAAATAGGCCTGAAAGCGCTCCAAATGTCCACTTCCAGATACTACAAAAGGAGTGATTCCAACCTGCTCTATGATAGGGAATGTTCAACTCTGTGTCCTGAATACAAACATCACAAAGATGTTTCTCAGAACGCTGCAGTCTGCAATTTGTATGAATTCCCGCTTCCAACGAAATCCTCAAAACTAGCCAAATATCCACTTGCAGATTCCACAAAAAGACCATTTCAAAACTGCTCTATCAAAAGAAAGGTTCAACTTTGTTAGTTGAGTAGATACAGCATAAACAAGTTTCTGAGAATGCTTCTGTCCAGTTTTTATGGGAAGATATTTCCTTTTTCACCTTAGCCCTGAAATCGCTCCAAAAGTCCAGTTCCAGATACTACAAAAGGGGTGTTTCAAGACTGCTCTATGAAAGGGAGTGTTCAACTTTTGACTTGAATGCAAACATCAGAAAGCAGTTTCTCAGAACGCTGCTGTGTGCTTTTTATATGTATTCCCGCTTCCAGCGAAATCCCCAAAGCTAGCCAAATATCCACTTGCAGATTCCAGAAAAAGAGTGTTTCAAAACTGCTCCTTCAAAACGGTGGTTCAATTCTCTTAGTTGAGTACACACATCTCAAATAAGTTTCTGAGAATGCTTCTGTCTAGTTGTTATGGGAAGATATTTCCTTTTCCAACATAGGCCTGAAAGCGCTCCAAATGTCCACTTCCAGATACTACAAAAGGAGTGATTCAAACCTGCTCTATGATAGGGAATGTTCAACTCTGTGTCCTGAATACAAACATCACAAAGATGTTTCTCAGAACGCTGCAGTCTGCAATTTGTATGAATTCCCGCTTCCAACGAAATCCTCAAAACTAGCCAAATATCCACTTGCAGATTCCACAAAAAGAGCGTTTCAAAACTTCTCTATGAAAAGAAAGGTTCTACTCCTTTAGTTGAGGACACACATCACGAGTAAGTTTCTGAGAATGCTTCTGTCTAGTTTTTATGGGAAGATATTTCCTTTTTCACCTTAGGCCGGTAAGTGCTCCAAATGTCCACTTACACACACTACAAAAAGAGTGTTTCAAACCTGCTCTGTGAAAGGGAATGTTCAATTCTGTGACTTGAATGCAATCATCACAAAGAACTTTCTGAGAATGCTGCTGACTGCTTTTTATATGTAATCCCGTTTCCAACGAAATCCTCAAATCTAGCCAAATAGCCACTTGCAGATTCCACAAAAAGAGTGTTTCAAAACTGTTCTGTCTAAAGAAATGTTCAACTGTGTTAGTTGAGGACACACATCAGAAACTAGTTTCTGAGAATGCTTCTGTCTAGTTGTTATGGGAAGATATTTCCTTTTCCAACGTAGGCCTGAAAGCGCTCCAAATGTCCACTTCCATATACTAAAAAAAGAGTGTTTCAAACCTGCTCTACCAAAGGGAATGTTCTACTCTGTGACTTGAATGCAAACATCCCAAAGAAGTTTCTGAGAATGCTTCTGTCTAGATTTGATCTGAAGACAATCCCGTTTCCAACGAAATCCTCAAGGCTAGGCAAATATACTCTTGCAGATTCCAGAAAAAGAGTGTTTCAAAACTGCTCCTTCAAAACGGTGGTTCAATTCTCTTAGTTGAGTACACACATCTCAAATAAGTTTCTGAGAATGCTTCTGCCTAGTTGTTACGGGAAGATATTTCCCTTTCCAACATAGGCCTGAAAGCGCTCCAAATGTCCACTTCCAGATACTACAAAAAGAGTGTTTCAAACCTGCTCTACCAAAGGGAATGTTCTACTCTGTGACTTGAATGCAAACATCCCAAAGAAGTTTCTGAGAATGCTTCTGTCTAGATTTTACCTGAAGACAATCCCGTTTCCCACGAAATCCTCAAAGCTATGCAAATATCCTCTTGCAGATTCTACAAAAAGAGTGTTTCAAAACTGCTCTATGAAAAGAAAGGTTCAACTCTGTCAGTAGAGGGCACACATCACAAACAAGTTTCTGAGAATGCTTGTGTCTAGTTGTTATGGGAAGATATTTCCTTTTTCAACATAGGCCTGAAAGCGCTCCAAATGTCCACTTCCAGATACTACAAAAGGAGTGATTCCAACCTGCTCTATGATAGGGAATGTTCAACTCTCTGTCCTGAATACAAACATCACAAAGATGTTTCTCAGAACGCTGCAGTCTGCAATTTGTATGAATTCCCGCTTCCAACGAAATCCTCAAAACTAGCCAAATATCCACTTGCAGATTCCACAAAAAGAGCGTTTCAAAACTTATCTATGAAAAGAAAGGTTCTACTTCTTTAGTTGAGGACACACATCACGAGTAACTTTCTGAGAATGCTTCTGTCTAGTTTTTATGGGAAGATATTTCCTTTTTCACCTTAGGCCGGAAAGTGCTCCAAATGTCCACTTACACACACTATACAAAGAGTGTTTCAAACCTGCTCTGTGAAAGGGAATGTTCAATACTGTGACTTGAATGCAATCATCACAAAGAAGTTTCTGAGAATGCTGCTGTCTGCTTTTTATATGTAATCCCGTTTCCAACGAAATCCTCAAATCTAGCCAAATAGCCACTTGCAGATACCACAAAAAGAGTGTTTCAAAACTTTTCTGTCTAAAGAAATGTTCAACTGTGTTAGTTGAGGACACACATCAGAAACTAGTTTCTGAGAATGCTTCTGTCTAGTTGTTATGGGAAGATATTTCCTTTTCCAACGTAGGCCTGAAAGCGCTCCAAATGTCCACTTCCATATACTACAAAAAGAGTGTTTCAAACCTGCTCTACCAAAGGGAATGTTCTACTCTGTGACTTGAATGCAAACATCCCAAAGAAGTTTCTGAGAATGCTTCTGTCTAGATTTTCTCTGAAGACAATCCCGTTTCCAACGAAATCCTCAAGGCTAGGCAAATATACTCTTGCAGATTGCAGAAAAAGAGTGTTTCAAAACTGCTCCTTCAAAACGGTGGTTCAATTCTCTTAGTTGAGTACACACATCTCAAATAAGTTTCTGAGAATGCTTCTGCCTAGTTGTTACGGGAAGATATTTCCCTTTCCAACATGGGCCTGAAAGCGCTCCAAATGTCCACTTCCAGATACTACAAAAAGAGTGTTTCAAACCTGCTCTACCAAAGGGAATGTTCTACTCTGTGACTTGAATGCAAACATCCCAAAGAAGTTTCTGAGAATGCTTCTGTCTAGATTTTACCTGAAGACAATCCCGTTTCCCACGAAATCCTCAAAGCTATGCAAATATCCTCTTGCAGATTCTACAAAAAGAGTGTTTCAAAACTGCTCTATGAAAAGAAAGGTTCAACTCTGTCAGTAGAGGGCACACATCACAAACAAGTTTCTGAGAATGCTTCTGCATAGTTGTTACGGGAAGATATTTCCCTTTCCAAAATAGGCCTGAAAGCGCTCCAAATGTCCACTTCCAGATACTACAAAAGGAGTGATTCCAACCTGCTCTATGATAGGGAATGTTCAACTCTGTGTCCTGAATACAAACATCACAAAGATGTTTCTCAGAACGCTGCAGTCTGCAATTTGTATGAATTCCCGCTTCCAACGAAATCCTCAAAACTAGCCAAATATCCACTTGCAGATTCCACAAAAAGACCATTTCAAAACTGCTCTATCAAAAGAAAGGTTCAACTTTGTTAGTTGAGTAGATACAGCATAACCAAGTTTCTGAGAATGCTTCTGTCCAGTTTTTATGGGAAGATATTTCCTTTTTCACCTTAGCCCTGAAATCGCTCCAAAAGTCCAGTTCCAGATACTACAAAAGGGGTGTTTCAAGACTGCTCTATGAAAGGGAGTGTTCAACTTTTGACTTGAATGCAAACATCAGAAAGCAGTTTCTCAGAACGCTGCTGTGTGCTTTTTATATGTATTCCCGCTTCCAGCGAAATCCCCAAAGCTAGCCAAATATCCACTTGCAGATTCCAGAAAAAGAGAGTTTCAAAACTGCTCCTTCAAAACGGTGGTTCAATTCTCTTAGTTGAGTACACACATCTCAAATAAGTTTCTGAGAATGCTTCTGTCTAGTTGTTATGGGAAGATATTTCCTTTTCCAACATAGGCCTGAAAGCGCTCCAAATGTCCACTTCCAGATACTACAAAAGGAGTGATTCCAACCTGCTCTATGATAGGGAATGTTCAACTCTGTGTCCTGAATACAAACATCACAAAGATGTTTCTCAGAACGCTGCAGTCTGCAATTTGTATGAATTCCCGCTTCCAACGAAATCCTCAAAACTAGCCAAATATCCACTTGCAGATTCCACAAAAAGAGCGTTTCAAAACTTCTCTATGAAAAGAAAGGTTCTACTCCTTTAGTTGAGGACACACATCACGAGTAAGTTTCTGAGAATGCTTCTGTCTAGTTTTTATGGGAAGATATTTCCTTTTTCACCTTAGGCCGGTAAGTGCTCCAAATGTCCACTTACACACACTACAAAAAGAGTGTTTCAAACCTGCTCTGTGAAAGGGAATGTTCAATTCTGTGACTTGAATGCAATCATCACAAAGAACTTTCTGAGAATGCTGCTGACTGCTTTTTATATGTAATCCCGTTTCTAACGAAATCCTCAAATCTAGCCAAATAGCCACTTGCAGATTCCACAAAAAGAGTGTTTCAAAACTGTTCTGTCTAAAGAAATGTTCAACTGTGTTAGTTGAGGACACACATCAGAAACTAGTTTCTGAGAATGCTTCTGTCTAGTTGTTATGGGAAGATATTTCCTTTTCCAACGTAGGCCTGAAAGCGATCCAAATGTCCACTTCCATATACTAAAAAAAGAGTGTTTCAAACCTGCTCTACCAAAGGGAATGTTCTACTCTGTGACTTGAATGCAAACATCCCAAAGAAGTTTCTGAGAATGCTTCTGTCTAGATTTTCTCTGAAGACAATCCCGTTTCCAACGAAATCCTCAAGGCTAGGCAAATATACTCTTGCAGATTCCAGAAAAAGAGTGTTTCAAAACTGCTCCTTCAAAACGGTGGTTCAATTCTCTTAGTTGAGTACACACATCTCAAATAAGTTTCTGAGAATGCTTCTGCCTAGTTGTTACGGGAAGATATTTCCCTTTCCAACATGGGCCTGATAGTGCTCCAAATGTCCACTTCCAGATACTACAAAAAGAGTGTTTCAAACCTGCTCTACCAAAGGGAATGTTCTACTCTGTGACTTGAATGCAAACATCCCAAAAAAGTTTCTGAGAATGCTTCTGTCTAGATTTTACCTGAAGACAATCCCGTTTCCCACGAAATCCTCAAAGCTATGCAAATATCCTCTTTCAGATTCTACAAAAAGAGTGTTTCGAAAGTGCTCTATGAAAAGAAAGGTTCAACTGTGTCAGTAGAGGGCACACATCACAAACAAGTTTCCTGAGAATGCTTCTGCATAGTTGTTACGGGAAGATATTTCCCTTTCCAAAATAGGCCTGAAAGCGCTCCAAATGTCCACTTCCAGATACTACAAAAGGAGTGATTCCAACCTGCTCTATGATAGGGAATGTTCAACTCTGTGTCCTGAATACAAACATCACAAAGATGTTTCTCAGAACGCTGCAGTCTGCAATTTGTATGAATTCCCGCTTCCAACGAAATCCTCAAAACTAGCCAAATATCCACTTGCAGATTCCACAAAAAGACCATTTCAAAACTGCTCTATCAAAAGAAAGGTTCAACTTTGTTAGTTGAGTAGATACAGCATAACCAAGTTTCTGAGAATGCTTCTGTCCAGTTTTTATGGGAAGATATTTCCTTTTTCACCTTAGCCCTGAAATCGCTCCAAAAGTCCAGTTCCAGATACTACAAAAGGGGTGTTTCAAGACTGCTCTATGAAAGGGAGTGTTCAACTTTTGACTTGAATGCAAACATCAGAAAGCAGTTTCTCAGAACGCTGCTGTGTGCTTTTTATATGTATTCCCGCTTCCAGCGAAATCCCCAAAGCTAGCCAAATATCCACTTGCAGATTCCAGAAAAAGAGAGTTTCAAAACTGCTCCTTCAAAACGGTGGTTCAATTCTCTTAGTTGAGTACACACATCTCAAATAAGTTTCTGAGAATGCTTCTGTCTAGTTGTTATGGGAAGATATTTCCTTTTCCAACATAGGCCTGAAAGCGCTCCAAATGTCCACTTCCAGATACTACAAAAGGAGTGATTCAAACCTGCTCTATGATAGGGAATGTTCAACTCTGTGTCCTGAATACAAACATCACAAAGATGTTTCTCAGAACGCTGCAGTCTGCAATTTGTATGAATTCCCGCTTCCAACGAAATCCTCAAAACTAGCCAAATATCCACTTGCAGATTCCACAAAAAGAGCGTTTCAAAACTTCTCTATGAAAAGAAAGGTTCTACTCCTTTAGTTGAGGACACACATCACGAGTAAGTTTCTGAGAATGCTTCTGTCTAGTTTTTATGGGAAGATATTTCCTTTTTCACCTTAGGCCGGTAAGTGCTCCAAATGTCCACTTACACACACTACAAAAAGAGTGTTTCAAACCTGCTCTGTGAAAGGGAATGTTCAATTCTGTGACTTGAATGCAATCATCACAAAGAACTTTCTGAGAATGCTGCTGACTGCTTTTTATATGTAATCCCGTTTCCAACGAAATCCTCAAATCTAGCCAAATAGCCACTTGCAGATTCCACAAAAAGAGTGTTTCAAAACTGTTCTGTCTAAAGAAATGTTCAACTGTGTTAGTTGAGGACACACATCAGAAACTAGTTTCTGAGAATGCTTCTGTCTAGTTGTTATGGGAAGATATTTCCTTTTCCAACGTAGGCCTGAAAGCGCTCCAAATGTCCACTTCCAGATACTACAAAAAGAGTGTTTCAAACCTGCTCTACCAAAGGGAATGTTCTACTCTGTGACTTGAATGCAAACATCCCAAAGAAGTTTCTGAGAATGCTTCTGTCTAGATTTTACCTGAAGACAATCCCGTTTCCCACGAAATCCTCAAAGCTATGCAAATATCCTCTTGCAGATTCTACAAAAAGAGTGTTTCAAAACTGCTCTATGAAAAGAAAGGTTCAACTCTGTCAGTAGAGGGCACACATCACAAACAAGTTTCTGAGAATGCTTCTGCATAGTTGTTACGGGAAGATATTTCCCTTTCCAAAATAGGCCTGAAAGCGCTCCAAATGTCCACTTCCAGATACTACAAAAGGAGTGATTCCAACCTGCTCTATGATAGGGAATGTTCAACTCTGTGTCCTGAATACAAACATCACAAAGATGTTTCTCAGAACGCTGCAGTCTGCAATTTGTATGAATTCCCGCTTCCAACGAAATCCTCAAAACTAGCCAAATATCCACTTGCAGATTCCACAAAAAGACCATTTCAAAACTGCTCTATCAAAAGAAAGGTTCAACTTTGTTAGTTGAGTAGATACAGCATAACCAAGTTTCTGAGAATGCTTCTGTCCAGTTTTTATGGGAAGATATTTCCTTTTTCACCTTAGCCCTGAAATCGCTCCAAAAGTCCAGTTCCAGATACTACAAAAGGGGTGTTTCAAGACTGCTCTATGAAAGGGAGTGTTCAACTTTTGACTTGAATGCAAACATCAGAAAGCAGTTTCTCAGAACGCTGCTGTGTGCTTTTTATATGTATTCCCGCTTCCAGCGAAATCCCCAAAGCTAGCCAAATATCCACTTGCAGATTCCAGAAAAAGAGAGTTTCAAAACTGCTCCTTCAAAACGGTGGTTCAATTCTCTTAGTTGAGTACACACATCTCAAATAAGTTTCTGAGAATGCTTCTGTCTAGTTGTTATGGGAAGATATTTCCTTTTCCAACATAGGCCTGAAAGCGCTCCAAATGTCCACTTCCAGATACTACAAAAGGAGTGATTCAAACCTGCTCTATGATAGGGAATGTTCAACTCTGTGTCCTGAATACAAACATCACAAAGATGTTTCTCAGAACGCTGCAGTCTGCAATTTGTATGAATTCCCGCTTCCAACGAAATCCTCAAAACTAGCCAAATATCCACTTGCAGATTCCACAAAAAGAGCGTTTCAAAACTTCTCTATGAAAAGAAAGGTTCTACTCCTTTAGTTGAGGACACACATCACGAGTAAGTTTCTGAGAATGCTTCTGTCTAGTTTTTATGGGAAGATATTTCCTTTTTCACCTTAGGCCGGTAAGTGCTCCAAATGTCCACTTACACACACTACAAAAAGAGTGTTTCAAACCTGCTCTGTGAAAGGGAATGTTCAATTCTGTGACTTGAATGCAATCATCACAAAGAACTTTCTGAGAATGCCGGTGTCTGCTTTTTATATGTAATCCCGTTTCCAACGAAATCCTCAAATCTAGCCAAATAGCCACTTGCAGATTCCACAAAAAGAGAGTTTCAAAACTGTTCTGTCTAAAGAAATGTTCAACTGTGTTAGTTGAGGACACACACCAGAAACTAGTTTCTGAGAATGCTTCTGTCTAGTTGTTATGGGAAGATATTTCCTTTTCCAACGTAGGCCTGAAAGCGCTCCAAATGTCCACTTCCATATACTAAAAAAAGAGTGTTTCACACCTGCTCTACCAAAGGGAATGTTCTACTCTGTGACTTGAATGCAAACATCCCAAAGAAGTTTCTGAGAATGCTTCTGTCTAGATTTGATCTGAACACAATCCCGTTTCCAACGAAATCCTCAAAGCTAGGCAAATATCCTCTTGCAGATTCCAGAAAAAGAGTGTTTCAAAACTGCTCCTTCAAAACGGTGGTTCAATTCTCTTAGTTGAGTACACACATCTCAAATAAGTTTCTGAGAATGCTTCTGCCTAGTTGTTACCGGAAGATATTTCCCTTTCCAACATAGGCCTGAAAGCGCTCCAAATGTCCACTTCCAGATACTACAAAAAGAGTGTTTCAAACCTGCTCTACCAAAGGGAATGTTCTACTACTGTGACTTGAATGCAAACATCCCAAAGAAGTTTCTGAGAATGCTTCTGTCTAGATTTTACCTGAAGACAATCCCGTTTCCCACGAAATCCTCAAAGCTATGCAAATATCCTCTTGCAGATTCTACAAAAAGAGTGTTTCAAAACTGCTCTATGAAAAGAAAGGTTCAACTCTGTCAGTAGAGGGCACACATCACAAACAAGTTTCTGAGAATGCTTCTGCATAGTTGTTACGGGAAGATATTTCCCTTTCCAACATGGGCCTGAAAGCGCTCCAAATGTCCACTTCCAGATACTACAAAAGGAGTGATTCCAACCTGCTCTATGATAGGGAATGTTCAACTCTCTGTCCTGAATACAAACATCACAAAGATGTTTCTCAGAACGCTGCAGTCTGCAATTTGTATGAATTCCCGCTTCCAACGAAATCCTCAAAACTAGCCAAATATCCACTTGCAGATTCCACAAAAAGACCATTTCAAAACTGCTCTATCAAAAGAAAGGTTCAACTTTGTTAGTTGAGTAGATACAGCATAACCAAGTTTCTGAGAATGCTTCTGTCCAGTTTTTATGGGAAGATATTTCCTTTTTCACCTTAGCCCTGAAATCGCTCCAAAAGTCCAGTTCCAGATACTACAAAAGGGGTGTTTCAAGACTGCTCTATGAAAGGGAGTGTTCAACTTTTGACTTGAATGCAAACATCAGAAAGCAGTTTCTCAGAACGCTGCTGTGTGCTTTTTATATGTATTCCCGCTTCCCAGCGAAATCCCCAAAGCTAGCCAAATATCCACTTGCAGATTCCAGAAAAAGAGTGTTTCAAAACTGCTCCTTCAAAACGGTGGTTCAATTCTCTTAGTTGAGTACACACATCTCAAATAAGTTTCTGAGAATGCTTCTGTCTAGTTGTTATGGGAAGATATTTCCTTTTCCAACATAGGCCTGAAAGCGCTCCAAATGTCCACTTCCAGATATTACAAAAGGAGTGATTCAAACCTGCTCTATGATAGGGAATGTTCAACTCTGTGTCCTGAATACAAACATCACAAAGATGATTCTCAGAACGCTGCAGTCTGCAATTTGTATGAATTCCCGCTTCCAACGAAATCCTCAAAACTAGCCAAATATCCACTTGCAGATTCCACAAAAAGAGCGTTTCAAAACTTCTCTATGAAAAGAAAGGTTCTACTCCTTTAGTTGAGGACACACATCACGAGTAAGTTTCTGAGAATGCTTCTGTCTAGTTTTTATGGGAAGATATTTCCTTTTTCACCTTAGGCCGGAAAGCGCTCCAAATGTCCACTTACACACACTACAAAAAGAGTGTTTCAAACCTGCTCTGTGAAAGGGAATGTTCAATTCTGTGACTTGAATGCAATCATCACAAAGAACTTTCTGAGAATGCTGCTGTCTGCTTTTTATATGTAATCCCGTTTCCAACGAAATCCTCAAATCTAGCCAAATAGCCACTTGCAGATTCCACAAAAAGAGTGTTTCAAAACTGTTCTGTCTAAAGAAATGTTCAACTGTGTTAGTTGAGGACACACATCAGAAACTAGTTTCTGAGAATGCTTCTGTCTAGTTGTTATGGGAAGATATTTCCTTTTCCAACGTAGGCCTGAAAGCGCTCCAAATGTCCACTTCCATATACTAAAAAAAGAGTGTTTCAAACCTGCTCTACCAAAGGGAATGTTCTACTCTGTGACTTGAATGCAAACATCCCAAAGAAGTTTCTGAGAATGCTTCTGTCTAGATTTGATCTGAAGACAATCCCGTTTCCAACGAAATCCTCAAGGCTAGGCAAATATCCTCTTGCAGATTCCAGAAAAAGAGTGTTTCAAAACTGCTCCTTCAAAACGGTGGTTCAATTCTCTTAGTTGAGTACACACATCTCAAATAAGTTTCTGAGAATGCTTCTGCCTAGTTGTTACGGGAAGATATTTCCCTTTCCAACATAGGCCTGAAAGCGCTCCAAATGTCCACTTCCAGATACTACAAAAAGAGTGTTTCAAACCTGCTCTACCAAAGGGAATGTTCTACTCTGTGACTTGAATGCAAACATCCCAAAGAAGTTTCTGAGAATGCTTCTGTCTAGATTTTACCTGAAGACAATCCCGTTTCCCACGAAATCCTCGAAGCTATGCAAATATCCTCTTGCAGATTCTACAAAAAGAGTGTTTCAAAACTGCTCTATGAAAAGAAAGGTTCAACTCTGTCAGTAGAGGGCACACATCACAAACAAGTTTCTGAGAAAGCTTGTGTCTAGTTGTTATGGGAAGATATTTCCTTTTTCAACATAGGCCTGAAAGCGCTCCAAATGTCCACTTCCAGATACTACAAAAGGAGTGATTCCAACCTGCTCTATGATAGGGAATCTTCAACTCTGTGTCCTGAATACAAACATCACAAAGATGTTTCTCAGAACGCTGCAGTCTGCAATTTGTATGAATTCCCGCTTCCAACGAAATCCTCCAAACTAGCCAAATATCCACTTGCAGATTCCACAAAAAGAGCATTTCAAAACTGCTCTATCAAAAGAAAGGTTCAACTATGTTAGTTGAGTAGATACAGCATAAACAAGTTTCTGAGAATGATTCTGTCCAGTTTTTATGGGAAGATATTTCCTTTTTCACCTTAGCCCTGAAAGCGCTCCAAAAGTCCAGTTCCAGATACTACAAAAGGGGTGTTTCAGGACTGCTCTATGAAAGGGAGTGTTCAACTTTTGACTTGAATGCAAACATCAGAAAGCAGTTTCTCAGAACGCTGCTGTGTGCTTTTTATATGTATTCCCGCTTCCAGCGAAATCCCCAAAGCTAGCCAAATATCCACTTGCAGATTCCAGAAAAAGAGTGTTTCAAAACTGCTCCTTCAAAACGGTGGTTCAATTCTCTTAGTTGAGTACACACATCTCAAATAAGTTTCTGAGAATGCTTCTGTCTAGTTGTTATGGGAAGATATTTCCTTTTCCAACATAGGCCTGAAAGCGCTCCAAATGTCCACTTCCAGATACTACAAAAGGAGTGATTCCAACCTGCTCTATGATAGGGATTGTTCAACTCTGTGTCCTGAATACAAACATCACAAAGATGTTTCTCAGAACGCTGCAGTCTGCAATTTGTATGAATTCCCGCTTCCAACGAAATCCTCAAAACTAGCCAAATATCCACTTGCAGATTCCACAAAAAGAGCGTTTCAAAACTTCTCTATGAAAAGAAAGGTTCTACTCCTTTAGTTGAGGACACACATCACGAGTAAGTTTCTGAGAATGCTTCTGTCTAGTTTTTATGGGAAGATATTTCCTTTTTCACCTTAGGCCGGAAAGTGCTCCAAATGTCCACTTACACACACTACAAAAAGAGTGTTTCAAACCTGCTCTGTGAAAGGGAATGTTCAATTCTGTGACTTGAATGCAATCATCACAAAGAACTTTCTGAGAATGCTGCTGTCTGCTTTTTATATGTAATCCCGTTTCCAACGAAATCCTCAAATCTAGCCAAATAGCCCCTTGCAGATTCCACAAAAAGAGTGTTTCAAAACTGTTCTGTCTAAAGAAATGTTCAACTGTGTTAGTTGAGGACACACATCAGAAACTAGTTTCTGAGAATGCTTCTGTCTAGTTGTTATGGGAAGATATTTCCTTTTCCAACGTAGGCCTGAAAGCGCTCCAAATGTCCACTTCCATATACTAAAAAAAGAGTGTTTCAAACCTGCTCTACCAAAGGGAATGTTCTACTCTGTGACTTGAATGCAAACATCCCAAAGAAGTTTCTGAGAATGCTTCTGTCTAGATTTCATCTGAAGACAATCCCGTTTCCAACGAAATCCTCAAGGCTAGGCAAATATACTCTTGCAGATTCCAGAAAAAGAGTGTTTCAAAACTGCTCCTTCAAAACAGTGGTTCAATTCTCTTAGTTGAGTACACACATCTCAAATAAGTTTCTGAGAATGCTTCCTGCCTAGTTGTTACGGGAAGATATTTCCCTTTCCAACATGGGCCTGAAAGCGCTCCAAATGTCCACTTCCAGATACTACAAAAAGAGTGTTTCAAACCTGCTCTACCAAAGGGAATGTTCTACTCTGTGACTTGAATGCAAACATCCCAAAGAAGTTTCTGAGAATGCTTCTGTCTAGATTTTACCTGAAGACAATCCCGTTTCCCACGAAATCCTCAAAGCTATGCAAATATCCTCTTGCAGATTCTACAAAAAGAGTGTTTCAAAACTGCTCTATGAAAAGAAAGGTTCAACTCTGTCAGTAGAGGGCACACATCACAAACAAGTTTCTGAGAATGCTTCTGCATAGTTGTTACGGGAAGATATTTCCCTTTCCAAAATAGGCCTGAAAGCGCTCCAAATGTCCACTTCCAGATACTACAAAAGGAGTGATTCCAACCTGCTCTATGATAGGGAATGTTCAACTCTGTGTCCTGAATACAAACATCACAAAGATGTTTCTCAGAACGCTGCAGTCTGCAATTTGTATGAATTCCCGCTTCCAACGAAATCCTCAAAACTAGCCAAATATCCACTTGCAGATTCCACAAAAAGACCATTTCAAAACTGCTCTATCAAAAGAAAGGTTCAACTTTGTTAGTTGAGTAGATACAGCATAACCAAGTTTCTGAGAATGCTTCTGTCCAGTTTTTATGGGAAGATATTTCCTTTTTCACCTTAGCCCTGAAATCGCTCCAAAAGTCCAGTTCCAGATACTACAAAAGGGGTGTTTCAAGACTGCTCTATGAAAGGGAGTGTTCAACTTTTGACTTGAATGCAAACATCAGAAAGCAGTTTCTCAGAACGCTGCTGTGTGCTTTTTATATGTATTCCCGCTTCCAGCGAAATCCCCAAAGCTAGCCAAATATCCACTTGCAGATTCCAGAAAAAGAGTGTTTCAAAACTGCTCCTTCAAAACGGTGGTTCAATTCTCTTAGTTGAGTACACACATCTCAAATAAGTTTCTGAGAATGCTTCTGTCTAGTTGTTTTGGGAAGATATTTCCTTTTTCAACATAGGCCGGAAAGCGCTCCAAATGTCCACTTCCAGATACTACAAAAGGAGTGATTCCAACCTGCTCTACGATAGGGAATGTCCAACTCTGTGTCCTGAATACAAACATCACAAAGATGTTTCTCAGAACGCTGCAGTCTGCAATTTGTATGAATTCCCGCTTCCAACGAAATCCTCAAAACTAGCCAAATATCCACTTGCAGATTCCAGAAAAAGAGCATTTCAAAACTGCTCTATCAAAAGAAAGGTTCAACATTGTTAGTTGAGTAGATACAGCATGGACAAGTTTCTGAGAATGCTTCTGTCCAGTTTTTATGGGAAGATATTTCCTTTTTCACCTTAGCCCTGAAAGCGCTCCCAATGTCCACTTCCAGATACTACAAAAGGGGTGTTTCAGGCCTGCTCTATGAAAGGGAGTGTTCAACTTTTGACTTGAATGCAAACATCAGAAAGCAGTTTCTCAGAACGCTGCTGTGTGCTTTTTATATGTATTCCCGCTTCCAGCGAAATCCCCA
Organism: Homo sapiens; assembly: GCF_000001405.40. Taxonomy (NCBI): domain Eukaryota; kingdom Metazoa; phylum Chordata; class Mammalia; order Primates; family Hominidae; genus Homo; species Homo sapiens. The sequence continues at coordinate 16,226,751 of NC_000018.10, read as the reverse complement.
AAGCTAGCCAAATATCCACTTGCAGATTCCAGAAAACGAGTGTTTCAAAACTGCTCCGTCAAAACGGTGGCTCAATTCTCCTAGTTGAGTACACACATCTCAAATAGGTTTCTGAGAATGCTTGTGTCTACTTGTTATGGGAAGATATTTCCTTTTTCAACATAGGCCTGAAAGCGCTCCAAATGTCCACTTCCAGATACTACAAAAGGAGTGATTCCAACCTCCTCTATGATAGGGAATGTTCAACTCTGTGTCCTGAATACAAACATCACAAAGATGTTTCTCAGAACGCTGCAGTCTGCAATTTGTATGAATTCCCGCTTCCAACGCAATCCTCAAAACTAACCAAATATCCACTTGCAGACTCCACAAAAAGAGCATTTCAAAACTGCTCTATCAAAAGAAAGGTTCAACTTTGTTAGCTGAGTAGATACAGCATAAACAAGTTTCTGAGAATGCTTCTGTCCAGTTTTTATGGGAAGATATTTCCTTTTTCACCTTAGCCCTGAAAGCACTCCAAATGTCCACTTCCAGATACCACAAAAGGGGAGTTTCAAGACTGCTCTATGAAAGGGAGTGTTCAACTTTTGACTTGAATGCGAACATCAGAAAGAAGTTTCTCAGAACGCTGCTGTGTGCTTTTTATATGTATTCCCGCTTCCAGCGAAATCCCCAAAGCTAGCCAAATATCCAATTGCAGATTCCAGAAAAAGAGTGTTTCAAAACTGCTCCTTCAAAACGGTGGTTCAATTCTCTTAGTTGAGTACACACATCTCAAATAAGTTTCTGAGAATGCTTCTGTCTATTTGTTATGGGAAGATATTTCCTTTTCCAACATAGGCCTGAAAGCGCTCCAAATGTCCACTTCCAGATACTACAAAAGGAGTGATTCAAACCTGCTCTATGATAGGGAATGTTCAACTCTGTGTCCTGAATACAAACATCACAAAGAAGTTTCTCAGAACGCTGCATTCTGCAATTTGTATGAATTCCCGCTTCCAACGAAATCCTCAAAACTAGCCAAATATCCACTTGCAGATTCCACAAAAAGAGCGTTTCAAAACTTCTCTATGAAAAGAAAGTTTCTACTCCTTTAGTTGAGTACACACATCACGAGTAAGTTTCTGAGAATGCTTCTGTCTAGTTTTTATGGGAAGATATTTCCTTTTTCACCTTAGGCCGGAAATCGCTGCAAATGTCCGCTTACACACACTACAAAAAGAGTGTTTCAAACCTGCTCTGTGAAAGGGAATGTTCAATTCTGTGACTTGAATGCAATCATCACAAAGAACTTTCTGAGAATGCCGCTGTCTGCTTTTTGTATGTAATCCCGTTTCCAACGAAATGCTCAAATCTAGCCAAATATCCACTTGCAGATTCCACAAAAAGAGTGTTTCAAAACTGTTGTGTCTAAAGAAATGTACAACTGTGTTAGTTGAGGACACACATCAGAAACTAGTTTCTGAGAATGCTGCTGTCTGCTTTTTATATGTATTCCCGTTTCCAACGAAATCCTCAAAGCCAGCCAAATATCCACTTGCAGATTCCACAAAAAGAGTGTTTCAAAACTGCTCTCTCAAAAGAAATGTTCAACTCTGTCAGTTGAGGACACACATCACAAATAAGTTTCTGAGAATGCTTCTGTCTAGTTTTTATGGGAAGATATTTCCTTTTTCACCTGAGGCCGGAAAGCGCTCCAAATGTCCACTTCCAGATACTACAAAAGGAGTGATTCAAACCTGCTCTATGATAGGGAACGTTCAACTCTGTGTCCTGAATACAAACATCACAAAGATGTTTCTCAGAACGCTGCAGTCTGCAATTTGTATGAATTCCCGCTTCCAACGAAATCCTCAAAACTAGCCAAATATCCACTTGCAGATTCCACAAAAAGAGCGTTTCAAAACTTCTCTATGAAAAGAAAGGTTCTACTCCTTTAGTTGAGGACACACATCACGAGTAAGTTTCTGAGAATGCTTCTGTCTAGTTTTTATGGGAAGATATTTCCTTTTTCAACATAGGCCTGAAAGCGCTCCAAATGTCCACTTCCAGATACTACAAAAGGAGTGATTCCAACCTGCTCTATGATAGGGAATGTTCAACTCTCTGTCCTGAATACAAACATCACAAAGATGTTTCTCAGAACGCTGCAGTCTGCAATTTGTATGAATTCCCGCTTCCAACGAAATCCTCAAAACTAGCCAAATATCCACTTGCAGATTCCACAAAAAGAGCATTTCAAAACTGCTCTATCAAAAGAAAGGTTCAACTTTGTTAGTTGAGTAGATACAGCATAAACAAGTTTCTGAGAATGCTTCTGTCCAGTTTTTATGGGAAGATATTTCCTTTTTCACCTTAGCCCTGAAAGCGCTCCAAAAGTCCAGTTCCAGATACTGCAAAAGGAGTGTTTCAGACTGCACTATGAAAGGGAGTGTTCAACTTTTGACTTGAATGCAAACATCAGAAAGCAGTTTCTCAGAACGCTGCTGTGTGCTTTTTATATGTATTCCCGCTTCCAGCGAAATCCCCAAAGCTAGCCAAATATCCACTTGCAGATTCCAGAAAAAGAGTGTTTCAAAACTGCTCCTTCAAAACGGTGGTTCAATTCTCTTAGTTGAGTACACACATCTCAAATAAGTTTCTGAGAATGCTTCTGTCTAGTTGTTATGGGAAGATATTTCCTTTTCCAACATAGGCCTGAAAGCGCTCCAAATGTCCACTTCCAGATACTACAAAAGGAGTGATTCCAACCTGCTCTATGATAGGGAATGTTCAACTCTGTGTCCTGAATACAAACATCACAAAGATGTTTCTCAGAACGCTGCAGTCTGCAATTTGTATGAATTCCCGCTTCCAACGAAATCCTCCAAACTAGCCAAATATCCACTTGCAGATTCCACAAAAAGAGCGTTTCAAAACTTCTCTATGAAAAGAAAGGTTCTACTCCTTTAGTTGAGGACACACATCACGAGTAAGTTTCTGAGAATGCTTCTGTCTAGTTTTTATGGGAAGATATTTCCTTTTTCACCTTAGGCCGGAAAGTGCTCCAAATGTCCACTTACACACACTACAAAAAGAGTGTTTCAAACCTGCTCTGTGAAAGGGAATGTTCAATTCTGTGACTTGAATGCAATCATCACAAAGAACTTTCTGAGAATGCTGCTGTCTGCTTTTTATATGTAATCCCGTTTCCAACGAAATCCTCAAATCTAGCCAAATATCCACTTGCAGATTCCACAAAAAGAGTGTTTCAAAACTGTTCTGTCTAAAGAAAAGTTCAACTGTGTTAGTTGAGGACACACATCAGAAACTAGTTTCTGAGAATGCTTCTGTCTAGTTGTTACGGGAAGATATTTCCTTTTCCAACGTAGGCCTGAAAGCGCTCCAAATGTCCATTTCCATATACTAAAAAAAGAGTGTTTCAAACCTGCTCTATCAAAGGGAATGTTCTACTCTGTGACTTGAATACAAACATCCCAAAGAAGTTTCTGAGAATGCTTCTGTCTAGATTTTCTCTGAAGACAATCCCGTTTCCAACGAAATCCTCAAGGCTAGGCAAATATCGTCTAGCAGATTCCAGAAAAAGAGTGTTTCAAAACTGCTCCTTCAAAACGGTGGTTCAATTCTCTTAGTTGAGTACACACATCTCAAATAAGTTTCTGAGAATGCTTCTGCCTAGTTGTTACGGGAAGATATTTCCCTTTCCAACATGGGCCTGAAAGTGCTGCAAATGTCCACTTGCAGATACTACAAAAAGAGTGTTTCAAACCTGCTCTACCAAAGGGAATGTTCTACTCTGTGACTTGAATGCAAACATCCCAAAGAAGTTTCTGAGAATGCTTCTGTCTAGATTTTACCTGAAGACAATCCCGTTTCCCACGAAATCCTCAAAGCTATGCAAATATCCTCTTGCAGATTCTACAAAAAGAGTGTTTCAAAACTGCTCTATGAAAAGAAAGGTTCAACTCTGTCAGTAGAGGGCACACATCACAAACAAGTTTCTGAGAATGCTTGTGTCTAGTTGTTATGGGAAGATATTTCCTTTTTCAACATAGGACTGAAAGCGCTCCAAATGTCCACTTCCAGATACTACAAAAGGAGTGATTCCAACCTGCTCTATGATAGGGAATGTTCATCTCTGTGTCCTGAATACAAACATCACAAAGATGATTCTCAGAACGCTGCAGTCTGCAATTTGTATGAATTCCCGCTTCCAACGAAATCCTCAAAACTAGCCAAATATCCACTTGGAGATTCCACAAAAAGAGCGTTTCAAAACTTCTCTATGAATAGAAATGTTCTACTCCTTTAGTTGAGGACACACATCACGAGTAAGTTTCTGAGAATGCTTCTGTCTAGTTTTTATGGGAAGATATTTCCTTTTTCACCTTAGGCCGGAAAGCGCTCCAAATGTCCACTTACACACATTACAAAAAGAGTGTTTCAAACCTGCTCTGTGAAAGGGAATGTTCAATTCTGTGACTTGAATGCAATCATCACAAAGAACTTTCTGAGAATGCTGCTGTCTGCTTTTTATATGTAATCCCGTTTCCAACGAAATCCTCAAATCTAGCCCAATATCCACTTGCAGATTCCACAAAAAGAGTGTTTCAAAACTGTTCTGTCTAAAGAAATGTACAACTGTGTTAGTTGAGGACACACATCAGAAACTAGTTTCTGAGAATGCTTCTGTCTAGTTGTTATGGGAAGATATTTCCTTTTCCAACGTAGGCCTGAAAGCGCTCCAAATGTCCACTTCCATATACTAAAAAAAGAGTGTTTCAAACCTGCTCTACCAAAGGGAATGTTCTACTCTGTGACTTGAATGCAAACATCCCAAAGAAGTTTCTGAGAATGCTTCTGTCTAGATTTTATCTGAAGACAATCCCGTTTCCAACGAAATCCTCAAGGCTAGGCAAATATACTCTTGCAGATTCCAGAAAAAGAGTGTTTCAAAACTGCTCCTTCAAAACGGTGGTTCAATTCTCTTAGTTGAGTACACACATCTCAAATAAGTTTCTGAGAATGCTTCTGCCTAGTTGTTACGGGAAGATATTTCCCTTTCCAAAATAGGCCTGAAAGCGCTCCAAATGTCCACTTCCAGATACTGCAAAAGGAGTGATTCCAACCTGCTCTATGATAGGGAAAGTTCAACTCTGTGTCCTGAATACAAACATCACAAAGATGTTTCTCAGAACGCTGCAGTCTGCAATTTGCATGAATTCCAGCTTCCAACGAAATCCTCAAAACTAGCCAAATATCCACTTGCAGATTCCACAAAAAGAGCATTTCAAAACTGCTCTATCAAAAGAAAGGTTCAACTTTGTTAGTAGAGTAGATACAGCATAAACAAGTTTCTGAGAATGCTTCTGTCCAGTTTTTATGGGAAGATATTTCCTTTTTCACCTTAGCCCTGAAAGCGCTCCAAATGTCCAGTTCCAGATACTACAAAAGGGGTGTTTCAAGACTGCTCTATGAAAGGGAGTGTTCAACTTTTGAGTTGAATGCAAACATCAGAAAGCAGTTTCTCAGAACGCTGCTGTGTGCTTTTTATATGTATTCCCGCTTCCAGCGAAATCCCCAAAGCTAGCCAAATATCCACTTGCAGATTCCAGAAAAAGAGTGTTTCAAAACTGCTCCTTCAAAACGGTGGTTCAATTCTCTTAGTTGAGTACACACATCTCAAATAAGTTTCTGAGAATGCTTCTGTCTAGTTGTTATGGGAAGATATTTCCTTTTCCAACATAGGCCTGAAAGCGCTCCAAATGTCCACTTCCAGATACTACAAAAGGAGTGATTCAAACCTACTCTATGATAGGGAATGTTCAACTCTGTGTCCTGAATACAAACATCACAAAGATGTTTCTCAGAACGCTGCAGTCTGCAATTTGTATGAATTCCCGCTTCCAACGAAATCCTCAAAACTAGCCAAATATCCACTTGCAGATTCCACAAAAAGAGCGTTTCAAAACTTCTCTATGAAAAGAAAGGTTCTACTCCTTTAGTTGAGGACACACATCACGAGTAAGTTTCTGAGAATGCTTCTGTCTAGTTTTTATGGGAAGATATTTCCTTTTTCACCTTAGGCCGGTAAGTGCTCCAAATGTCCACTTACACACACTACAAAAAGAGTGTTTCAAACCTGCTCTGTGAAACGGAATGTTCAATTCTGTGACTTGAATGCAATCATCACAAAGAACTTTCTGAGAATGCTGCTGACTGCTTTTTATATGTAATCCCGTTTCCAACGAAATCCTCAAATCTAGCCAAATAGCCACTTGCAGATTCCACAAAAAGAGTGTTTCAAAACTGTTCTGTCTAAAGAAATGTTCAACTGTGTTAGTTGAGGACACACATCAGAAACTAGTTTCTGAGAATGCTTCTGTCTAGTTGTTATGGGAAGATATTTCCTTTTCCAACGTAGGCCTGAAAGCGCTCCAAATGTCCACTTCCAGATACTACAAAAAGAGTGTTTCAAACCTGCTCTACCAAAGGGAATGTTCTACTCTGTGACTGGAATGCAAGCATCCCAAAGAAGTTTCTGAGAATGCTTCTGTCTAGATTTTCTCTGAAGACAATCCCGTTTCCAACGAAATCCTCAAGGCTAGGCAAATATACTCTTGCAGATTCCAGAAAAAGAGTGTTTCAAAACTGCTGCTTCAAAACGGTGGTTCAATTCTCTTAGTTGAGTACACACATCTCAAATAAGTTTCTGAGAATGCTTCTGCCTAGTTGTTACGGGAAGATATTTCCCTTTCCAACATGGGCCTGAAAGCGCTCCAAATGTCCACTTCCAGATACTACAAAAAGAGTGTTTCAAACCTGCTCTACCAAAGGGAATGTTCTACTCTGTGACTTGAATGCAAACATCCCAAAGAAGTTTCTGAGAATGCTTCTGTCTAGATTTTACCTGAAGACAATCCCGTTTCCCACGAAATCCTCAAAGCTATGCAAATATCCTCTTGCAGATTCTACAAAAAGAGTGTTTCAAAACTGCTCTATGAAAAGAAAGGTTCAACTCTGTCAGTAGAGGGCACACATCACAAACAAGTTTCTGAGAATGCTTCTGCATAGTTGTTACGGGAAGATATTTCCCTTTCCAAAATAGGCCTGAAAGCGCTCCAAATGTCCACTTCCAGATACTACAAAAGGAGTGATTCCAACCTGCTCTATGATAGGGAATGTTCAACTCTGTGTCCTGAATACAAACATCACAAAGATGTTTCTCAGAACGCTGCAGTCTGCAATTTGTATGAATTCCCGCTTCCAACGAAATCCTCAAAACTAGCCAAATATCCACTTGCAGATTCCACAAAAAGACCATTTCAAAACTGCTCTATCAAAAGAAAGGTTCAACTTTGTTAGTTGAGTAGATACAGCATAACCAAGTTTCTGAGAATGCTTCTGTCCAGTTTTTATGGGAAGATATTTCCTTTTTCACCTTAGCCCTGAAATCGCTCCAAAAGTCCAGTTCCAGATACTACAAAAGGGGTGTTTCAAGACTGCTCTATGAAAGGGAGTGTTCAACTTTTGACTTGAATGCAAACATCAGAAAGCAGTTTCTCAGAACGCTGCTGTGTGCTTTTTATATGTATTCCCGCTTCCAGCGAAATCCCCAAAGCTAGCCAAATATCCACTTGCAGATTCCAGAAAAAGAGAGTTTCAAAACTGCTCCTTCAAAACGGTGGTTCAATTCTCTTAGTTGAGTACACACATCTCAAATAAGTTTCTGAGAATGCTTCTGTCTAGTTGTTATGGGAAGATATTTCCTTTTCCAACATAGGCCTGAAAGCGCTCCAAATGTCCACTTCCAGATACTACAAAAGGAGTGATTCCAACCTGCTCTATGATAGGGAATGTTCAACTCTGTGTCCTGAATACAAACATCACAAAGATGTTTCTCAGAACGCTGCAGTCTGCAATTTGTATGAATTCCCGCTTCCAACGAAATCCTCAAAACTAGCCAAATATCCACTTGCAGATTCCACAAAAAGAGCGTTTCAAAACTTCTCTATGAAAAGAAAGGTTCTACTCCTTTAGTTGAGGACACACATCACGAGTAAGTTTCTGAGAATGCTTCTGTCTAGTTTTTATGGGAAGATTATTTCCTTTTTCACCTTAGGCCGGTAAGTGCTCCAAATGTCCACTTACACACACTACAAAAAGAGTGTTTCAAACCTGCTCTGTGAAAGGGAATGTTCAATTCTGTGACTTGAATGCAATCATCACAAAGAACTTTCTGAGAATGCTGCTGACTGCTTTTTATATGTAATCCCGTTTCCAACGAAATCCTCAAATCTAGCCAAATAGCCACTTGCAGATTCCACAAAAAGAGTGTTTCAAAACTGTTCTGTCTAAAGAAATGTTCAACTGTGTTAGTTGAGGACACACATCAGAAACTAGTTTCTGAGAATGCTTCTGTCTAGTTGTTATGGGAAGATATTTCCTTTTCCAACGTAGGCCTGAAAGCGCTCCAAATGTCCACTTCCAGATACTACAAAAAGAGTGTTTCAAACCTGCTCTACCAAAGGGAATGTTCTACTCTGTGACTTGAATGCAAGCATCCCAAAGAAGTTTCTGAGAATGCTTCTGTCTAGATTTTCTCTGAAGACAATCCCGTTTCCAACGAAATCCTCAAGGCTAGGCAAATATACTCTTGCAGATTCCAGAAAAAGAGTGTTTCAAAACTGCTCCTTCAAAACGGTGGTTCAATTCTCTTAGTTGAGTACACACATCTCAAATAAGTTTCTGAGAATGCTTCTGCCTAGTTGTTACGGGAAGATATTTCCCTTTCCAACATGGGCCTGATAGCGCTCCAAATGTCCACTTCCAGATACTACAAAAAGAGGGTTTCAAACCTGCTCTACCAAAGGGAATGTTCTACTCTGTGACTTGAATGCAAACATCCCAAAGAAGTTTCTGAGAATGCTTCTGTCTAGATTTTACCTGAAGACAATCCCGTTTCCCACGAAATCCTCAAAGCTATGCAAATATCCTCTTGCAGATTCTACAAAAAGAGTGTTTCAAAACTGCTCTATGAAAAGAAAGGTTCAACTCTGTCAGTAGAGGGCACACATCACAAACAAGTTTCTGAGAATGCTTGTGTCTAGTTGTTATGGGAAGATATTTCCTTTTTCAACATAGGCCTGAAAGCGCTCCAAATGTCCACTTCCAGATACTACAAAAGGAGTGATTCCAACCTGCTCTATGATAGGGAATGTTCATCTCTGTGTCCTGAATACAAACATCACAAAGATGTTTCTCAGAACGCTGCAGTCTGCAATTTGTATGAATTCCCGCTTCCAACGAAATCCTCAAAACTAGCCAAATATCCACTTGGAGATTCCACAAAAAGAGCGTTTCAAAACTTCTCTATGAATAGAAAGGTTCTACTCCTTTAGTTGAGGAAACACATCCCGAGTAAGTTTCGGAGGATGCTTCTGTCTAGTTTTTATGGGAAGATATTTCTTTTTTCACCTTAGGCCGGAAAGCGCTCCAAATGTCCACTTACACACACTACAAAAAGAGTGTTTCAAACCTGCTCTGTGAAAGGGAATGTTCAATTCTGTGACTTGAATGCAATCATCACAAAGAACTTTCTGAGAATGCTGCTGTCTGCTTTTTATATGTAATCCCGTTTCCAACGAAATCCTCAAATCTAGCCCAATATGCACTTGCAGATTCCACAAAAAGAGTGTTTCAAAACTGTTCTGTCTAAAGAAAAGTTCAACTGTGTTAGTTGAGGACACACATCAGAAACTAGTTTCTGAGAATGCTTCTGTCTAGTTGTTATGGGAAGATATTTCCTTTTCCAACGTAGGCCTGAAAGCGCTCCAAATGTCCACTTCCAGATACTACAAAAAGAGTGTTTCAAACCTGCTCTACCAAAGGGAATGTTCTTCTCTGTGACTTGAATGCAAACATCCCAAAGAAGTTTCTGAGAATGCTTCTGTCTAGATTTTACCTGAAGACAATCCCGTTTCCCACGAAATCCTCAAAGCTATGCAAATATCCTCTTGCGGATTCTACAAAAAGAGTGTTTCAAAACTGCTCTATGAAAAGAAAGGTTCAACTCTGTCAGTAGAGGGCACACATCACAAACAAGTTTCTGAGAATGCTTGTGTCTAGTTGTTATGGGAAGATATTTCCTTTTTCAACATAGGCCTGAAAGCGCTCCAAATGTCCACTTCCAGATACTACAAAAGGAGTGATTCCAACATGCTCTATGATAGGGAATGTTCATCTCTGTGTCCTGAATACAAACATCACAAAGATGTTTCTCAGAACGCTGCAGTCTGCAATTTGTATGAATTCCCGCTTCCAACGAAATCCTCAAAACTAGCCAAATATCCACTTGGAGATTCCACAAAAAGAGCGTTTCAAAACTTCTCTATGAATAGAAAGGTTCTACTCCTTTAGTTGAGGACACACATCACGAGTAAGTTTCTGAGAATGCTTCTGTCTAGTTTTTATGGGAAGATATGTCCTTTTTCACCTTAGGCCGGAAAGCGCTCCAAATGTCCACTTACACACACTACAAAAAGAGTGTTTCAAACCTGCTCTGTGAAAGGGAATGTTCAATTCTGTGACTTGAATGCAATCATCACAAAGAACTTTCTGAGAATGCTGCTGTCTGCTTTTTATATGTAATCCCGTTTCCAACGAAATCCTCAAATCTACCCCAATATCCACTTGCAGATTCCACAAAAAGAGTGTTTCAAAACTGTTCTGTGTAAAGAAATGTACAACTGTTTTAGTTGAGGACACACATCAGAAACTAGTTTCTGAGAATGCTTCTGTCTAGTTGTTATGGGAAGATATTTCCTTTTCCAACGTAGGCCTGAAAGCGCTCCAAATGTCCACTTCCATATACTAAAAAAAGAGTGTTTCAAACCTGCTCTACCAAAGGGAATGTTCTACTCTGTGACTTGAATGCAAACATCCCAAAGAAGTTTCTGAGAATGCTTCTGTCTAGATTTGATCTGAAGACAATCCCGTTTCCAACGAAATCCTCAAGGCTAGGCAAATATACTCTTGCAGATTCCAGAAAAAGAGTGTTTCAAAACTGCTCCTTCAAAACGGTGGTTCAATTCTCTTAGTTGAGTACACACATCCCAAATAAGTTTCTGAGAATGCTTCTGCCTAGTTGTTACGGGAAGATATTTCCCTTTCCAACATGGGCCTGATAGCGCTCCAAATGTCCACTTCCAGATACTACAAAAAGAGGGTTTCAAACCTGCTCTACCAAAGGGAATGTTCTACTCTGTGACTTGAATGCAAACATCACAAAGAAGTTTCTGAGAATGCTTCTGTCTAGATTTTACCTGAAGACAATCCCGTTTCCCACGAAATCCTCAAAGCTATGCAAATATCCTCTTGCAGATTCTACAAAAAGAGTGTTTCAAAACTGCTCTATGAAAAGAAAGGTTCAACTCTGTCAGTAGAGGGCACACATCACAAACAAGTTTCTGAGAATGCTTGTGTCTAGTTGTTATGGGAAGATATTTCCTTTTTCAACATAGGCCTGAAAGCGCTCCAAATGTCCACTTCCAGATACTACAAAAGGAGTGATTCCAACCTGCTCTATGATAGGGAATGTTCATCTCTGTGTCCTGAATACAAACATCACAAAGATGTTTCTCATAACGCTGCAGTCTGCAATTTGTATGAATTCCCGCTTCCAACGGAATCCTCAAAACTACCCAAATATCCACTTGGAGATTCCACAAAAAGAGCGTTTCAAAACTTCTCTATGAATAGAAAGGTTCTACTCCTTTAGTTGAGGACACACATCACGAGTAAGTTTCTGAGAATGCTTCTGTCTAGTTTTTATGGGAAGATATTTCCTTTTTCACCTTAGGCCGGAAAGCGCTCCAAATGTCCACTTACACACACTACAAAAAGAGTGTTTCAAACCTGCTCTGTGAAAGGGAATGTTCAATTCTGTGACTTGAATGCAATCATCACAAAGAACTTTCTGAGAATGCTGCTGTCTGCTTTTTATATGTAATCCCGTTTCCAACGAAATCCTCAAATCTAGCCAAATATCCACTTGCAGATTCCACAAAAAGAGTGTTTCAAAACTGTTCTGTCTAAAGAAAAGTTCAACTGTGTTAGTTGAGGACACACATCAGAAACTAGTTTCTGAGAATGCTTCTGCCTAGTTGTTACGGGAAGATATTTCCCTTTCCAACATGGGCCTGAAAGCGCTCCAAATGTCCACTTCCAGATACTACAAAAAAAGGGTTTCAAACCTGCTCTACCAAAGGGAATGTTCTACTCTGTGACTTGAATGCAAACATCCCAAAGAAGTTTCTGAGAATGCTTCTGTCTAGATTTTACCTGAAGACAATCCCGTTTCCCACGAAATCCTCAAAGCTATGCAAATATCCTCTTGCAGATTCTACAAAAAGAGTGTTTCAAAACTGCTCTATGAAAAGAAAGGTTCAACTCTGTCAGTAGAGGGCACACATCACAAACAAGTTTCTGAGAATGCTTGTGTCTAGTTGTTATGGGAAGATATTTCCTTTTTCAACATAGGCCTGAAAGCGCTCCAAATGTCCACTTCCAGATACTACAAAAGGAGTGATTCCAACCTGCTCTATGATAGGGAATGTTCATCTCTGTGTCCTGAATACAAACATCACAAAGATGTTTCTCAGAACGCTGCAGTCTGCAATTTGTATGAATTCCCGCTTCCAACGAAATCCTCAAAACTAGCCAAATATCCACTTGGAGATTCCACAAAAAGAGCGTTTCAAAACTTCTCTATGAATAGAAAGGTTCTACTCCTTTAGTTGAGGACACACATCACGAGTAAGTTTCTGAGAATGCTTCTGTCTAGTTTTTAAGGGAGGATATTTCCTTTTTCACCTTAGGCCGGAAAGTGCTCCAAATGTCCACTTACACACACTACAAAAAGAGTGTTTCAAACCTGCTCTGTGAAAGGGAATGTTCAATTCTGTGACTTGAATGCAATCATCACAAAGAACTTTCTGAGAATGCTGCTGTCTGCTTTTTATATGTAATCCCGTTTCCAACGAAATCCTCAAATCTAGCCAAATAGCCACTTGCAGATTCCACAAAAAGAGTGTTTCAAAACTGTTCTGTCTAAAGAAATGTTCAACTGTGTTAGTTGAGGACACACATCAGAAACTAGTTTCTGAGAATGCTTCTGTCTAGTTGTTATGGGAAGATATTTCCTTTTCCAACGTAGGCCTGAAAGCGCTCCAAATGTCCACTTCCATATACTAAAAAAAGAGTGTTTCAAACCTGCTCTACCAAAGGGAATGTTCTACTCTGTGACTTGAATGCAAACATCCCAAAGAAGTTTCTGAGAATGCTTCTGTCTAGATTTTATCTGAAGACAATCCCGTTTCCAACGAAATCCTCAAGGCTAGGCAAATATACTCTTGCAGATTCCAGAAAAAGAGTGTTTCAAAACTGCTCCTTCAAAAGGGTGGTTCAATTCTCTTAGTTGAGTACACACATCTCAAATAAGTTTCTGAGAATGCTTCTGCCTAGTTGTTACGGGAAGATATTTCCCTTTCCAACATGGGCCTGAAAGCGCTCCAAATGTCCACTTCCAGATACTACAAAAAGAGTGTTTCAAACCTGCTCTACCAAAGGGAATGTTCTACTCTGTGACTTGAATGCAAACATCCCAAAGAAGTTTCTGAGAATGCTTCTGTCTAGATTTTACCTGAAGACAATCCCGTTTCCCACGAAATCCTCAAAGCTATGCAAATATCCTCTTGCAGATTCTACAAAAAGAGTGTTTCAAAACTGCTCTATGAAAAGAAAGGTTCAACTCTGTCAGTAGAGGGCACACATCACAAACAAGTTTCTGAGAATGCTTCTGCATAGTTGTTACGGGAAGATATTTCCCTTTCCAAAATAGGCCTGAAAGCGCTCCAAATGTCCACTTCCAGATACTACAAAAGGAGTGATTCCAACCTGCTCTATGATAGGGAATGTTCAACTCTGTGTCCTGAATACAAACATCACAAAGATGTTTCTCAGAACGCTGCAGTCTGCAATTTGTATGAATTCCCGCTTCCAACGAAATCCTCAAAACTAGCCAAATATCCACTTGCAGATTCCACAAAAAGACCATTTCAAAACTGCTCTATCAAAAGAAAGGTTCAACTTTGTTAGTTGAGTAGATACAGCATAAACAAGTTTCTGAGAATGCTTCTGTCCAGTTTTTATGGGAAGATATTTCCTTTTTCACCTTAGCCCTGAAATCGCTCCAAAAGTCCAGTTCCAGATACTACAAAAGGGGTGTTTCAAGACTGCTCTATGAAAGGGAGTGTTCAACTTTTGACTTGAATGCAAACATCAGAAAGCAGTTTCTCAGAACGCTGCTGTGTGCTTTTTATATGTATTCCCGCTTCCAGCGAAATCCCCAAAGCTAGCCAAATATCCACTTGCAGATTCCAGAAAAAGAGAGTTTCAAAACTGCTCCTTCAAAACGGTGGTTCAATTCTCTTAGTTGAGTACACACATCTCAAATAAGTTTCTGAGAATGCTTGTGTCTACTTGTTATGGGAAGATATTTCCTTTTTCAACATAGGCTTGAAAGCGCTCCAAATGTCCACTTCCAGATACTACAAAAGGAGTGATTCCAACCTGCTCTATGATAGGGAATGTTCAACTCTCTGTCCTGAATACAAACATCACAAAGATGTTTCTCAGAACGCTGCAGTCTGCAATTTCTATGAATTCCCGCTTCCAACGAAATCCTCAAAACTAGCCAAATATCCACTTGCAGATTCCACAAAAAGAGCGTTTCAAAACTTCTCTATGAAAAGAAAGGTTCTACTCCTTTAGTTGAGGACACACATCACGAGTAAGTTTCTGAGAATGCTTCTGTCTAGTTTTTAAGGGAAGATATTTCCTTTTTCACCTTAGGCCGGAAAGTGCTCCAAATGTCCACTTACACACACTACAAAAAGAGTGTTTCAAACCTGCTCTGTGAAAGGGAATGTTCAATTCTGTGACTTGAATGCAATCATCACAAAGAACTTTCTGAGAATGCTGCTGTCTGCTTTTTATATGTAATCCCGTTTCCAACGAAATCCTCAAATCTAGCCAAATAGCCACTTGCAGATTCCACAAAAAGAGTGTTTCAAAACTGTTCTGTCTAAAGAAATGTTCAACTGTGTTAGTTGAGGACACACATCAGAAACTAGTTTCTGAGAATGCTTCTGTCTAGTTGTTATGGGAAGATATTTCCTTTTCCAACGTAGGCCTGAAAGCGCTCCAAATGTCCACTTCCATATACTAAAAAAAGAGTGTTTCAAACCTGCTCTACCAAAGGGAATGTTCTACTCTGTGACATGAATGCAAACATCCCAAAGAAGTTTCTGAGAATGCTTCTGTCTAGATTTGATCTGAAGACAATCCCGTTTCCAACGAAATCCTCAAGGCTAGGCAAATATCCTCTTGCAGAGTCCAGAAAAAGAGTGTTTCAAAACTGCTCCTTCAAAACGGTGGTTCAATTCTCTTAGTTGAGTACACACATCTCAAATAAGTTTCTGAGAATGCTTCTGCCTAGTTGTTACGGGAAGATATTTCCCTTTCCAACATAGGCCTGAAAGCGCTCCAAATGTCCACTTCCAGATACTACAAAAAGAGTGTTTCAAACCTGCTCTACCAAAGGGAATGTTCTGCTCTGTGACTTGAATGCAAACATCCCAAAGAAGTTTCTGAGAATGCTTCTGTCTAGATTTTACCTGAAGACAATCCCGTTTCCCACGAAATCCTCAAAGCTATGCAAATATCCTCTTGCAGATTCTACAAAAAGAGTGTTTCAAAACTGCTCTATGAAAAGAAAGGTTCAACTCTGTCAGTAGAGGGCACACATCACAAACAAGTTTCTGAGAATGCTTGTGTCTAGTTGTTATGGGAAGATATTTCCTTTTTCAACATAGGCCTGAAAGCGCTCCAAATGTCCACTTCCAGATACTACAAAAGGAGTGATTCCAACCTGCTCTATGATAGGGAATGTTCAACTCTCTGTCCTGAATACAAACATCACAAAGATGTTTCTCAGAACGCTGCAGTCTGCAATTTGTATGAATTCCCGCTTCCAACGAAATCCTCAAAACTAGCCAAATATCCACTTGCAGATTCCACAAAAAGAGCATTTCAAAACTGCTCTATCAAAAGAAAGGTTCAACTTTGTTAGTTGAGTAGATACAGCATAAACAAGTTTCTGAGAATGCTTCTGTCCAGTTTTTATGGGAAGATATTTCCTTTTTCACCTTAGCCCTGAAAGCGCTCCAAAAGTCCAGTTCCAGATACTACAAAAGGAGTGTTTCAGGACTGCTCTATGAAAGGGAGTGTTCAACTTTTGACTTGAATGCAAACATCAGAAAGCAGTTTCTCAGAACGCTGCTGTGTGCTTTTTATATGTATTCCCGCTTCCAGCGAAATCCCCAAAGCTAGCCAAATATCCACTTGCAGATTCCAGAAAAAGAGTGTTTCAAAACTGCTCCTTCAAAACGGTGGTTCAATTCTCTTAGTTGAGTACACACATCTCAAATAAGTTTCTGAGAATGCTTCTGCCTAGTTGTTATGGGAAGATATTTCCTTTTTCAACATAGGCCTGAAAGCGCTCCAAATGTCGACTTCCAGATACTACAAAAGGAGTGATTCCAGCCTTCTCTATGATAGGGAGTGTTCAACTCTGTGTCCTGAATACAAACATCACAAAGACGTTTCTCAGAACGCTGCAGTCTGCAATTTGTATGAATTCCCGCTTCCAACGAAATCCTCAAAACTAGCCAAATATCCACTTGCAGATTCCACAAAAAGAGCATTTCAAAACTGCTCTATCAAAAGAAAGGTTCAACTTTGTTAGTTGAGTAGATACAGCATAAACAAGTTTCTGAGAATGCTTCTGTCCAGTTTTTATGGGAAGATATTTCCTTTTTCACCTTAGCCCTGAAAGCGCCCCAAATGTCCAGTTCCAGATACTACAAAAGGGGTGTTTCAAGACTGCTCTATGAAAGGGAGTGTTCAACTTTTGATTTGAATGCAAACATCAGAAAGCAGTTTCTCAGAACGCTGCTGTGTGTTTTTTATATGTATTCCCGCTTCCAGCGAAATCCCCAAAGCTAGCCAAATATCCACTTGCAGATTCCAGAAAAAGAGCGTTTCAAAACTGCTCCTTGAAAACGGTGGTTCAATTCTCTTAGTTGAGTACACCCATCTCAAATAAGTTTCTGAGAATGCTTCTGTCTAGTTGTTATGGGAAGATATTTCCTTTTCCAACATAGGCCTGAAAGCGCTCCAAATGTCCACTTCCAGATACTACAAAAGGAGTGATTCAAACCTGCTCTATGATAGGGAATGTTCAACTCTGTGTCCTGAATACAAACATCACAAAGATGTTTCTCAGAACGCTGCAGTCTGCAATTTGTATGAATTCCCGCTTCCAACGAAATCCTCAAAACTAGCCAAATATCCACTTGCAGATTCCACAAAAAGAGCGTTTCAAAACTTCTCTATGAAAAGAAAGGTTCTACTCCTTTAGTTGAGGACACACATCACGAGTAAGTTTCTGAGAATGCTTCTGTCTAGTTTTTATGGGAAGATATTTCCTTTTTCACCTTAGGCCGGTAAGTGCTCCAAATGTCCACTTACACACACTACAAAAAGAGTGTTTCAAACCTGCTCTGTGAAAGGGAATGTTCAATTCTGTGACTTGAATGCAATCATCACAAAGAACTTTCTGAGAATGCTGCTGTCTGCTTTTTATATGTAATCCCGTTTCCAACGAAATCCTCAAATCTAGCCAAATAGCCACTTGCAGATTCCACAAAAAGAGTGTTTCAAAACTGTTCTGTCTAAAGAAATGTTCAACTGTGTTAGTTGAGGACACACATCAGAAACTAGTTTCTGAGAATGCTTCTCTGTCTAGTTGTTATGGGAAGATATTTCCTTTTCCAACGTAGGCCTGAAAGCGCTCCAAATGTCCACTTCCATATACTAAAAAAAGAGTGTTTCAAACCTGCTCTACCAAAGGGAATGTTCTACTCTGTGACTTGAATGCAAACATCCCAAAGAAGTTTCTGAGAATGCTTCTGTCTAGATTTTATCTGAAGACAATCCCGTTTCCAACGAAATCCTCAAAGCTATGCAAATATTCTCTTGCAGATTCCAAAAAAAGAGTGTTTCAAAACTACTCCTTCAAAACGATGGTTCAATTCTCTTAGTTGAGTACACACATCTCAAATAAGTTTCTGAGAATGCTTCTGCCTAGTTGTTACGGGAAGATATTTCCCTTTCCAACATGGGCCTGAAAGCGCTCCAAATGTCCACTTCCAGATACTACAAAAAGAGTGTTTCAAACCTGCTCTACCAAAGGGAATGTTCTACTCTGTGACTTGAATGCAAACATCCCAAAGAAGTTTCTAAGAATGCTTCTGTCTAGATTTTACCTGAAGACAATCCCGTTTCCCACGAAATCCTCAAAGCTATGCAAATATCCTCTTGCAGATTCTACAAAAAGAGTGTTTCAAAACTGCTCTATGAAAAGAAAGGTTCAACTCTGTCAGTAGAGGGCACACATCACAAACAAGTTTCTGAGAATGCTTCTGCATAGTTGTTACGGGAAGATATTTCCCTTTCCAAAATAGGCCTGAAAGCGCTCCAAATGTCCACTTCCAGATACTACAAAAGGAGTGATTCCAACCTGCTCTATGATAGGGAATGTTCAACTCTGTGTCCTGAATACAAACATCACAAAGATGTTTCTCAGAACGCTGCAGTCTGCAATTTGTATGAATTCCCGCTTCCAACGAAATCCTCAAAACTAGCCAAATATCCACTTGCAGATTCCACAA
Source organism: Homo sapiens (assembly GCF_000001405.40). Classification (NCBI taxonomy): domain Eukaryota; kingdom Metazoa; phylum Chordata; class Mammalia; order Primates; family Hominidae; genus Homo; species Homo sapiens. The sequence goes on along the minus strand of NC_000018.10, from coordinate 16,207,897 downwards.
AAAGACCATTTCAAAACTGCTCTATCAAAAGAAAGGTTCAACTTTGTTAGTTGAGTAGATACAGCATAAACAAGTTTCTGAGAATGCTTCTGTCCAGTTTTTATGGGAAGATATTTCCTTTTTCACCTTAGCCCTGAAAGCGCCCCAAATGTCCAGTTCCAGATACTACAAAAGGGCTGTTTCAAGACTGCTCTATGAAAGGGAGTGTTCAACTTTTGATTTGAATGCAAACATCAGAAAGCAGTTTCTCAGAACGCTGCTGTGTGTTTTTTATATGTATTCCCGCTTCCAGCGAAATCCCCAAAGCTAGCCAAATATCCACTTGCAGATTCCAGAAAAAGAGCGTTTCAAAACTGCTCCTTGAAAACGGTGGTTCAATTCTCTTAGTTGAGTACACCCATCTCAAATAACTTTCTGAGAATGCTTCTGTCCAGTTTTTATGGGAAGATATTTCCTTTTTCACCTTAGCCCTGAAATCGCTCCAAAAGTCCAGTTCCAGATACTACAAAAGGGGTGTTTCAGGACTGCCCTATGAAAGGGAGTGTTCAACTTTTGACTTGAATGCAAACATCAGAAAGCAGTTTCTCAGAACGCTGCTGTGTGCTTTTTATATGTATTCCCGCTTCCAGCGAAATCCCCAAAGCTAGCCAAATATCCACTTGCAGATTCCAGAAAAAGAGAGTTTCAAAACTGCTCCTTCAAAACGGTGGTTCAATTCTCTTAGTTGAGTACACACATCTCAAATAAGTTTCTGAGAATGCTTCTGTCTAGTTGTTATGGGAAGATATTTCCTTTTCCAACATAGGCCTGAAAGCGCTCCAAATGTCCACTTCCAGATACTACAAAAGGAGTGATTCAAACCTGCTCTATGATAGGGAATGTTCAACTCTGTGTCCTGAATACAAACATCACAAAGATGTTTCTCAGAACGCTGCAGTCTGCAATTTGTATGAATTCCCGCTTCCAACGAAATCCTCAAAACTAGCCAAATATCCACTTGCAGATTCCACAAAAAGAGCGTTTCAAAACTTCTCTATGAAAAGAAAGGTTCTACTCCTTTAGTTGAGGACACACATCACGAGTAAGTTTCTGAGAATGCTCTCTGTCTAGTTGTTATGGGAAGATATTTCCTTTTCCAACGTAGGCCTGAAAGTGCTCCAAATGTCCACTTCCATATACTAAAAAAAGAGTGTTTCAAACCTGCTCTACCAAAGGGAATGTTCTACTCTGTGACTTGAATGCAAACATCCCAAAGAAGTTTCTGAGAATGCTTCTGTCTAGATTGGATCTGAAGACAATCCCGTTTCCAACGAAATCCTCAAATCTATGCAAATATCCTCTTGCAGATTCCAGAAAAAGAGTGTTTCAAAACTGCTCCTTCAAAACGGTGGTTCAATTCTCTTAGTTGAGTACACACATCTCAAATAAGTTTCTGAGAATGCTTCTGCCTAGTTGTTACGGGAAGATATTTCCCTTTCCAACATAGGCCTGAAAGCGCTCCAAATGTCCACTTCCAGATACTACAAAAAGAGTGTTTCAAACCTGCTCCTTCAAAACGGTGGTTCAATTCTCTTAGTTCAGTACACACATCTCAAATAAGTTTCTGAGAATGCTTCTGCCTAGTTGTTACGGGAAGATATTTCCCTTTCCAACATAGGCCTGAAAGCGCTCCAAATGTCCACTTCCAGATACTACAAAAAGAGTGTTTCAAACCTGCTCTACCAAAGGGAATGTTCTACTCTGTGACTTGAATGCAAACATCCCGAAGAATTTTCTGAGAATGCTTCTGTCTAGATTTTACCTGAAGACAATCCCGTTTCCCACGAAATCCTCAAAGCTATGCAAATATCCTCTTGCAGATTCTACAAAAAGAGTGTTTCGAAACTGCTCTATGAAAAGAAAGGTTCAACTCTGTCAGTAGAGGGCACACATCACAAACAAATTTCTGAGAATGCTTGTGTCTACTTGTTATGGGAAGATATTTCCTTTTTCAACATAGGCCTGAAAGCGCTCCAAATGTCCACTTCCAGATACTACAAAAGTAGTGATTCCAACCTGCTCTATGATAGGGAATGTTCAACTCTGTGTCCTGAATACAAACATCACAAAGATGTTTCTCAGAACGCTGCAGTCTGCAATTTGTATGAATTCCCGCTTCCAAAGAAATCCTCAAAACTAGCCAAATATCCACTTGCAGATTCCACAAAAAGAGCATTTCAAAACTGCTCTATCAAAAGAAAGGTTCAACTTTGTTAGTTGAGTAGATACAGCATAAACAAGTTTCTGAGAATGCTTCTGTCCAGTTTTTATGGGAAGATATTTCCTTTTTCACCTTAGCCCTGAAAGCGCTCCAAAAGTCCAGTTCCAGATACTACAAAAGGGGTGTTTCAAGACTGCTCTATGAAAGGGAGTGTTCAACTTTTGACTTGAATGCAAACATCAGAAAGCAGTTTCTCAGAACGCTGCTGTGTGCTTTTTATATGTATTCCCGCTTCCAGCGAAATCCCCAAAGCTAGCCAAATATCCACTTGCAGATTCCAGAAAAAGAGTGTTTCAAAACTGCTCCTTCAAAACGGTGGTTCAATTCTCTTAGTTGAGTACACACATCTCAAATAAGTTTCTGAGAATGCTTCTGTCTAGTTGTTATGGGAAGATATTTCCTTTTCCAACATAGGCCTGAAAGCGCTCCAAATGTCCACTTCCAGATACTACAAAAGGAGTGATTCAAACCTGCTCTATGATAGGGAATGTTCAACTCTGTGTCCTGAATACAAACATCACAAAGATGTTTCTCAGAACGCTGCAGTCTGCAATTTGTATGAATTCCCGCTTCCAACGAAATCCTCCAAACTAGCCAAATATCCACTTGCAGATTCCACAAAAAGAGCGTTTCAAAACTTCTCTATGAAAAGAAAGGTTCTACTCCTTTAGTTGAGGACACACATCACGAGTAAGTTTCCTGAGAATGCTTTCTGTCTAGTTTTTATGGGAAGATATTTCCTTTCTCACCTTAGGCCGGAAAGTGCTCCAAATGTCCACTTACACACACTACAAAAAGAGTGTTTCAAACCTGCTCTGTGAAAGGGAATGTTCAATTCTGTGACTTGAATGCAATCATCACAAAGAACTTTCTGAGAATGCTGCTGTCTGCTTTTTATATGTAATCCCGTTTCCAACGAAATCCTCAAATCTAGCCAAATAGCCACTTGCAGATTCCACAAAAAGAGAGTTTCAAAACTGTTCTGTCTAAAGAAATGTTCAACTGTGTTAGTTGAGGACACACATCAGAAACTAGTTTCTGAGAATGCTTGTGTCTAGTTGTTATGGGAAGATATTTCCTTTTCCAACATAGGCCTGTAAGCGCTCCAAATGTCCACTTCCATATACTAAAAAAAGAGTGTTTCAAACCTGCTCTACCAAAGGGAATGTTCTACTCTGTGACTTGAATGCAAACATCCCAAATAAGTTTCTGAGAATGCTTCTGTCTAGATTTTATCTGAAGACAATCCCGTTTCCAACGAAATCCTCAAGGCTAGGCAAATATACTCTTGCAGATTCCAGAAAAAGAGTGTTTCAAAACTGCTCCTTCAAAACGGTGGTTCAATTCTCTTAGTTGAGTCCACACATCTCAAATAAGTTTCTGAGAATGCTTCTGCCTAGTTGTTACGGGAAGATATTTCCCTTTCCAACATGGGCCTGAAAGCGCTCCAAATGTCCACTTCCAGATACTACAAAAAGAGTGTTTCAAACCTGCTCTACCAAAGGGAATGTTCTACTCTGTGACTTGAATGCAAACATCCCAAAGAAGTTTCTGACAATGCTTCTGTCTAGATTTTACCTGAAGACAATCCCGTTTCCCACGAAATCCTCAAAGCTATGCAAATATCCTCTTGCGGATTCTACAAAAAGAGTGTTTCAAAACTGCTCTATGAAAAGAAAGGTTCAACTCTGTCAGTAGAGGGCACACATCACAAACAAGTTTCTGAGAATGCTTGTGTCTAGTTGTTATGGGAAGATATTTCCTTTTTCAACATAGGCCTGAAAGCGCTCCAAATGTCCACTTCCAGATACTACAAAAGGAGTGATTCCAACCTGCTCTATGATAGGGAATGTTCATCTCTGTGTCCAGAATACAAACATCACAAAGATGTTTCTCAGAACGCTGCAGTCTGCAATTTGTATGAATTCCCGCTTCCAACGAAATCCTCAACACTAGCCAAATATCCACTTGGAGATTCCACAAAAAGAGCGTTTCAAAACTTCTCTATGAATAGAAAGGTTCTACTCCTTTAGTTGAGGACACACATCACGAGTAAGTTTCTGAGAATGCTTCTGTCTAGTTTTTATGGGAAGATATTTCCTTTTTCACCTTAGGCCGGAAAGCGCTCCAAATGTCCACTTACACACACTACAAAAAGAGTGTTTCAAACCTGCTCTGTGAAAGGGAATGTTCAATTCTGTGACTTGAATGCAATCATCACAAAGAACTTTCTGAGAATGCTGCTGACTGCTTTTTATATGTAATCCCGTTTCCAACGAAATCCTCAAATCTAGCCCAATATCCACTTGCAGATTCCACAAAAAGAGTGTTTCAAAACTGTTCTGTCTAAAGAAATGTACAACTGTGTTAGTTGAGGACACACATCAGAAACTAGTTTCTGAGAATGCTTCTGTCTAGTTGTTATGGGAAGATATTTCCTTTTCCAACGTAGGCCTGAAAGCGCTCCAAATGTCCACTTCCATATACTAAAAAAAGAGTGTTTCAAACCTGCTCTACCAAAGGGAATGTTCTACTCTGTGACTTGAATGCAAACATCCCAAAGAAGTTTCTGAGAATGCTTCTGTCTAGATTTGAGCTGAAGACAATCCCGTTTCCAACGAAATCCTCAAAGCTAGGCAAATATACTCTAGCAGATTCCAGAAAAAGAGTGTTTCACAACTGCTCCTTCAAAACGGTGGTTCAATTCTCTTAGTTGAGTACACACATCTCAAATAAGTTTCTGAGAATGCTTCTGTCTAGTTGTTATGGGAAGAATATTTCCTTTTCCAACGTAGGCCTGAAAGCGCTCCAAATGTCCACTTCCAGATACTACAAAAAGAGTGTTTCAAACCTGCTCTACCAAAGGGAATGTTCTACTCTGTGACTTGAATGCAAGCATCCCAAAGAAGTTTCTGAGAATGCTTCTGTCTAGATTTTCTCTGAAGACAATCCCGTTTCCAACGAAATCCTCAAGGCTAGGCAAATATACTCTTGCAGATTCCAGAAAAAGAGTGTTTCAAAACTGCTCCTTCAAAACGGTGGTTCAATTCTCTTAGTTGAGTACACACATCTCAAATAAGTTTCTGAGAATGCTTCTGCCTAGTTGTTACGGGAAGATATTTCCCTTTCCAACATGGGCCTGAAAGCGCTCCAAATGTCCACTTCCAGATACTACAAAAAGAGTGTTTCAAACCTGCTCTACCAAAGGGAATGTTCTACTCTGTGACTTGAATGCAAACATCCCAAAGAAGTTTCTGAGAATGCTTCTGTCTAGATTTTACCTGAAGACAATCCCGTTTCCCACGAAATCCTCAAAGCTATGCAAATATCCTCTTGCAGATTCTACAAAAAGAGTGTTTCAAAACTGCTCTATGAAAAGAAAGGTTCAACTCTGTCAGTACAGGATACACATCACAAACAAGTTTCTGAGAATGCTTGTGTCTAGTTGTTATGGGAAGATATTTCCTTTTTCAACATAGGCCTGAAAGCGCTCCAAATGTCCACTTCCAGATACTACAAAAGGAGTGATTCCAACCTGCTCTATGATAGGGAATGTTCAACTCTCTGTCCTGAATACAAACATCACAAAGATGTTTCTCAGAACGCTGCAGTCTGCAATTTGTATGAATTCCCGCTTCCAACGAAATCCTCAAAACTAGCCAAATATCCACTTGGAGATTCCACAAAAAGAGCGTTTCAAAACTTCTCTATGAATAGAAAGGTTCTACTCCTTTAGTTGAGGACACACATCACGAGTAAGTTTCTGAGAATGCTTCTGTCTAGTTTTTATGGGAAGATATGTCCTTTTTCACCTTAGGCCGGAAAGCGCTCCAAATGTCCACTTACACACACTACAAAAAGAGTGTTTCAAACCTGCTCTGTGAAAGGGAATGTTCAATTCTGTGACTTGAATGCAATCATCACAAAGAACTTTCTGAGAATGCTTGCTGTCTGCTTTTTATATGTAATCCCGTTTCCAACGAAATCCTCAAATCTAGCCAAATATCCACTTGCAGATTCCACAAAAAGAGTGTTTCAAAACTGTTCTGTCTAAAGAAAAGTTCAACTGTGTTAGTTGAGGACACACATCAGAAACTAGTTTCTGAGAATGCTTCTGTCTAGTTGTTATGGGAAGATATTTCCTTTTCCAACGTAGGCCTGAAAGCGCTCCAAATGTCCACTTCCATATACTAAAAAAAGAGTGTTTCAAAACTGCTCTACCAAAGGGAATGTTCTAGTCTGTGACCTGAATGCAAACATCCCAAAGAAGTTTCTGAGAATGCTTCTGTCTAGATTTTATGTGAAGACAATCCCGTTTCCAACGAAATCCTCAAGGCTAGGCAAATATACTCTTGCAGATTCCAGAAAAAGAGTGTTTGAAAACTGCTCCTTCAAAACGGTGGTTCAATTCTCTTAGTTGAGTACACACATCTCAAATAAGTTTCTGACAATGCTTCTGCCTAGTTGTTACGGGAAGATATTTCCCTTTCCAACATGGGCCTGAAAGCGCTCCAAATGTCCACTTCCAGATACTACAAAAAGAGGGTTTCAAACCTGCTCTACCAAAGGGAATGTTCTACTCTGTGACTTGAATGCAAACATCCCAAAGAAGTTTCTGAGAATGCTTCTGTCTAGATTTTACCTGAAGACAATCCCGTTTCCCACGAAATCCTCAAAGCTATGCAAATATCCTCTTGCAGATTCTACAAAAAGAGTGTTTCAAAACTGCTCTATGAAAAGAAAGGTTCAACTCTGTCAGTAGAGGGCACACATCACAAACAAGTTTCTGAGAATGCTTGTGTCTAGTTGTTATGGGAAGATATTTCCTTTTTCAACATAGGCCTGAAAGCGCTCCAAATGTCCACTTCCAGATACTACAAAAGGAGTGATTCCAACCTGCTCTATGATAGGGAATGTTCATCTCTGTGTCCTGAATACAAACATCACAAAGATGTTTCTCAGAACGCTGCAGTCTGCAATTTGTATGAATTCCCGCTTCCAAAGAAATCCTCAAAACTAGCCAAATATCCACTTGGAGATTCCACAAAAAGAGCGTTTCAAAACTTCTCTATGAATAGAAAGGTTCTACTCCTTTAGTTGAGGACACACATCACGAGTAAGTTTCTGAGAATGCTTCTGTCTAGTTTTTATGGGAAGATATTTCCTTTTTCACCTTAGGCCGGAAAGCGCTCCAAATGTCCACTTACACACACTACAAAAAGAGTGTTTCAAACCTGCTCTGTGAAAGGGAATGTTCAATTCTGTGACTTGAATGCAATCATCACAAAGAACTTTCTGAGAATGCTGCTGTCTGCTTTTTATATGTAATCCCGTTTCCAACGAAATCCTCAAATCTAGCCAAATATCCACTTGCAGATTCCACAAAAAGAGTGTTTCAAAACTGTTCTGTCTAAAGAAAAGTTCAACTGTGTTAGTTGAGGACACACATCAGAAACTAGTTTCTGAGAATGCTTCTGTCTAGTTGTTATGGGAAGATATTTCCTTTTCCAACGTAGGCCTGAAAGCGCTCCAAATGTCCACTTCCATATACTAAAAAAAGAGTGTTTCAAACCTGCTCTACCAAAGGGAATGTTCTACTCTGTGACTTGAATGCAAACATCCCAAAGAAGTTTCTGAGAATGCTTCTGTCTAGATTTTATCTGAAGACAATCCCGTTTCCAACGAAATCCTCAAGGCTAGGCAAATATACTCTTGCAGATTCCAGAAAAAGAGTGTTTCAAAACTGCTCCTTCAAAACGGTGGTTCAATTCTCTTAGTTGAGTACACACATCTCAAATAAGTTTCTGAGAATGCTTCTGCCTAGTTGTTACGGGAAGATATTTCCCTTTCCAACATGGGCCTGAAAGCGCTCCAAATGTCCACTTCCAGATACTACAAAAAGAGTGTTTCAAACCTGCTCTACCAAAGGGAATGTTCTACTCTGTGACTTGAATGCAAACATCCCAAAGAAGTTTCTGAGAATGCTTCTGTCTAGATTTTACCTGAAGACAATCCCGTTTCCCACGAAATCCTCAAAGCTATGCAAATATCCTCTTGCGGATTCTACAAAAAGAGTGTTTCAAAACTGCTCTATGAAAAGAAAGGTTCAACTCTGTCAGTAGAGGGCACACATCACAAACAAGTTTCTGAGAATGCTTGGGTCTAGTTGTTATGGGAAGATATTTCCTTTTTCAACATAGGCCTGAAAGCGCTCCAAATGTCCACTTCCAGATACTACAAAAGGAGTGATTCCAACCTGCTCTATGATAGGGAATGTTCATCTCTGTGTCCTGAATACAAACATCACAAAGATGTTTCTCAGAACGCTGCAGTCTGCAATTTGGATGAATTCCCGCTTCCAACGAAATCCTCAAAACTAGCCAAATATCCACTTGGAGATTCCACAAAAAGAGCGTTTCAAAACTTCTCTATGAATAGAAAGGTTCTACTCCTTTAGTTGAGGACACACATCACGAGTAAGTTTCTGAGAATGCTTCTGTCTAGTTTTTATGGGAAGATATTTCCTTTTTCACCTTAGGCCGGAAAGCGCTCCAAATGTCCACTTACACACACTACAAAAAGAGTGTTTCAAACCTGCTCTGTGAAAGGGAATGTTCAATTCTGTGACTTGAATGCAATCATCACAAAGAACTTTCTGAGAATGCTGCTGTCTGCTTTTTATATGTAATCCCGTTTCCAACGAAATCCTCAAATCTAGCCCAATATCCACTTGCAGATTCCACAAAAAGAGTGTTTCAAAACTGTTCTGTCTAAAGAAATGTACAACTGTGTTAGTTGAGGACACACATCAGAAACCAGTTTCTGAGAATGCTTCTGTCTAGTTGTTATGGGAAGATATTTCCTTTTCCAACGTAGGCCTGAAAGCGCTCCAAATGTCCACTTCCATATGCTAAAAAAAGAGTGTTTCAAACCTGCTCTACCAAAGGGAATGTTCTACTCTGTGACTTGAATGCAAACATCCCAAAGAAGTTTCTGAGAATGCTTCTGTCTAGATTTTATCTGAAGACAATCCCGTTTCCAACGAAATCCTCAAAGCTAGGCAAATATCCTCTTGCAGATTCCAGAAAAAGAGTGTTTCAAAACTGCTCCTTCAAAACGGTGGTTCAATTCTCTTAGTTGAGTACACACATCTCAAATAAGTTTCTGAGAATGCTTCTGCCTAGTTGTTACGGGAAGATATTTCCCTTACCAACATAGGCCTGAAAGCGCTCCAAATGTCCACTTCCAGATACTACAAAAAGAGTGTTTCAAACCTGCTCTACCAAAGGGAATGTTCTACTCTGTGACTTGAATGCAAACATCCCAAAGAAGTTTCTGAGAATGCTTCTGTCTAGATTTTACCTGAAGACAATCCCGTTTCCCACGAAATCCTCGAAGCTATGCAAATATCCTCTTGCAGATTCTACAAAAAGAGTGTTTCAAAACTGCTCTATGAAAAGAAAGGTTCAACTCTGTCAGTAGAGGGCACACATCACAAACAAGTTTCTGAGAATGCTTGTGTCTAGTTGTTATGGGAAGATATTTCCTTTTTCAACATAGGCCTGAAAGCGCTCCAAATGTCCACTTCCAGATACTACAAAAGGAGTGATTCCAACCTGCTCTATGATAGGGAATCTTCAACTCTGTGTCCTGAATACAAACATCACAAAGATGTTTCTCAGAACGCTGCAGTCTGCAATTTGTATGAATTCCCGCTTCCAACGAAATCCTCAAAACTAGCCAAATATCCACTTGCAGATTCCACAAAAAGAGCGTTTCAAAACTTCTCTATGAAAAGAAAGGTTCTACACCTTTAGTTGAGGACACACATCACGAGTAAGTTTCTGAGAATGCTTCTGTCTAGTTTTTATGGGAAGATATTTCCTTTTTCACCTTAGGCTGGAAAGTGCTCCAAATGTCCACTTACACACACTACAAAAAGAGTGTTTCAAACCTGCTCTGTGAAAGGGAATGTTCAATTCTGTGACTTGAATGCAATCATCAAAAAGAACTTTCTGAGACTGCTGCTGTCTGCTTTTTATATGTAATCCCGTTTCCAACGAAATCCTCAAATCTAGCCAAATATCCACTTGCAGATTCCAGAAAAAGAGTGTTTCAAAACTGCTCCTTCAAAGCGGTGGTTCAATTCGCTTAGTTGAGTACACACATCTGAAATAAGTTTCTGAGAATGCTTCTGTCTAGTTGTTATGGGAAGATATTTCCTTTTCCAACATAGGCCTGAAAGCGCTCCAAATGTCCACTTCCAGATACTACAAAAGGAGTGATTCCAACCTGCTCTATGATAGGGAATGTTCAACTCTGTGTCCTGAATACAAACATCACAAAGATGTTTCTCAGAACGCTGCAGTCTGCAATTTGTATGAATTCCCGCTTCCAACGAAATCCTCCAAACTAGCCAAATATCCACTTGCAGATTCCACAAAAAGAGCGTTTCAAAACTTCTCTATGAAAAGAAAGGTTCTACTCCTTTAGTTGAGGACACACATCACGAGTAAGTTTCTGAGAATGCTTCTGTCTAGTTTTTATGGGAAGATATTTCCTTTTTCACCTTAGGCCGGAAAGTGCTCCAAATGTCCACTTACACACACTACAAAAAGAGTGTTTCAAACCTGCTCTGTGAAAGGGAATGTTCAATTCTGTGACTTGAATGCAATCATCACAAAGAAGTTTCTGAGAATGCTGCTGTCTGCTTTTTATATGTAATCCCGTTTCCAACGAAATCCTCAAATCTAGCCAAATAGCCACTTGCAGATTCCACAAAAAGAGTGTTTCAAAACTGTTCTGTCTAAAGAAATGTTCAACTGTGTTAGTTGAGGACACACATCAGAAACTAGTTTCTGAGAATGCTTCTGTCTAGTTGTTATGGGAAGATATTTCCTTTTCCAACGTAGGCCTGAAAGCGCTCCAAATGTCCACTTCCATATACTAAAAAAAGAGTGTTTCAAACCTGCTCTACCAAAGGGAATGTTCTACTCCGTGACTTGAATGCAAACATCCCAAAGAAGTTTCTGAAAATGCTTCTGTCTAGATTTGATCTGAAGACAATCCCGTTTCCAACGAAATCCTCAAGGCTAGGCAAATATCCTCTTGCAGATTCCAGAAAAAGAGTGTTTCAAAACTGCTCCTTCAAAACGGTGGTTCAATTCTCTTAGTTGAGTACACACATCTCAAATAAGTTTCTGAGAATGCTTCTGCCTAGTTGTTACGGGAAGATATTTCCCTTTCCAACATAGGCCTGAAAGCGCTCCAAATGTCCACTTCCAGATACTACAAAAAGAGTGTTTCAAACCTGCTCTACCAAAGGGAATGTTCTACTCTGTGACTTGAATGCAAACATCCCAAAGAAGTTTCTGAGAAAGCTTCTGTCTAGATTTTACCTGAAGACAATCCCGTTTTCCACGAAATCCTCAAAGCTATGCAAATATCCTCTTGCGGATTCTACAAAAAGAGTGTTTCAAAACTGCTCTATGAAAAGAAAGGTTCAACTCTGTCAGTAGAGGGCACACATCACAAACAAGTTTCTGAGAATGCTTGTGTCTAGTTGTTATGGGAAGATATTTCCTTTTTCAACATAGGCCTGAAAGCGCTCCAAATGTCCACTTCCAGATACTACAAAAGGAGTGATTCCAACATGCTCTATGAGAGGGAATGTTCATCTCTGTGTCTTGAATACAAACATCACAAAGATGTTTCTCAGAACGCTGCAGTCTGCAATTTGTATGAATTCCCGCTTCCAACGAAATCCTCAAAACTAGCCAAATATCCACTTGGAGATTCCACAAAAAGAGCGTTTCAAAACTTCTCCATGAATAGAAAGGTTCCACTCCTTTAGTTGAGGACACACATCACGAGTAAGTTTACTGAGAATGCTTCTGTCTAGTTTTTATGGGAAGATATGTCCTTTTTCACCTTAGGCCGGAAAGCGCTCCAAATGTCCACTTACACACACTACAAAAAGAGTGTTTCAAACCTGCTCTGTGAAAGGGAATGTTCAATTCTGTGACTTGAATGCAATCATCACAAAGAACTTTCTGAGAATGCTGCTGACTGCTTTTTATATGTAATCCCGTTTCCAACGAAATCCTCAAATCTAGCCCAATATCCACTTGCAGATTCCACAAAAAGAGTGTTTCAAAACTATTCTGTCTAAAGAAATGTACAACTGTGTTAGTTGAGGACACACATCAGAAACTAGTTTCTGAGAATGCTTCTGTCTAGTTGTTATGGGAAGATATTTCCTTTTCCAACGTAGGCCTGAAAGCGCTCCAAATGTCCACTTCCATATACTAAAAAAAGAGTGTTTCAAACCTGCTCTACCAAAGGGAATGTTCTACTCTGTGACTTGAATGCAAACATCCCAAAGAAGTTTCTGAGAATGCTTCTGTCTAGATTTTATCTGAAGACAATCCCGTTTCCAACGAAATCCTCAAGGCTAGGCAAATATACTCTTGCAGATTCCAGAAAAAGAGTGTTTCAAAACTGCTCCTTCAAAACGGTGGTTCAATTCTCTTAGTTGAGTACACACATCTCAAATAAGTTTCTGAGAATGCTTCTGCCTAGTTGTTACGGGAAGATATTTCCCTTTCCAACATGGGCCTGAAAGCGCTCCAAATGTCCACTTCCAGATACTACAAAAAGAGTGTTTCAAACCTGCTCTACCAAAGGGAATGTTCTACTCTGTGACTTGAATGCAAACATCCCAAAGAAGTTTCTGAGAATGCTTCTGTCTAGATTTTACCTGAAGACAATCCCGTTTCCCACGAAATCCTCAAAGCTATGCAAATATCCTCTTGCGGATTCTACAAAAAGAGTGTTTCAAAACTGCTCTATGAAAAGAAAGGTTCAACTCTGTCAGTAGAGGGCACACATCACAAACAAGTTTCTGAGAATGCTTGTGTCTAGTTGTTATGGGAAGATATTTCCTTTTTCAACATAGGCCTGAAAGCGCTCCAAATGTCCACTTCCAGATACTACAAAAGGAGTGATTCCAACCTGCTCTATGATAGGGAATGTTCATCTCTGTGTCTTGAATACAAACATCACAAAGATGTTTCTCAGAACGCTGCAGTCTGCAATTTGTATGAATTCCCGCTTCCAACGAAATCCTCAAAACTAGCCAAATATCCACTTGGAGATTCCACAAAAAGAGCGTTTCAAAACTTCTCTATGAATAGAAATGTTCTACTCCTTTAGTTGAGGACACACATCACGAGTAAGTTTCTGAGAATGCTTCTGTCTAGTTTTTATGGGAAGATATGTCCTTTTTCACCTTAGGCCGGAAAGCGCTCCAAATGTCCACTTACACACACTACAAAAAGAGTGTTTCAAACCTGCTCTGTGAAAGGGAATGTTCAATTCTGTGACTTGAATGCAATCATCACAAAGAACTTTCTGAGAATGCTGCTGACTGCTTTTTATATGTAATCCCGTTTCCAACGAAATCCTCAAATCTAGCCCAGTATCCACTTGCAGATTCCACAAAAAGAGTGTTTCAAAACTGTTCTGTCTAAAGAAATGTACAACTGTGTTAGTTGAGGACACACATCAGAAACTAGTTTCTGAGAATGCTTCTGTCTAGTTGTTATGGGAAGATATTTCCTTTTCCAACGTAGGCCTGAAAGCGCTCCAAATGTCCACTTCCATATACTAAAAAAAGAGTGTTTCAAACCTGCTCTACCAAAGGGAATGTTCTACTCTGTGACTTGAATGCAAACATCCCAAAGAAGTTTCTGAGAATGCTTCTGTCTAGATTTTATCTGAAGACAATCCCGTTTCCAACGAAATCCTCAAGGCTAGGCAAATATACTCTTGCAGATTCCAGAAAAAGAGGGTTTCAAAACTGCTCCTTCAAAACGGTGGTTCAATTCTCTTAGTTGAGTACACACATCTCAAATAAGTTTCTGAGAATGCTTCTGCCTAGTTGTTACGGGAAGATATTTCCCTTTCCAACATGGGCCTGAAAGCGCTCCAAATGTCCACTTCCAGATACTACAAAAAGAGTGTTTCAAACCTGCTCTACCAAAGGGAATGTTCTACTCTGTGACTTGAATGCAAACATCCCAAAGAAGTTTCTGAGAATGCTTCTGTCTAGATTTTACCTGAAGACAATCCCGTTTCCCACGAAATCCTCAAAGCTATGCAAATATCCTCTTGCGGATTCTATAAAAGAGTGTTTCAAAACTGCTCTATGAAAAGAAAGGTTCAACTCTGTCAGTAGAGGGCACACATCACAAACAAGTTTCTGAGAATGCTTGTGTCTAGTTGTTATGGGAAGATATTTCCTTTTTCAACATAGGCCTGAAAGCGCTCCAAATGTCCACTTCCAGATACTACAAAAGGAGTGATTCCAACCTGCTCTATGATAGGGAATGTTCATCTCTGTGTCCTGAATACAAACATCACAAAGATGTTTCTCAGAACGCTGCAGTCTGCAATTTGTATGAATTCCCGCTTCCAACGAAATCCTCAAAACTAGCCAAATATCCACTTGGAGATTCCACAAAAAGAGCGTTTCAAAACTTCTCTATGAATAGAAATGTTCTACTCCTTTAGTTGAGGACACACATCACGAGTAAGTTTCTGAGAATGCTTCTGTCTAGTTTTTATGGGAAGATATGTCCTTTTTCACCTTAGGCCGGAAAGCGCTCCAAATGTCCACTTACACACACTACAAAAAGAGTGTTTCAAACCTGCTCTGTGAAAGGGAATGTTCAATTCTGTGACTTGAATGCAATCATCACAAAGAACTTTCTGAGAATGCTGCTGTCTGCTTTTTATATGTAATCCCGTTTCCAACGAAATCCTCAAATCTACCCCAATATCCACTTGCAGATTCCACAAAAAGAGTGTTTCAAAACTGTTCTGTGTAAAGAAATGTACAACTGTTTTAGTTGAGGACACACATCAGAAACTAGTTTCTGAGAATGCTTCTGTCTAGTTGTTATGGGAAGATATTTCCTTTTCCAACGTAGGCCTGAAAGCGCTCCAAATGTCCACTTCCATATACTAAAAAAAGAGTGTTTCAAACCTGCTCTACCAAAGGGAATGTTCTACTCTGTGACTTGAATGCAAACATCCCAAAGAAGTTTCTGAGAATGCTTCTGTCTAGATTTTATCTGAAGACAATCCCGTTTCCAACGAAATCCTCAAGGCTAGGCAAATATACTCTTGCAGATTCCAGAAAAAGAGTGTTTCAAAACTGCTCCTTCAAAACGGTGGTTCAATTCTCTTAGTTGAGTCCACACATCTCAAATAAGTTTCTGAGAATGCTTCTGCCTAGTTGTTACGGGAAGATATTTCCCTTTCCAACATGGGCCTGAAAGCGCTCCAAATGTCCACTTCCAGATACTACAAAAAGAGTGTTTCAAACCTGCTCTACCAAAGGGAATGTTCTACTCTGTGACTTGAATGCAAACATCCCAAAGAAGTTTCTGAGAATGCTTCTGTCTAGATTTTACCTGAAGACAATCCCGTTTCCCACGAAATCCTCAAAGCTATGCAAATATCCTCTTGCGGATTCTACAAAAAGAGTGTTTCAAAACTGCTCTATGAAAAGAAAGGTTCAACTCTGTCAGTAGAGGGCACACATCACAAACAAGTTTCTGAGAATGCTTCTGTCTAGTTGTTATGGGAAGATATTTCCTTTTCCAACATAGGCCTGAAAGCGCTCCAAATGTCCACTTCCAGATACTACAAAAGGAGTGATTCAAACCTGCTCTATGATAGGGAATGTTCAACTCTGTGTGCCTGAATACAAACATCACAAAGATGTTTCTCAGAACGCTGCAGTCTGAAATTTGTATGAATTCCCGCTTCCAACGAAATCCTCAAAACTAGCCAAATATCCACTTGCAGATTCCACAAAAAGAGCATTTCAAAACTGCTCTATCAAAAGAAAGGTTCAACTTTGTTAGTTGAGTAGATACAGCATAAACAAGTTTCTGAGAATGCTTCTGTCCAGTTTTTATGGGAAGATATTTCCTTTTTCACCTTAGCCCTGAAATCGCTCCAAAAGTCCAGTTCCAGATACTACAAAAGGGGTGTTTCAGGACTGCTCTATGAAAGGGAGTGTTCAACTTTTGACTTGAATGCAAACATCAGAAAGCAGTTTCTCAGAACGCTGCTGTGTGCTTTTTATATGTATTCCCGCTTCCAGCGAAATCCCCAAAGCTAGCCAAATATCCACTTGCAGATTCCAGAAAAAGAGAGTTTCAAAACTGCTCCTTCAAAACGGTGGTTCAATTCTCTTAGTTGAGTACACACATCTCAAATAAGTTTCTGAGAATGCTTCTGTCTAGTTGTTATGGGAAGATATTTCCCTTTCCAACATAGGCCTGAAAGCGCTCCAAATGTCCACTTCCAGATACTACAAAAGGAGTGATTCCAACCTGCTCTATGATAGGGAATGTTCAACTCTGTGTCCTGAATACAAACATCACAAAGATGTTTCTCAGAACGCTGCAGTCTGCAATTTGTATGAATTCCCGCTTCCAACGAAATCCTCAAAACTAGCCAAATATCCACTTGCAGATTCCACAAAAAGACCATTTCAAAACTGCTCTATCAAAAGAAAGGTTCAACTTTGTTAGTTGAGTAGATACAGCATAAACAAGTTTCTGAGAATGCTTCTGTCCAGTTTTTATGGGAAGATATTTCCTTTTTCACCTTAGCCCTAAAATCGCTCCAAAAGTCCAGTTCCAGACACTACAAAAGGGGTGTTTCAAGACTGCTCTATGAAAGGGAGTGTTCAACTTTTGACTTGAATGCAAACATCAGAAAGCAGTTTCTCAGAACCCTGCTGTGTGCTTTTTATATGTATTCCCGCTTCCAGCGAAATCCCCAAAGCTAGCCAAATATCCACTTGCAGATTCCAGAAAAAGAGTGTTTCAAAACTGCTCCTTCAAAACGGTGGTTCAATTCTCTTAGTTGAGTAGACACATCTCAAATAAGTTTCTGAGAATGCTGCAGTCTGCAATTTGTATGAATTCCCGCTTCCAACGAAATCCTCAAAACTAGCCAAATATCCACTTGCAGATTCCACAAAAAGAGCGTTTCAAAACTTCTCTATGAAAAGAAAGGTTCTACTCCTTTAGTTGAGGACACACAATACGAGTAAGTTTCTGAGAATGCTTCTGTCCAGTTTTTATGGGAAGATATTTCCTTTTTCACCTTAGCCCTGAAAGCGCTCCAAAAGTCCAGTTCCAGATACTACAAAAGGAGTGTTTCAGGACTGCTCTATGAAAGGGAGTGTTCAACTTTTGACTTGAATGCAAACATCAGAAAGCAGTTTCTCAGAACGCTGCTGTGTGCTTTTTATATGTATTCCCGCTTCCAGCGAAATCCCCAAAGCTAGCCAAATATCCACTTGCAGATTCCAGAAAAAGAGTGTTTCAAAACTGCTCCTTCAAAACGGTGGTTCAATTCTCTTAGTTGAGTACACACATCTCAAATAAGTTTCTGAGAATGCTCTGTCTAGTTGTTATGGGAAGATATTTCCTTTTCCAACATAGGCCTGAAAGCGCTCCAAATGTCCACTTCCAGATACTACAAAAGGAGTGATTCAAACGTGCTCTATGATAGGGAATGTTCAACTCTGTGTCCTGAATACAAACATCACAAAGATGTTTCTCAGAACGCTGGCAGTCTGCAATTTGTATGAATTCCCGCTTCCAACGAAATCCTCAAAACTAGCCAAATATCCACTTGCAGATTCCACAAAAAGAGCGTTTCAAAACTTCTCTATGAAAAGAAAGGTTCTACTCCTTTAGTTGAGGACACACATCACGAGTAAGTTTCTGAGAATGCTTCTGTCTAGTTTTTATGGGAAGATATTTCCTTTTTCACCTTAGGCCGGTAAGTGCTCCAAATGTCCACTTACACACACTACAAAAAGAGTGTTTCAAACCTGCTCTGTGAAAGGGAATGTTCAATTCTGTGACTTGAATGCAATCATCACAAAGAACTTTCTGAGAATGCCGCTGACTGCTTTTTATATGTAATCCCGTTTCCAACGAAATCCTCAAATCTAGCCAAATAGCCACTTGCAGATTCCACAAAAAGAGTGTTTCAAAACTGTTCTGTCTAAAGAAATGTTCAACTGTGTTAGTTGAGGACACACATCAGAAACTAGTTTCTGAGAATGCTTCTGTCTAGTTGTTATGGGAAGATATTTCCTTTTCCAACGTAGGCCTGAAAGCGCTCCAAATGTCCACTTCCAGATACTAAAAAAAGAGTGTTTCAAACCTGCTCTACCAAAGGGAATGTTCTACTCTGTGACTTGAATGCAAGCATCCCAAAGAAGTTTCTGAGAATGCTTCTGTCTAGATTTTCTCTGAAGACAATCCCGTTTCCAACGAAATCCTCAAGGCTAGGCAAATATACTCTTGCAGATTCCAGAAAAAGAGTGTTTCAAAACTGCTCCTTCAAAACGGTGGTTCAATTCTCTTAGTTGAGTACACACATCTCAAATAAGTTTCTGAGAATGCTTCTGCCTAGTTGTTACGGGAAGATATTTCCCTTTCCAACATGGGCCTGAAAGCGCTCCAAATGTCCACTTCCAGATACTACAAAAAGAGTGTTTCAAACCTGCTCTACCAAAGGGAATGTTCTACTCTGTGACTTGAATGCAAACATCCCAAAGAAGTTTCTGAGAATGCTTCTGTCTAGATTTTACCTGAAGACAATCCCGTTTCCCACGAAATCCTCAAAGCTATGCAAATATCCTCTTGCAGATTCTACAAAAAGAGTGTTTCAAAACTGCTCTATGAAAAGAAAGGTTCAACTCTGTCAGTAGAGGGCACACATCACAAACAAGTTTCTGAGAATGCTTCTGCATAGTTGTTACGGGAAGATATTTCCCTTTCCAAAATAGGCCTGAAAGCGCTCCAAATGTCCACTTCCAGATACTACAAAAGGAGTGATTCCAACCTGCTCTATGATAGGGAATGTTCAACTCTGTGTCCTGAATACAAACATCACAAAGATGTTTCTCAGAACGCTGCAGTCTGCAATTTGTATGAATTCCCGCTTCCAACGAAATCCTCAAAACTAGCCAAATATCCACTTGCAGATTCCACAAAAAGACCATTTCAAAACTGCTCTATCAAAAGAAAGGTTCAACTTTGTTAGTTGAGTAGATACAGCATAAACAAGTTTCTGAGAATGCTTCTGTCCAGTTTTTATGGGAAGATATTTCCTTTTTCACCTTAGCCCTGAAATCGCTCCAAAAGTCCAGTTCCAGATACTACAAAAGGGGTGTTTCAGGACTGCCCTATGAAAGGGAGTGTTCAACTTTTGACTTGAATGCAAACATCAGAAAGCAGTTTCTCAGAACGCTGCTGTGTGCTTTTTATATGTATTCCCGCTTCCAGCGAAATCCCCAAAGCTAGCCAAATATCCACTTGCAGATTCCAGAAAAAGAGAGTTTCAAAACTGCTCCTTCAAAACGGTGGTTCAATTCTCTTAGTTGAGTACACACATCTCAAATAAGTTTCTGAGAATGCTTCTGTCTAGTTGTTATGGGAAGATATTTCCTTTTCCAACATAGGCCTGAAAGCGCTCCAAATGTCCACTTCCAGATACTACAAAAGGAGTGATTCAAACCTGCTCTATGATAGGGAATGTTCAACTCTGTGTCCTGAATACAAACATCACAAAGATGTTTCTCAGAACGCTGCAGTCTGCAATTTGTATGAATTCCCGCTTCCAACGAAATCCTCAAAACTAGCCAAATATCCACTTGCAGATTCCACAAAAAGAGCGTTTCAAAACTTCTCTATGAAAAGAAAGGTTCTACCCCTTTAGTTGAGGACACACATCACGAGTAAGTTTCTGAGAATGCTTCTGTCTAGTTTTTATGGGAAGATATTTCCTTTTTCACCTTAGGCCGGTAAGTGCTCCAAATGTCCACTTACACACACTACAAAAAGAGTGTTTCAAACCTGCTCTGTGAAAGGGAATGTTCAATTCTGTGACTTGAATGCAATCATCACAAAGAACTTTCTGAGAATGCCGCTGACTGCTTTTTATATGTAATCCCGTTTCCAACGAAATCCTCAAATCTAGCCAAATAGCCACTTGCAGATTCCACAAAAAGAGTGTTTCAAAACTGTTCTGTCTAAAGAAATGTTCAACTGTGTTAGTTGAGGACACACATCAGAAACTAGTTTCTGAGAATGCTTCTGTCTAGTTGTTATGGGAAGATATTTCCTTTTCCAACGTAGGCCTGAAAGCGCTCCAAATGTCCACTTCCAGATACTACAAAAAGAGTGTTTCAAACCTGCTCTACCAAAGGGAATGTTCTACTCTGTGACTTGAATGCAAGCATCCCAAAGAAGTTTCTGAGAATGCTTCTGTCTAGATTTTCTCTGAAGACAATCCCGTTTCCAACGAAATCCTCAAGGCTAGGCAAATATCCTCTTGCAGATTCCAGAAAAAGAGTGTTTCAAAACTGCTCCTTCAAAACGGTGGTTCAATTCTCTTAGTTGAGTACACACATCTCAAATAAGTTTCTGAGAATGCTTCTGCCTAGTTGTTACGGGAAGATATTTCCCTTTCCAACATGGGCCTGAAAGCGCTCCAAATGTCCACTTCCAGATACTACAAAAAGAGTGTTTCAAACCTGCTCTACCAAAGGGAATGTTCTACTCTGTGACTTGAGTGCAAACATCCCAAAGAAGTTTCTGAGAATGCTTCTGTCTAGATTTTACCTGAAGACAATCCCGTTTCCCACGAAATCCTCAAAGCTATGCAAATATCCTATTGCGGATTCTACAAAAAGAGTGTTTCAAAACTGCTCTATGAAAAGAAAGGTTCAACTCTGTCAGTAGAGGGCACACATCACAAACAAGTTTCTGAGAATGCTTGTGTCTAGTTGTTATGGGAAGATATTTCCTTTTTCAACATAGGCCTGAAAGCGCTCCAAATGTCCACTTCCAGATATTACAAAAGGAGTGATTCCAACCTGCTCTATGATAGGGAATGTTCATCTCTGTGTCCTGAATACAAACATCACAAACATGTTTCTCAGAACGCTGCAGTCTGCAATTTGTATGAATTCCCGCTTCCAACGAAATCCTCAAAACTAGCCAAATATCCACTTGCAGATTCCACAAAAAGAGCATTTCAAAACTGCTCTATCAAAAGAAAGGTTCAACTTTGTTAGTTGAGTAGATACAGCATAAACAAGTTTCTGAGAATGCTTCTGTCCAGTTTTTATGGGAAGATATTTCCTTTTTCACCTTAGCCCTGAAAGCGCTCCAAAAGTCCAGTTCCAGATACTACAAAAGGAGTGTTTCAGGACTGCTCTATGAAAGGGAGTGTTCAACTTTTGACTTGAATGCAAACATCAGAAAGCAGTTTCTCAGAACGCTGCTGTGTGCTTTTTATATGTATTCCCGCTTCCAGCGAAATCCCCAAAGCTAGCCAAATATCCACTTGCAGATTCCAGAAAAAGAGTGTTTCAAAACTGCTCCTTCAAAACGGTGGTTCAATTCTCTTAGTTGAGTACACACATCTCAAATAAGTTTCTGAGAATGCTTCTGTCTAGTTGTTATGGGAAGATATTTCCTTTTCCAACATAGGCCTGAAAGCGCTCCAAATGTCCACTTCCAGATACTACAAAAGGAGTGATTCAAACCTGCTCTATGATAGGGAATGTTCAACTCTGTGTCCTGAATACAAACATCACAAAGATGTTTCTCAGAACGCTGCAGTCTGCAATTTGTATGAATTCCCGCTTCCAACGAAATCCTCAAAACTAGCCAAATATCCACTTGCAGATTCCACAAAAAGAGCGTTTCAAAACTTCTCTATGAAAAGAAAGGTTCTACTCCTTTAGTTGAGGACACACATCACGAGTAAGTTTCTGAGAATGCTTCTGTCTAGTTTTTATGGGAAGATATTTCCTTTTTCACCTTAGGCCGGTAAGTGCTCCAAATGTCCACTTACACACACTACAAAAAGAGTGTTTCAAACCTGCTCTGTGAAAGGGAATGTTCAATTCTGTGACTTGAATGCAATCATCACAAAGAACTTTCTGAGAATGCTGCTGACTGCTTTTTATATGTAATCCCGTTTCCAACGAAATCCTCAAATCTAGCCAAATAGCCACTTGCAGATTCCACAAAAAGAGTGTTTCAAAACTGTTCTGTCTAAAGAAATGTTCAACTGTGTTAGTTGAGGACACACATCAGAAACTAGTTTCTGAGAATGCTTCTGTCTAGTTGTTATGGGAAGATATTTCCTTTTCCAACGTAGGCCTGAAAGCGCTCCAAATGTCCACTTCCAGATACTACAAAAAGAGTGTTTCAAACCTGCTCTACCAAAGGGAATGTTCTACTCTGTGACTTGAATGCAAGCATCCCAAAGAAGTTTCTGAGAATGCTTCTGTCTAGATTTTCTCTGAAGACAATCCCGTTTCCAACGAAATCCTCAAGGCTAGGCAAATATACTCTTGCAGATTCCAGAAAAAGAGTGTTTCAAAACTGCTCCTTCAAAACGGTGGTTCAATTCTCTTAGTTGAGTACACACATCTCAAATAAGTTTCTGAGAATGCTTCTGCCTAGTTGTTACGGGAAGATATTTCCCTTTCCAACATGGGCCTGAAAGCGCTCCAAATGTCCACTTCCAGATACTACAAAAAGAGTGTTTCAAACCTGCTCTACCAAAGGGAATGTTCTACTCTGTGACTTGAATGCAAACATCCCAAAGAAGTTTCTGAGAATGCTTCTGTCTAGATTTTACCTGAAGACAATCCCGTTTCCCACGAAATCCTCAAAGCTATGCAAATATCCTCTTGCGGATTCTACAAAAAGAGTGTTTCAAAACTGCTCTATGTAAAGAAAGGTTCAACTCTGTCAGTAGAGGGCACACATCACAAACAAGTTTCTGAGAATGCTTCTGCATAGTTGTTACGGGAAGATATTTCCCTTTCCAAAATAGGCCTGAAAGCGCTCCAAATGTCCACTTCCAGATACTACAAAAGGAGTGATTCCAACCTGCTCTATGATAGGGAATGTTCAACTCTGTGTCCTGAATACAAACATCACAAAGATGTTTCTCAGAACGCTGCAGTCTGCAATTTGTATGAATTCCCGCTTCCAACGAAATCCTCAAAACTAGCCAAATATCCACTTGCAGATTCCACAAAAAGACCATTTCAAAACTGCTCTATCAAAAGAAAGGTTCAACTTTGTTAGTTGAGTAGATACAGCATAAACAAGTTTCTGAGAATGCTTCTGTCCAGTTTTTATGGGAAGATATTTCCTTTTTCACCTTAGCCCTGAAATCGCTCCAAAAGTCCAGTTCCAGATACTACAAAAGGGGTGTTTCAAGACTGCTCTATGAAAGGGAGTGTTCAACTTTTGACTTGAATGCAAACATCAGAAAGCAGTTTCTCAGAACGCTGCTGTGTGCTTTTTATATGTATTCCCGCTTCCAGCGAAATCCCCAAAGCTAGCCAAATATCCACTTGCAGATTCCAGAAAAAGAGAGTTTCAAAACTGCTCCTTCAAAACGGTGGTTCAATTCTCTTAGTTGAGTACACACATCTCAAATAAGTTTCTGAGAATGCTTCTGTCTAGTTGTTATGGGAAGATATTTCCTTTTCCAACATAGGCCTGAAAGCGCTCCAAATGTCCACTTCCAGATACTACAAAAGGAGTGATTCCAACCTGCTCTATGATAGGGAATGTTCAACTCTGTGTCCTGAATACAAACATCACAAAGATGTTTCTCAGAACGCTGCAGTCTGCAATTTGTATGAATTCCCGCTTCCAACGAAATCCTCAAAACTAGCCAAATATCCACTTGCAGATTCCACAAAAAGAGCGTTTCAAAACTTCTCTATGAAAAGAAAGGTTCTACTCCTTTAGTTGAGGACACACATCACGAGTAAGTTTCTGAGAATGCTTCTGTCTAGTTTTTATGGGAAGATATTTCCTTTTTCACCTTAGGCCGGAAAGCGCTCCAAATGTCCACTTACACACACTACAAAAAGAGGGTTTCAACCCTGCTCTGTGAAAGGGAATGTTCAATTCTGTGACTTGAATGCAATCATCACAAAGAACTTTCTGAGAATGCTGCTGTCTGCTTTTTATATGTAATCCCGTTTCCAACGAAATCCTCAAATCTAGCCAAATATCCACTTGCAGATTCCACAAAAAGAGTGTTTCAAAACTGTTCTGTCTAAAGAAAAGTTCAACTGTGTTAGTTGAGGACACACATCAGAAACTAGTTTCTGAGAATGCTTCTGTCTAGTTGTTATGGGAAGATATTTCCTTTTCCAACGTAGGCCTGAAAGCGCTCCAAATGTCCACTTCCATATACTAAAAAAAGAGTGTTTCAAACCTGCTCTACCAAAGGGAATGTTCTACTCTGTGACTTGAATGCAAACATCCCAAAGAAGTTTCTGAGAATGCTTCTGTCTAGATTTGATCTGAAGACAATCCCGTTTCCAACGAAATCCTCAAAGCTAGGCAAATATCCTCTTGCAGATTCCAGAAAAAGAGTGTTTCAAAACTGCTCCTTCAAAACGGTGGTTCAATTTTCTTAGTTGAGTACACACATCTCAAATAAGTTTCTGAGAATGCTTCTGCCTAGTTGTTACGGGAAGATATTTCCCTTTCCAACATGGGCCTGAAAGCGCTCCAAATGTCCACTTCCAGATACTACAAAAAGAGTGTTTCAAACCTGCTCTACCAAAGGGAATGTTCTACTCTGTGACTTGAATGCAAACATCCCAAAGAAGTTTCTGAGAATGCTTCTGTCTAGATTTTACCTGAAGACAATCCCGTTTCCCACGAAATCCTCAAAGCTATGCAAATATCCTCTTGCAGATTCTACAAAAAGAGTGTTTCAAAACTGCTCTATGAAAAGAAAGGTTCAACTCTGTCAGTAGAGGGCACACATCACAAACAAGTTTCTGAGAATGCTTGTGTCTAGTTGTTATGGGAAGATATTTCCTTTTTCAACATAGGCCTGAAAGCGCTCCAAATGTCCAATTCCACATACTACAAAAGGAGTGATTCCAACCTGCTCTATGATAGGGAATGTTCATCTCTGTGTCCTGAATACAAACATCACAAAGATGTTTCTCATAACGCTGCAGTCTGCAATTTGTATGAATTCCCGCTTCCAACGAAATCCTCAAAACTAGCCAAATATCCACTTGGAGATTCCACAAAAAGAGCGTTTCAAAACTTCTCTATGAATAGAAAGGTTCTACTCCTTTAGTTGAGGACACACATCACGAGTAAGTTTCTGAGAATGCTTCTGTCTAGTTTTTATGGGAAGATATTTCCTTTTTCACCTTAGGCCGGAAAGCGCTCCAAATGTCCACTTACACACACTACAAAAAGAGTGTTTCAAACCTGCTCTGTGAAAGGGAATGTTCAATTCTGTGACTTGAATGCAATCATCAAAAAGAACTTTCTGAGAATTCTGCTGTCTGCTTTTTATATGTAATCCCGTTTCCAACGAAATCCTCAAATCTAGCCAAATATCCACTTGCAGATTCCACAAAAAGAGTGTTTCAAAACTGTTCTGTCTAAAGAAAAGTTCAACTGTGTTAGTTGAGGACACACATCAGAAACTAGTTTCTGAGAATGCTTCTGTCTAGTTGTTATGGGAAGATATTTCCTTTTCCAACGTAGGCCTGAAAGCGCTCCAAATGTCCACTTCCATATACTAAAAAAAGAGTGTTTCAAACCTGCTCTACCAAAGGGAATGTTCTACTCTGTGACTTGAATGCAAACATCCCAAAGAAGTTTCTGAGAATGCTTCTGTCTAGATTTTATCTGAAGACAATCCCGTTTCCAACGAAATCTTCAAGGCTAGGCAAATATACTCTTGCAGATTCCAGAAAAAGAGTGTTTCAAATCTGCTCCTTCAAAACGGTGGTTCAATTCTCTTAGTTGAGTACACACATCTCAAATAAGTTTCTGAGAATGCTTCTGCCTAGTTGTTACGGGAAGATATTTCCCTTTCCAAAATAGGCCTGAAAGCGCTCCAAATGTCCACTTCCAGATACTGCAAAAGGAGTGATTCCAACCTGCTCTATGATAGGGAAAGTTCAACTCTGTGTCCTGAATACAAACATCACAAAGATGTTTCTCAGAACGCTGCAGTCTGCAATTTGCATGAATTCCAGCTTCCAACGAAATCCTCAAAACTAGCCAAATATCCACTTGCAGATTCCACAAAAAGAGCATTTCAAAACTGCTCTATCAAAAGAAAGGTTCAACTTTGTTAGTAGAGTAGATACAGCATAAACAAGTTTCTGAGAATGCTTCTGTCCAGTTTTTATGGGAAGATATTTCCTTTTTCACCTTAGCCCTGAAAGCGCTCCAAATGTCCAGTTCCAGATACTACAAAAGGGGTGTTTCAAGACTGCTCTATGAAAGGGAGTGTTCAACTTTTGACTTGAATGCAAACATCAGAAAGCAGTTTCTCAGAACGCTGCTGTGTGCTTTTTATATGTATTCCCGCTTCCAGCGAAATCCCCAAAGCTAGCCAAATATCCACTTGCAGATTCCAGAAAAAGAGTGTTTCAAAACTGCTCCTTCAAAACGGTGGTTCAATTCTCTTAGTTGAGTACACACATCTCAAATAAGTTTCTGAGAATGCTTCTGTCTAGTTGTTATGGGAAGATATTTCCTTTTCCAACATAGGCCTGAAAGCGCTCCAAATGTCCACTTCCAGATACTACAAAAGGAGTGATTCCAACCTGCTCTATGATAGGGAATGTTCAACTCTGTGTCCTGAATACAAACATCACAAAGATGTTTCTCAGAACGCTGCAGTCTGCAATTTGTATGAATTCCCGCTTCCAACGAAATCCTCAAAACTAGCCAAATATCCACTTGCAGATTCCACAAAAAGAGCGTTTCAAAACTTCTCTATGAAAAGAAAGGTTCTACTCCTTTAGTTGAGGACACACATCACGAGTAAGTTTCTGAGAATGCTTCTGTCTAGTTTTTATGGGAAGATATTTCCTTTTTCACCTTAGGCCGGTAAGTGCTCCAAATGTCCACTTACACACACTACAAAAAGAGTGTTTCAAACCTGCTCTGTGAAAGGGAATGTTCAATTCTGTGACTTGAATGCAATCATCACAAAGAACTTTCTGAGAATGCTGCTGACTGCTTTTTATATGTAATCCCGTTTCCAACGAAATCCTCAAATCTAGCCAAATAGCCACTTGCAGATTCCACAAAAAGAGTGTTTCAAAACTGTTCTGTCTAAAGAAATGTTCAACTGTGTTAGTTGAGGACACACATCAGAAACGAGTTTCTGAGAATGCTTCTGTCTAGTTGTTATGGGAAGATATTTCCTTTTCCAACGTAGGCCTGAAAGCGCTCCAAATGTCCACTTCCAGATACTAAAAAAAGAGTGTTTCAAACCTGCTCTACCAAAGGGAATGTTCTACTCTGTGACTTGAATGCAAGCATCCCAAAGAAGTTTCTGAGAATGCTTCTGTCTAGATTTTCTCTGAAGACAATCCCGTTTCCAACGAAATCCTCAAGGCTAGGCAAATATCCTCTTGCAGATTCCAGAAAAAGAGTGTTTCAAAACTGCTCCTTCAAAACGGTGGTTCAATTCTCTTAGTTGAGTACACACATCTCAAATAAGTTTCTGAGAATGCTTCTGCCTAGTTGTTACGGGAAGATATTTCCCTTTCCAACATGGGCCTGAAAGCGCTCCAAATGTCCACTTCCAGATACTACAAAAAGAGTGTTTCAAACCTGCTCTACCAAAGGGAATGTTCTACTCTGTGACTTGAATGCAAACATCCCAAAGAAGTTTCTGAGAATGCTTCTGTCTAGATTTTACCTGAAGACAATCCCGTTTCCCACGAAATCCTCAAAGCTATGCAAATATCCTCTTGCAGATTCTACAAAAAGAGTGTTTCAAAACTGCTCTATGAAAAGAAAGGTTCAACTCTGTCAGTAGAGGGCACACATCACAAACAAGTTTCTGAGAATGCTTCTGCATAGTTGTTACGGGAAGATATTTCCCTTTCCAAAATAGGCCTGAAAGCGCTCCAAATGTCCACTTCCAGATACTACAAAAGGAGTGATTCCAACCTGCTCTATGATAGGGAATGTTCAACTCTCTGTCCTGAATACAAACATCACAAAGATGTTTCTCAGAACGCTGCAGTCTGCAATTTGTATGAATTCCCGCTTCCAACGAAATCCTCAAAACTAGCCAAATATCCACTTGCAGATTCCACAAAAAGACCATTTCAAAACTGCTCTATCAAAAGAAAGGTTCAACTTTGTTAGTTGAGTAGATACAGCATAACCAAGTTTCTGAGAATGCTTCTGTCCAGTTTTTATGGGAAGATATTTCCTTTTTCACCTTAGCCCTGAAATCGCTCCAAAAGTCCAGTTCCAGATACTACAAAAGGGGTGTTTCAAGACTGCTCTATGAAAGGGAGTGTTCAACTTTTGACTTGAATGCAAACATCAGAAAGCAGTTTCTCAGAACGCTGCTGTGTGCTTTTTATATGTATTCCCGCTTCCAGCGAAATCCCCAAAGCTAGCCAAATATCCACTTGCAGATTCCAGAAAAAGAGAGTTTCAAAACTGCTCCTTCAAAACGGTGGTTCAATTCTCTTAGTTGAGTACACACATCTCAAATAAGTTTCTGAGAATGCTTCTGTCTAGTTGTTATGGGAAGATATTTCCTTTTCCAACATAGGCCTGAAAGCGCTCCAAATGTCCACTTCCAGATACTACAAAAGGAGTGATTCAAACCTGCTCTATGATAGGGAATGTTCAACTCTGTGTCCTGAATACAAACATCACAAAGATGTTTCTCAGAACGCTGCAGTCTGCAATTTGTATGAATTCCCGCTTCCAACGAAATCCTCAAAACTAGCCAAATATCCACTTGCAGATTCCACAAAAAGAGCGTTTCAAAACTTCTCTATGAAAAGAAAGGTTCTACTCCTTTAGTTGAGGACACACATCACGAGTAAGTTTCTGAGAATGCTTCTGTCTAGTTTTTATGGGAAGATATTTCCTTTTTCACCTTAGGCCGGTAAGGGTTCCAAATGTCCACTTACACACACTACAAAAAGAGTGTTTCAAACCTGCTCTGTGAAACGGAATGTTCAATTCTGTGACTTGAATGCAATCATCACAAAGAACTTTCTGAGAATGCTGCTGTCTGCTTTTTATATGTAATCCCGTTTCCAACGAAATCCTCAAATCTAGCCAAATATCCACTTGCAGATTCCACAAAAAGAGTGTTTCAAAACTGTTCTGTCTAAAGAAAAGTTCAACTTGTGTTAGTTGAGGACACACATCAGAAACTAGTTTCTGAGAATGCTTCTGTCTAGTTGTTATGGGAAGATATTTCCTTTTCCAACGTAGGCCTGAAAGCGCTCCAAATGTCCACTTCCATATACTAAAAAAAGAGTGTTTCAAACCTGCTCTACCAAAGGAATGTTCTACTCTGTGACTTGAATGCAAACATCCCAAAGAAGTTTCTGAGAATGCTTCTGTCTAGATTTGATCTGAAGACAATCCCTTTTCCAACGAAATCCTCAAAGCTAGGCAAATATCCTCTTGCAGATTCCAGAAAAAGAGTGTTTCCAAACTGCTCCTTCAAAACGGTGGTTCAATTCTCTTAGTTGAGTACACACATCTCAAATAAGTTTCTGAGAATGCTTCTGCCTAGTTGTTACGGGAAGATATTTCCCTTTCCAACATAGGCCTGAAAGCGCAACAAATGTCCACTTCCAGATACTACAAAAAGAGTGTTTCAAACCTGCTCTACCAAAGGGAATGTTCTACTCTGTGACTTGAATGCAAACATCCCGAAGAAGTTTCTGAGAATGCTTCTGTCTAGATTTTACCTGAAGACAATCCCGTTTCCCACGAAATCCTCAGAGCTATGCAAATATCCTCTTGCAGATTCTACAAAAAGAGTGTTTCGAAACTGCTCTATGAAAAGAAAGGTTCAACTCTGTCAGTAGAGGAAACACATCACCAACAAGTTTCTGAGAATGCTTCTGTCTAGTTGTTATGGGAAGATTTTTCCTTTTTCAACATAGGCCTGAAAGCGCTCCAAATGTCCACTTCCAGATACTACAAAAGGAGTGATCCCAACCTGCTCTATGATAGGGAATGTTCAACTCTGTGTCCTGAATACAAACATCACAAAGATGTTTCTCAGAACGCTGCAGTCTGCAATTTGTATGAATTCCCGCTTCCAACGAAATCCTCAAAACTAGCCAAATATCCACTTGCAGATTCCACAAAAAGAGCATTTCAAAACTGCTCTATCAAAAGAAAGGTTCAACTTTGTTAGTTGAGTAGATACAGCATAAACAAGTTTCTGAGAATGCTTCTGTCCAGTTTTTATGGGAAGATATTTCCTTTTTCACCTTAGCCCTGAAAGCGCTCCAAATTTCCAGTTCCAGATACTACAAAAGGGGTGTTTCAAGACTGCTCTATGAAAGGGAGTGTTCAAGTTTTGACTTGAATGCAAACATCAGAAAGCAGTTTCTCAGAACGCTGCTGTGTGCTTTTTATATGTATTCCCGCTTCCAGCGAAATCCCCAAAGCTAGCCAAATATCCACTTGCAGATTCCAGAAAAAGAGTGTTTTCAAACTGCTCCTTCAAAACGGTGGTTCAATTCTCTTAGTTGAGTACACACATCTCAAATAAGTTTCTGGGAATGCTTCTGTCTAGTTGTTATGGGAAGATATTTCCTTTTCCAACATAGGGCCTGAAAGCGCTCCAAATGTCCACTTCCAGATACTACAAAAGGAGTGATTCAAACCTGCTCTATGATAGGGAATGTTCAACTCTGTGTCCTGAATACAAACATCACAAAGATGTTTCTCAGAACGCTGCAGTCTGCAATTTGTATGAATTCCCGCTTCCAGCGAAATCCTCAAAACTAGCCAAATATCCACTTGCAGATTCCACAAAAAGAGCATTTCAAAACTGCTCTATCAAAAGAAAGGTTCAACTTTGTTAGTTGAGTAGATACAGCATAAACAAGTTTCTGAGAATGCTTCTGTCCAGTTTTTATGGGAAGATATTTCCTTTTTCACCTTAGCCCTGAAAGCGCTCCAAAAGTCCAGTTCCAGATACTACAAAAGGAGTGTTCCAGGACTGCACTATGAAAGGGAGTGTTCAACTTTTGACTTGAATGCAAACATCAGAAAGCAGTTTCTCAGAACGCTGCTGTGTGCTTTTTATATGTATTCCCGCTTCCAGCGAAATCCCCAAAGCTAGCCAAATATCCACTTGCAGATTCCAGAAAAAGAGTGTTTCAAAACTGCTCCTTCAAAACGGTGGTTCAATTCTCTTAGTTGAGTACACACATCTCAAATAAGTTTCTGAGAATGCTTCTGTCTAGTTGTTATGGGAAGATATTTCCTTTTCCAACATAGGCCTGAAAGCGCTCCAAATGTCCACTTCCAGATACTACAAAAGGAGTGATTCAAACCTGCTCTATGATAGGGAATGTTCAACTCTGTGTCCTGAATACAAACATCACAAAGATGTTTCTCAGAACGCTGCAGTCTGCAATTTGTATGAATTCCCGCTTCCAACGAAATCCTCAAAACTAGCCAAATATCCACTTGCAGATTCCACAAAAAGAGCGTTTCAAAACTTCTCTATGAAAAGAAAGGTTCTACTCCTTTAGTTGAGGACACACATCACGAGTAAGTTTCTGAGAATGCTTCTGTCTAGTTTTTATGGGAAGATATTTCCTTTTTCACCTTAGGCCGGTAAGTGCTCCAAATGTCCACTTACACACACTACAAAAAGAGTGTTTCAAACCTGCTCTGTGAAAGGGAATGTTCAATTCTGTGACTTGAATGCAATCATCACAAAGAACTTTCTGAGAATGCTGCTGACTGCTTTTTATATGTAATCCCGTTTCCAACGAAATCCTCAAATCTAGCCAAATAGCCACTTGCAGATTCCACAAAAAGAGTGTTTCAAAACTGTTCTGTCTAAAGAAATGTTCAACTGTGTTAGTTGAGGACACACATCAGAAACTAGTTTCTGAGAATGCTTCTGTCTAGTTGTTATGGGAAGATATTTCCTTTTCCAACGTAGGCCTGAAAGCGCTCCAAATGTCCACTTCCATATACTAAAAAAAGAGTGTTTCAAACCTGCTCTACCAAAGGGAATGTTCTACTCTGTGACTTGAATGCAAACATCCCAAAGAAGTTTCTGAGAATGCTTCTGTCTAGATTTTCTCTGAAGACAATCCCGTTTCCAACGAAATCCTCAAGGCTAGGCAAATATACTCTTGCAGATTCCAGAAAAAGAGTGTTTCAAAACTGCTCCTTCAAAACGGTGGTTCAATTCTCTTAGTTGAGTACACACATCTCAAATAAGTTTCTGAGAATGCTCTGCCTAGTTGTTACGGGAAGATATTTCCCTTTCCAACATGGACCTGAAAGCGCTCCAAATGTCCACTTCCAGATACTACAAAAAGAGTGTTTCAAACCTGCTCTACCAAAGGGAATGTTCTACTCTGTGACTTGAATGCAAACATCCCAAAGAAGTTTCTGAGAATGCTTTCTGTCTAGATTTTACCTGAAGACAATCCCGTTTCCCACGAAATCCTCAAAGCTATGCAAATATCCTCTTGCAGATTCTACAAAAAGAGTGTTTCAAAACTGCTCTATGAAAAGAAAGGTTCAACTCTGTCAGTAGAGGGCACACATCACAAACAAGTTTCTGAGAATGCTTCTGCATAGTTGTTACGGGAAGATATTTCCCTTTCCAAAATAGGCCTGAAAGCGCTCCAAATGTCCACTTCCAGATACTACAAAAGGAGTGATTCCAACCTGCTCTATGATAGGGAATGTTCAACTCTGTGTCCTGAATACAAACATCACAAAGATGTTTCTCAGAACGCTGCAGTCTGCAATTTGTATGAATTCCCGCTTCCAACGAAATCCTCAAAACTAGCCAAATATCCACTTGCAGATTCCACAAAAAGACCATTTCAAAACTGCTCTATCAAAAGAAAGGTTCAACTTTGTTAGTTGAGTAGATACAGCATAAACAAGTTTCTGAGAATGCTTCTGTCCAGTTTTTATGGGAAGATATTTCCTTTTTCACCTTAGCCCTGAAATCGCTCCAAAAGTCCAGTTCCAGATACTACAAAAGGGGTGTTTCAGGACTGCTCTATGAAAGGGAGTGTTCAACTTTTGACTTGAATGCAAACATCAGAAAGCAGTTTCTCAGAACGCTGCTGTGTGCTTTTTATATGTATTCCCGCTTCCAGCGAAATCCCCAAAGCTAGCCAAATATCCACTTGCAGATTCCAGAAAAAGAGAGTTTCAAAACTGCTCCTTCAAAACGGTGGTTCAATTCTCTTAGTTGAGTACACACATCTCAAATAAGTTTCTGAGAATGCTTCTGTCTAGTTGTTATGGGAAGATATTTCCTTTTCCAACATAGGCCTGAAAGCGCTCCAAATGTCCACTTCCAGATACTACAAAAGGAGTGATTCCAACCTGCTCTATGATAGGGAATGTTCAACTCTGTGTCCTGAATACAAACATCACAAAGATGTTTCTCAGAACGCTGCAGTCTGCAATTTGTATGAATTCCCGCTTCCAACGAAATCCTCAAAACTAGCCAAATATCCACTTGCAGATTCCACAAAAAGAGCGTTTCAAAACTTCTCTATGAAAAGAAAGGTTCTACTCCTTTAGTTGAGGACACACATCACGAGTAAGTTTCTGAGAATGCTTCTGTCTAGTTTTTATGGGAAGATTATTTCCTTTTTCACCTTAGGCCGGTAAGTGCTCCAAATGTCCACTTACACACACTACAAAAAGAGTGTTTCAAACCTGCTCTGTGAAAGGGAATGTTCAATTCTGTGACTTGAATGCAATCATCACAAAGAACTTTCTGAGAATGCCGCTGACTGCTTTTTATATGTAATCCCGTTTCCAACGAAATCCTCAAATCTAGCCAAATAGCCACTTGCAGATTCCACAAAAAGAGTGTTTCAAAACTGTTCTGTCTAAAGAAATGTTCAACTGTGTTAGTTGAGGACACACATCAGAAACTAGTTTCTGAGAATGCTTCTGTCTAGTTGTTATGGGAAGATATTTCCTTTTCCAACGTAGGCCTGAAAGCGCTCCAAATGTCCACTTCCAGATACTACAAAAAGAGTGTTTCAAACCTGCTCTACCAAAGGGAATGTTCTACTCTGTGACTTGAATGCAAGCATCCCAAAGAAGTTTCTGAGAATGCTTCTGTCTAGATTTTATCTGAAGACAATCCCGTTTCCAACGAAATTCTCAAGGCTAGGCAAATATACTCTTGCAGATTCCAGAAAAAGAGTGTTTCAAAACTGCTCCTTCAAAACGGTGGTTCAATTCTCTTAGTTGAGTCCACACATCTCAAATAAGTTTCTGAGAATGCTTCTGCCTAGTTGTTACGGGAAGATATTTCCCTTTCCAACATGGGCCTGAACGCGCTCCAAATGTCCACTTCCAGATACTACAAAAAGAGTGTTTCAAACCTGCTCTACCAAAGGGAATGTTCTACTCTGTGACTTGAATGCAAACATCCCAAAGAAGTTTCTGAGAATGCTTCTGTCTAGATTTTACCTGAAGACAATCCCGTTTCCCACGAAATCCTCAAAGCTATGCAAATATCCTCTTGCAGATTCTACAAAAAGAGTGTTTCAAAACTGCTCTATGAAAAGAAAGGTTCAACTCTGTCAGTAGAGGGCACACATCACAAACAAGTTTCTGAGAATGCTTGTGTCTAGTTGTTATGGGAAGATATTTCCTTTTTCAACATAGGCCTGAAAGCGCTCCAAATGTCCACTTCCAAATACTACAAAAGGAGTGATTCCAACCTGCTCTATGATAGGGAATGTTCATCTCTGTGTCCTGAATACAAACATCACAAAGATGTTTCTCAGAACGCTGCAGTCTGCAATTTGTATGAATTCCCGCTTCCAACGAAATCCTCAAAACTAGCCAAATATCCACTTGGAGATTCCACAAAAAGAGCGTTTCAAAACTTCTCTATGAATAGAAAGGTTCTACTCCTTTAGTTGAGGACACACATCACGAGTAAGTTTCTGAGAATGCTTCTGTCTAGTTTTTATGGGAAGATATGTCCTTTTTCACCTTAGGCCGGAAAGCGCTCCAAATGTCCACTTACACACACTACAAAAAGAGTGTTTCAAACCTGCTCTGTGAAAGGGAATGTTCAATTCTGTGACTTGAATGCAATCATCACAAAGAACTTTCTGAGAATGCTGCTGACTGCTTTTTATATGTAATCCCGTTTCCAACGAAATCCTCAAATCTAGCCCAATATCCACTTGCAGATTCCACAAAAAGAGTGTTTCAAAACTGTTCTGTCTAAAGAAATGTACAACTGTGTTAGTTGAGGACACACATCAGAAACTAGTTTCTGAGAATGCTTCTGTCTAGTTGTTATGGGAAGATATTTCCTTTTCCAACGTAGGCCTGAAAGCGCTCCAAATGTCCACTTCCAGATACTAAAAAAAGAGTGTTTCAAACCTGCTCTACCAAAGAGAATGTTCTACTCTGTGACTTGAATGCAAACATCCCAAAGAAGTTTCTGAGAATGCTTCTGTCTAGATTTTATCTGAAGACAATCCCGTTTCCAACGAAATCCTCAAGGCTAGGCAAATATATTCTTGCAGAATCCAGAAAAAGAGTGTTTCAAAACTGCTCCTTCAAAACGGTGGTTCAATTCTCTTAGTTGAGTACACACATCTCAAATAAGTTTCTGAGAATGCTTCTGCCTAGTTGTTACGGGAAGATATTTCCCTTTCCAACATGGGCCTGAAAGCGCTCCAAATGTCCACTTCCAGATACTACAAAAAGAGTGTTTCAAACCTGCTCTACCAAAGGGAATGTTCTACTCTGTGACTTGAATGCAAACATCCCAAAGAAGTTTCTGAGAATGCTTCTGTCTAGATTTTACCTGAAGACAATCCCGTTTCCCACGAAATCCTCAAAGCTATGCAAATATCCTCTTGCAGATTCTACAAAAAGAGTGTTTCAAAACTGCTCTATGAAAAGAAAGGTTCAACTCTGTCAGTAGAGGGCACACATCACAAACAAGTTTCTGAGAATGCTTCTGCATAGTTGTTACGGGAAGATATTTCCCTTTCCAAAATAGGCCTGAAAGCGCTCCAAATGTCCACTTCCAGATACTACAAAAGGAGTGATTCCAACCTGCTCTATGATAGGGAATGTTCAACTCTGTGTCCTGAATACAAACATCACAAAGATGTTTCTCAGAACGCTGCAGTCTGCAATTTGTATGAATTCCCGCTTCCAACGAAATCCTCAAAACTAGCCAAATATCCACTTGCAGATTCCACAAAAAGACCATTTCAAAACTGCTCTATCAAAAGAAAGGTTCAACTTTGTTAGTTGAGTAGATACAGCATAAACAAGTTTCTGAGAATGCTTCTGTCCAGTTTTTCTGGGAAGATATTTCCTTTTTCACCTTAGCCCTAAAATCGCTCCAAAAGTCCAGTTCCAGATACTACAAAAGGGGTGTTTCAAGACTGCTCTATGAAAGGGAGTGTTCAACTTTTGACTTGAATGCAAACATCAGAAAGCAGTTTCTCAGAACGCTGCTGTGTGCTTTTTATATGTATTCCCGCTTCCAGCGAAATCCCCAAAGCTAGCCAAATATCCACTTGCAGATTCCAGAAAAAGAGTGTTTCAAAACTGCTCCTTCAAAACGGTGGTTCAATTCTCTTAGTTGAGTAGACACATCTCAAATAAGTTTCTGAGAATGCTTCTGTCTAGTTGTTATGGGAAGATATTTCCTTTTCCAACATAGGCCTGAAAGCGCTCCAAATGTCCACTTCCAGATACTACAAAAGGAGTGATTCAAACCTGCTCTATGATAGGGAATGTTCAACTCTGTGTCCTGAATACAAACATCACAAAGATGTTTCTCAGAACGCTGCAGTCTGCAATTTGTATGAATTCCCGCTTCCAACGAAATCCTCAAAACTAGCCAAATATCCACTTGCAGATTCCACAAAAAGAGCGTTTCAAAACTTCTCTATGAAAAGAAAGGTTCTACTACTTTAGTTGAGGACACACATCACGAGTAAGTTTCTGAGAATGCTTCTGTCTAGTTTTTATGGGAAGATATTTCCTTTTTCACCTTAGGCCGGTAAGTGCTCCAAATGTCCACTTACACACACTACAAAAAGAGTGTTTCAAACCTGCTCTGTGAAAGGGAATGTTCAATTCTGTGACTTGAATGCAATCATCACAAAGAACTTTCTGAGAATGCTGCTGACTGCTTTTTATATGTAATCCCGTTTCCAACGAAATCCTCAAATCTAGCCAAATAGCCACTTGCAGATTCCACAAAAAGAGTGTTTCAAAACTGTTCTGTCTAAAGAAAAGTTCAACTGTGTTAGTTGAGGACACACATCAGAAACTAGTTTCTGAGAATGCTTCTGTCTAGTTGTTATGGGAAGATATTTCCTTTTCCAACGTAGGCCTGAAAGCGCTCCAAATGTCCATTTCCATATACTAAAAAAAGAGTGTTTCAAACCTGCTCTACCAAAGGGAATGTTCTACTCTGTGACTTGAATACAAACATCCCAAAGAAGTTTCTGAGAATGCTTCTGTCTAGATTTTCTCTGAAGACAATCCCGTTTCCAACGAAATCCTCAAGGCTAGGCAAATATACTCTTGCAGATTCCAGAAAAAGAGTGTTTCAAAACTGCTCCTTCAAAACGGTGGTTCAATTCTCTTAGTTGAGTACACACATCTCAAATAAGTTTCTGAGAATGCTTCTGCCTAGTTGTTACGGGAAGATATTTCCCTTTCCAACATGGGCCTGAAAGCGCTCCAAATGTCCACTTCCAGATACTACAAAAAGAGTGTTTCAAACCTGCTCTACCAAAGGGAATGTTCTACTCTGTGACTTGAATGCAAACATCCCAAAGAAGTTTCTGAGAATGCTTCTGTCTAGATTTTACCTGAAGACAATCCCGTTTCCCACGAAATCCTCAAAGCTATGCAAATATCCTCTTGCAGATTCTACAAAAAGAGTGTTTCAAAACTGCTCTATGAAAAGAAAGGTTCAACTCTGTCAGTAGAGGGCACACATCACAAACAAGTTTCTGAGAATGCTTCTGCATAGTTGTTACGGGAAGATATTTCCCTTTCCAAAATAGGCCTGAAAGCGCTCCAAATGTCCACTTCCAGATACTACAAAAGGAGTGATTCCAACCTGCTCTATGATAGGGAATGTTCAACTCTGTGTCCTGAATACAAACATCACAAAGATGTTTCTCAGAACGCTGCAGTCTGCAATTTGTATGAATTCCCGCTTCCAACGAAATCCTCAAAACTAGCCAAATATCCACTTGCAGATTCCACAAAAAGACCATTTCAAAACTGCTCTATCAAAAGAAAGGTTCAACTTTGTTAGTTGAGTAGATACAGCATAAACAAGTTTCTGAGAATGCTTCTGTCCAGTTTTTATGGGAAGATATTTCCTTTTTCACCTTAGCCCTGAAATCGCTCCAAAAGTCCAGTTCCAGATACTACAAAAGGGGTGTTTCAAGACTGCTCTATGAAAGGGAGTGTTCAACTTTTGACTTGAATGCAAACATCAGAAAGCAGTTTCTCAGAACGCTGCTGTGTGCTTTTTATATGTATTCCCGCTTCCAGCGAAATCCCCAAAGCTAGCCAAATATCCACTTGCAGATTCCAGAAAAAGAGTGTTTCAAAACTGCTCCTTCAAAACGGTGGTTCAATTCTCTTAGTTGAGTACACACATCTCAAATAAGTTTCTGAGAATGCTTCTGTCTAGTTGTTATGGGAAGATATTTCCTTTTCCAACATAGGCCTGAAAGCGCTCCAAATGTCCACTTCCAGATACTACAAAAGGAGTGATTCAAACCTGCTCTATGATAGGGAATGTTCAACTCTGTGTCCTGAATACAAACATCACAAAGATGTTTCTCAGAACGCTGCAGTCTGCAATTTGTATGAATTCCCGCTTCCAACGAAATCCTCAAAACTAGCCAAATATCCACTTGCAGATTCCACAAAAAGAGCGTTTCAAAACTTCTCTATGAAAAGAAAGGTTCTACTCCTTTAGTTGAGGACACACATCACGAGTAAGTTTCTGAGAATGCTTCTGTCTAGTTTTTATGGAAAGATATTTCCTTTTTCACCTTAGGCCGGAAAGTGCTCCAAATGTCCACTTACACACACTACAAAAAGAGTGTTTCAAACCTGCTCTGTGAAAGGGAATGTTCAATTCTGTGACTTGAATGCAATCATCACAAAGAACTTTCTGAGAATGCTGCTGTCTGCTTTTTATATGTAATCCCGTTTCCAACGAAATCCTCAAATCTAGCCAAATAGCCACTTGCAGATTCCACAAAAAGAGTGTTTCAAAACTGTTCTGTCTAAAGAAA
The DNA here is from genome assembly GCF_000001405.40 of Homo sapiens. NCBI lineage: Eukaryota > Metazoa > Chordata > Mammalia > Primates > Hominidae > Homo > Homo sapiens. The sequence continues at coordinate 16,168,157 of NC_000018.10, read as the reverse complement.
TGTTCAACTGTGTTAGTTGAGGACACACATCAGAAACTAGTTTCTGAGAATGCTTCTGTCTAGTTGTTATGGGAAGATATTTCTTTTTCCAACGTAGGCCTGAAAGCGCTCCAAATGTCCACTTCCATATACTAAAAAAAGAGTGTTTCAAACCTGCTCTACCAAAGGGAATATTCTACTCTGTGACTTGAATGCAAACATCCCAAAGAAGTTTCTGAGAATGCTTCTGTCTAGATTTTATCTGAAGACAATCCCGTTTCCAACGAAATCCTCAAGGCTAGGCAAATATACTCTTGCAGATTCCAGAAAAAGAGGGTTTCAAAACTGCTCCTTCAAAACGGTGGTTCAATTCTCTTAGTTGAGTACACACATCTCAAAAAAGTTTCTGAGAATGCTTCTGCCTAGTTGTTACGGGAAGATATTTCCCTTTCCAACATGGGCCTGAAAGCGCTCCAAATGTCCACTTCCAGATACTACAAAAAGAGTGTTTCAAACCTTCTCTACCAAAGGGAATGTTCTACTCTGTGACTTGAATGCAAACATCCCAAAGAAGTTTCTGAGAATGCTTCTGTCTAGATTTTACCTGAAGACAATCCCGTTTCCCACGAAATCCTCAAAGCTATGCAAATATCCTCTTGCGGATTCTACAAAAAGAGTGTTTCAAAACTGCTCTATGAAAAGAAAGGTTCAACTCTGTCAGTAGAGGGCACACATCACAAACAAGTTTCTGAGAATGCTTGTGTCTAGTTGTTATGGGAAGATATTTCCTTTTTCAACATAGGCCTGAAAGCGCTCCAAATGTCCACTTCCAGATACTACAAAAGGAGTGATTCCAACCTGCTCTATGATAGGGAATGTTCATGTCTGTGTCCTGAATACAAACATCACAAAGATGTTTCTCACAACGCTGCAGTCTGCAATTTGGATGAATTCCCGCTTCCTACGAAATCCTCAACACTAGCCAAATATCCACTTGGAGATTCCACAAAAAGAGCGTTTCAAAACTTCTCTATGAATAGAAAGGTTCTACTCCTTTAGTTGAGGACACACATCACGAGTAAGTTTCTCAGAATGCTTCTGTCTAGTTTTTATGGGAAGATATTTCCTTTTTCACCTTAGGCCGGAAAGTGCTCCAAATGTCCACTTACACACACTATACAAAGAGTGTTTCAAACCTGCTCTGTGAAAGGGAATATTCAATACTGTGACTTGAATGCAATCATCACAAAGAAGTTTCTGAGAATGCTGCTGTCTGCTTTTTATATGTAATCCCGTTTCCAACGAAATCCTCAAATCTAGCCAAATAGCCACTTGCAGATACCACAAAAAGAGTGTTTCAAAACTGTTCTGTCTAAAGAAATGTTCAACTGTGTTAGTTGAGGACACACATCAGAAACTAGTTTCTGAGAATGCTTCTGTCTAGTTGTTATGGGAAGATATTTCCTTTTCCAACATAGGCCTGAAAGCGCTCCAAATGTCCACTTCCAGATACTACAAAAAGAGTGTTTCAAACCTGCTCTACCAAAGGGAATGTTCTACTCTGTGACTTGAATGCAAACATCCCAAAGAAGTTTCTGAGAATGCTTCTGTCTAGATTTTACCTGAAGACAATCCCGTTTCCCACGAAATCCTCAAAGCTATGCAAATATCCTCTTGCAGATTCTACAAAAAGAGTGTTTCAAAACTGCTCTATGAAAAGAAAGGTTCAACTCTGTCAGTAGAGGGCACACATCACAAACAAGTTTCTGAGAATGCTTGTGTCTAGTTGTTATGGGAAGATATTTCCTTTTTCAACATAGGCCTGAAAGCGCTCCAAATGTCCACTTCCAGATACTACAAAAGGAGTGATTCCAACCTGCTCTATGATAGGGAATGTTCAACTCTCTGTCCTGAATACAAACATCACAAAGATGTTTCTCAGAACGCTGCAGTCTGCAATTTGTATGAATTCCCGCTTCCAACGAAATCCTCAAAACTAGCCAAATATCCACTTGCAGATTCCACAAAAAGAGCATTTCAAAACTGCTCTATCAAAAGAAAGGTTCAACTTTGTTAGTTGAGTAGATACAGCATAAACAAGTTTCTGAGAATGCTTCTGTCCAGTTTTTATGGGAAGATATTTCCTTTTTCACCTTAGCCCTGAAAGCGCTCCAAAAGTCCAGTTCCAGACACTACAAAAGGAGTGTTTCAGGACTGCTCTATGAAAGGGAGTGTTCAACTTTTGACTTGAATGCAAACATCAGAAAGCAGTTTCTCAGAACGCTGCTGTGTGCTTTTTATATGTATTCCCGCTTCCAGCGAAATCCCCAAAGCTAGCCAAATATCCACTTGCAGATTCCAGAAAAAGAGTGTTTCAAAACTGCTCCTTCAAAACGGTGGTTCAATTCTCTTAGTTGAGTACACACATCTCAAATAAGTTTCTGAGAATGCTTCTGTCTAGTTGTTATGGGAAGATATTTCCTTTTCCAACATAGGCCTGAAAGCGCTCCAAATGTCCACTTCCAGATACTACAAAAGGAGTGATTCCAACCTGCTCTATGATAGGGAATGTTCAACTCTGTGTCCTGAATACAAACATCACAAAGATGTTTCTCAGAACGCTGCAGTCTGCAATTTGTATGAATTCCCGCTTCCAACGAAATCCTCAAAACTAGCCAAATATCCACTTGCAGATTCCACAAAAAGAGCGTTTCAAAACTTCTCTATGAAAAGAAAGGTTCTACTCCTTTAGTTGAGGACACACATCACGAGTAAGTTTCTGAGAATGCTTCTGTCTAGTTTTTATGGGAAGATATTTCCTTTTTCACCTTAGGCCGGTAAGTGCTCCAAATGTCCACTTACACACACTACAAAAAGAGTGTTTCAAACCTGCTCTGTGAAAGGGAATGTTCAATTCTGTGACTTGAATGCAATCATCACAAAGAACTTTCTGAGAATGCTGCTGACTGCTTTTTATATGTAATCCCGTTTCCAACGAAATCCTCAAATCTAGCCAAATAGCCACTTGCAGATTCCACAAAAAGAGTGTTTCAAAACTGTTCTGTCTAAAGAAATGTTCAACTTGTGTTAGTTGAGGACACACATCAGAAACTAGTTTCTGAGAATGCTTCTGTCTAGTTGTTATGGGAAGATATTTCCTTTTCCAACGTAGGCCTGAAAGCGATCCAAATGTCCACTTCCATATACTAAAAAAAGAGTGTTTCAAACCTGCTCTACCAAAGGGAATGTTCTACTCTGTGACTTGAATGCAAACATCCCAAAGAAGTTTCTGAGAATGCTTCTGTCTAGATTTTCTCTGAAGACAATCCCGTTTCCAACGAAATCCTCAAGGCTAGGCAAATATACTCTTGCAGATTCCAGAAAAAGAGTGTTTCAAAACTGCTCCTTCAAAACGGTGGTTCAATTCTCTTAGTTGAGTACACACATCTCAAATAAGTTTCTGAGAATGCTTCTGCCTAGTTGTTACGGGAAGATATTTCCCTTTCCAACATGGGCCTGAAAGCGCTCCAAATGTCCACTTCCAGATACTACAAAAAGAGTGTTTCAAACCTGCTCTACCAAAGGGAATGTTCTACTCTGTGACTTGAATGCAAACATCCCAAAGAAGTTTCTGAGAATGCTTCTGTCTAGATTTTACCTGAAGACAATCCCGTTTCCCACGAAATCCTCAAAGCTATGCAAATATCCTCTTGCAGATTCTACAAAAAGAGTGTTTCAAAACTGCTCTATGAAAAGAAAGGTTCAACTCTGTCAGTAGAGGGCACACATCACAAACAAGTTTCTGAGAATGCTTCTGCATAGTTGTTACGGGAAGATATTTCCCTTTCCAAAATAGGCCTGAAAGCGCTCCAAATGTCCACTTCCAGATACTACAAAAGGAGTGATTCCAACCTGCTCTATGATAGGGAATGTTCAACTCTGTGTCCTGAATACAAACATCACAAAGATGTTTCTCAGAACGCTGCAGTCTGCAATTTGTATGAATTCCCGCTTCCAACGAAATCCTCAAAACTAGCCAAATATCCACTTGCAGATTCCACAAAAAGACCATTTCAAAACTGCTCTATCAAAAGAAAGGTTCAACTTTGTTAGTTGAGTAGATACAGCATAAACAAGTTTCTGAGAATGCTTCTGTCCAGTTTTTATGGGAAGATATTTCCTTTTTCACCTTAGCCCTGAAATCGCTCCAAAAGTCCAGTTCCAGATACTACAAAAGGGGTGTTTCAGGACTGCTCTATGAAAGGGAGTGTTCAACTTTTGACTTGAATGCAAACATCAGAAAGCAGTTTCTCAGAACGCTGCTGTGTGCTTTTTATATGTATTCCCGCCTCCAGCGAAATCCCCAAAGCTAGCCAAATATCCACTTGCAGATTCCAGAAAAAGAGTGTTTCAAAACTGCTCCTTCAAAACGGTGGTTCAATTCTCTTAGTTGAGTACACACATCTCAAATAAGTTTCTGAGAATGCTTTGTGTCTAGTTGTTATGGGAAGATATTTCCTTTTTCAACATAGGCCTGAAAGCGCTCCAAATGTCCACTTCCAGATACTACAAAAGGAGTGATTCCAACCTGCTCTATGATAGGGAATGTTCCACTCTGTGTCCTGAATACAAACATCACAAAGATGTTTCTCAGAACGCTGCAGTCTGCAATTTGTATGAATTCCCGCTTCCAACGAAATCCTCAAAACTAGCCAAATATCCACTTGCAGATTCCACAAAAAGAGCATTTCAAAACTGCTCTATCAAAAGAAAGGTTCAACTTTGTTAGTTGAGTAGATACAGCATAAACAAGTTTCTGAGAATGCTTCTGTCCAGTTTTTATGGGAAGATATTTCCTTTTTCACCTTAGCCCTGAAAGCGCTCCAAAAGTCCAGTTCCAGATACTGCAAAAGGAGTGTTTCAGGACTGCTCTATGAAAGGGAGTGTTCAACTTTTGACTTGAATGCAAACATCAGAAAGCAGTTTCTCAGAACGCTGCTGTGTGCTTTTTATATGTATTCCCGCTTCCAGCGAAATCCCCAAAGCTAGCCAAATATCCACTTGCAGATTCCAGAAAAAGAGTGTTTCAAAACTGCTCCTTCAAAACGGTGGTTCAATTCTCTTAGTTGAGTACACACATCTCAAATAAGTTTCTGAGAATGCTTCTGTCTAGTTGTTATGGGAAGATATTTCCTTTTCCAACATAGGCCTGAAAGCGCTCCAAATGTCCACTTCCAGATACTACAAAAGGAGTGATTCAAACCTGCTCTATGATAGGGAATGTTCAACTCTGTGTCCTGAATACAAACATCACAAAGATGTTTCTCAGAACGCTGCAGTCTGCAATTTGTATGAATTCCCGCTTCCAACGAAATCCTCAAAACTAGCCAAATATCCACTTGCAGATTCCACAAAAAGAGCGTTTCAAAACTTCTCTATGAAAAGAAAGGTTCTACTCCTTTAGTTGAGGACACACATCACGAGTAAGTTTCTGAGAATGCTTCTGTCTAGTTTTTATGGGAAGATATTTCCTTTTTCACCTTAGGCCGGAAAGTGCTCCAAATGTCCACTTACACACACTACAAAAAGAGTGTTTCAAACCTGTTCTGTGAAAGGGAATGTTCAATTCTGTGACTTGAATGCAATCATCACAAAGAACTTTCTGAGAATGCTGCTGTCTGCTTTTTATATGTAATCCCGTTTCCAACGAAATCCTCAAATCTAGCCAAATAGCCACTTACAGATTCCACAAAAAGAGTGTTTCAAAACTGTTCTGTCTAAAGAAATGTTCAACTGTGTTAGTTGAGGACACACATCAGAAACTAGTTTCTGAGAATGCTTCTGTCTAGTTGTTATGGGAAGATATTTCCTTTTCCAACGTAGGCCTGAAAGCGCTCCAAATGTCCACTTCCATATACTAAAAAAAGAGTGTTTCAAACCTGCTCTACCAAAGGGAATGTTCTACTCTGTGACTTGAATGCAAACATCCCAAAGAAGTTTCTGAGAATGCTTCTGTCTAGATTTGATCTGAAGACAATCCCGTTTCCAACGAAATCCTCAAGGCTAGGCAAATATCCTCTTGCAGATTCCAGAAAAAGAGTGTTTCAAAACTGCTCCTTCAAAACGGTGGTTCAATTCTCTTAGTTGAGTACACACATCTCAAATAAGTTTCTGAGAATGCTTCTGCCTAGTTGTTACGGGAAGATATTTCCCTTTCCAACATAGGCCTGAAAGCGCTCCAAATGTCCACTTCCAGATACTACAAAAAGAGTGTTTCAAACCTGCTCTACCAAAGGGAATGTTCTACTCTGTGACTTGAATGCAAACATCCCAAAGAAGTTTCTGAGAATGCTTCTGTCTAGATTTTACCTGAAGACAATCCCGTTTCCCACGAAATCCTCAAAGCTATGCAAATATCCTCTTGCAGATTCTACAAAAAGAGTGTTTCAAAACTGCTCTATGAAAAGAAAGGTTCAACTCTGTCAGTAGAGGGCACACATCACAAACAAGTTTCTGAGAATGCTTGTGTCTAGTTGTTATGGGAAGATATTTCCTTTTTCAACATAGGCCTGAAAGCGCTCCAAATGTCCACTTCCAGATACTACAAAAGGAGTGATTCCAACCTGCTCTATGATAGGGAATGTTCAACTCTCTGTCCTGAATACAAACATCACAAAGATGTTTCTCAGAACGCTGCAGTCTGCAATTTGTATGAATTCCCGCTTCCAACGAAATCCTCAAAACTAGCCAAATATCCACTTGCAGATTCCACAAAAAGAGCATTTCAAAACTGCTCTATCAAAAGAAAGGTTCAACTTTGTTAGTTGAGTAGATACAGCATAAACAAGTTTCTGAGAATGCTTCTGTCCAGTTTTTATGGGAAGATATTTCCTTTTTCACCTTAGCCCTGAAAGCGCTCCAAAAGTCCAGTTCCAGATACTACAAAAGGAGTGTTTCAGGACTGCTCTATGAAAGGGAGTGTTCAACTTTTGACTTGAATGCAAACATCAGAAAGCAGTTTCTCAGAACGCTGCTGTGTGCTTTTTATATGTATTCCCGCCTCCAGCGACATCCCCAAAGCTAGCCAAATATCCACTTGCAGATTCCAGAAAAAGAGTGTTTCAAAACTGCTCCTTCAAAACGGTGGTTCAATTCTCTTAGTTGAGTACACACATCTCAAATAAGTTTCTGAGAATGCTTCTGTCTAGTTGTTATGGGAAGATATTTCCTTTTCCAACATAGGCCTGAAAGCGCTCCAAATGTCCACTTCCAGATACTACAAAAGGAGTGATTCAAACCTGCTCTATGATAGGGAATGTTCAACTCTGTGTCCTGAATACAAACATCACAAAGATGTTTCTCAGAACGCTGCAGTCTGCAATTTGTATGAATTCCCGCTTCCAACGAAATCCTCCAAACTAGCCAAATATCCACTTGCAGATTCCACAAAAAGAGCGTTTCAAAACTTCTCTATGAAAGAAAGGTTCTACTCCTTTAGTTGAGGACACACATCACGAGTAAGTTTCTGAGAATGCTTCTGTCTAGTTTTTATGGGAAGATATTTCCTTTTTCACCTTAGGCCGGAAAGTGCTCCAAATGTCCACTTACACACACTACAAAAAGAGTGTTTCAAACCTGCTCTGTGAAAGGGAATGTTCAATTCTGTGACTTGAATGCAATCATCACAAAGAACTTTCTGAGAATGCTGGTGTCTGCTTTTTATATGTAATCCCGTTTCCAACGAAATCCTCAAATCTAGCCAAATAGCCACTTGCAGATTCCACAAAAAGAGAGTTTCAAAACTGTTCTGTCTAAAGAAATGTTCAACTGTGTTAGTTGAGGACACACATCAGAAACTAGTTTCTGAGAATGCTTCTGTCTAGTTGTTATGGGAAGATATTTCGTTTTCCAACGTAGGCCTGAAAGCGCTCCAAATGTACACTTCCATATACTAAAAAAAGAGTGTTTCACACCTGCTCTACCAAAGGGAATGTTCTACTCTGTGACTTGAATGCAAACATCCCAAAGAAGTTTCTGAGAATGCTTCTGTCTAGATTTGATCTGAACACAATCCCGTTTCCAACGAAATCCTCAAAGCTAGGCAAATATCCTCTTGCAGATTCCAGAAAAAGAGTGTTTCAAAACTGCTCCTTCAAAACGGTGGTTCAATTCTCTTAGTTGAGTACACACATCTCAAATAAGTTTCTGAGAATGCTTCTGCCTAGTTGTTACCGGAAGATATTTCCCTTTCCAACATAGGCCTGAAAGCGCTCCAAATGTCCACTTCCAGATACTACAAAAAGAGTGTTTCAAACCTGCTCTACCAAAGGGAATGTTCTACTCTGTGACTTGAATGCAAACATCCCAAAGAAGTTTCTGAGAATGCTTCTGTCTAGATTTTACCTGAAGACAATCCCGTTTCCCACGAAATCCTCAAAGCTATGCAAATATCCTCTTGCAGATTCTACAAAAAGAGTGTTTCAAAACTGCTCTATGAAAAGAAAGGTTCAACTCTGTCAGTAGAGGGCACACATCACAAACAAGTTTCTGAGAATGCTTGTGTCTAGTTGTTATGGGAAGATATTTCCTTTTTCAACATAGGCCTGAAAGCGCTCCAAATGTCCACTTCCAGATACTACAAAAGGAGTGATTCCAACCTGCTCTATGATAGGGAATGTTCAACTCTCTGTCCTGAATACAAACATCACAAAGATGTTTCTCAGAACGCTGCAGTCTGCAATTTGTATGAATTCCCGCTTCCAGCGAAATCCTCAAAACTAGCCAAATATCCACTTGCAGATTCCACAAAAAGAGCATTTCAAAACTGCTCTATCAAAAGAAAGGTTCAACTTTGTTAGTTGAGTAGATACAGCATAAACAAGTTTCTGAGAATGCTTCTGTCCAGTTTTTATGGGAAGATATTTCCTTTTTCACCTTAGCCCTGAAAGCGCTCCAAAAGTCCAGTTCCAGATACTACAAAAGGAGTGTTTCAGGACTGCTCTATGAAAGGGAGTGTTCAACTTTTGACTTGAATGCAAACATCAGAAAGCAGTTTCTCAGAACGCTGCTGTGTGCTTTTTATATGTATTCCCGCTTCCAGCGAAATCCCCAAAGCTAGCCAAATATCCACTTGCAGATTCCAGAAAAAGAGTGTTTCAAAACTGCTCCTTCAAAACGGTGGTTCAATTCTCTTAGTTGAGTACACACATCTCAAATAAGTTTCTGAGAATGCTTCTGTCTAGTTGTTATGGGAAGATATTTCCTTTTCCAACATAGGCCTGAAAGCGCTCCAAATGTCCACTTCCAGATACTACAAAAGGAGTGATTCAAACCTGCTCTATGATAGGGAATGTTCAACTCTGTGTCCTGAATACAAACATCACAAAGATGTTTCTCAGAACGCTGCAGTCTGCAATTTGTATGAATTCCCGCTTCCAACGAAATCCTCCAAACTAGCCAAATATCCACTTGCAGATTCCACAAAAAGAGCGCTTCAAAACGGCTCTATGAAAAGAAAGGTTCTACTCCTTTAGTTGAGGACACACATCACGAGTAAGTTTCTGAGAATGCTTCTGTCTAGTTTTTATGGGAAGATATTTCCTTTTTCACCTTAGGCCGGAAAGTGCTCCAAATGTCCACTTACACACACTACAAAAAGAGTGTTTCAAACCAGCCCTGTGAAAGGGAATGTTCAATTCTGTGACTTGAATGCAATCATCACAAAGAACTTTCTGAGAATGCTGCTGTCTGCTTTTTATATGTAATCCCGTTTCCAACGAAATCCTCAAATCTAGCCAAATAGCCACTTGCAGATTCCACAAAAAGAGTGTTTCAAAACTGTTCTGTCTAAAGAAATGTTCAACTGTGTTAGTTGAGGACACACATCAGAAACTAGTTTCTGAGAATGCTTCTGTCTAGTTGTTATGGGAAGATATTTCCTTTTCCAACGTAGGCCTGAAAGCGCTCCAAATGTCCACTTCCATATACTAAAAAAAGAGTGTTTCAAACCTGCTCTACCAAAGGGAATGTTCTACTCTGTGACTTGAATGCAAACATCCCAAAGAAGTTTCTGAGAATGCTTCTGTCTAGATTTTATCTGAAGACAATCCCGTTTCCAACGAAATCCTCAAGGCTAGGCAAATATCGTCTAGCAGATTCCAGAAAAAGAGTGTTTCAAAACTGCTCCTTCAAAACGGTGGTTCAATTCTCTTAGTTGCGTACACACATCTCAAAAAAGTTTCAGAGAATGCTTTCTGCCTAGTTGTTACGGGAAGATATTTCCCTTAGCAACATGGGCCAGAAAGCGCTCCAAATGTCCACTTCCAGATACTACAAAAAGAGGGTTTCAAACCTGCTCTACCAAAGGGAATGTTCTACTCTGTGACTTGAATGTAAACATCCCAAAGAAGTTTCTGAGAATGCTTCTGTCTAGATTTTTCCTGAAGACAATCCCGTTTCCCACGAAATCCTCAAAGCTATGCAAATATCCTCTTGCAGATTCTACAAAAAGAGTGTTTCAAAACTGCTCTATGAAAAGAAAGGTTCAACTCTGTCAGTAGAGGGCACACATCACAAACAAGTTTCTGAGAATGCTTGTGTCTAGTTGTTATGGGAAGATATTTCCTTTTTCAACATAGGCCTGAAAGCGCTCCAAATGTCCACTTCCAGATACTACAAAAGGAGTGATTCCAACCTGCTCTATGATAGGGAATGTTCCTCTCTGTGTCCTGAATACAAACATCACAAAGATGTTTCTCAGAACGCTGCAGTCTGCAATTTGTATGAATTCCCGCTTCCAACGAAATCCTCAAAACTAGCCAAATATCCACTTGGAGATTCCACAAAAAGAGCGTTTCAAAACTTCTCTATGAAAAGAAAGGTTCTACACCTTTAGTTGAGGACACACATCACGAGTAAGTTTCTGAGAATGCTTCTGTCTAGTTTTTATGGGAAGATATTTCCTTTTTCACCTTAGGCCGGAAAGCGCTCCAAATGTCCACTTACACACACTACAAAAAGAGTGTTTCAAACCTGCTCTGTGAAAGGGAATGTTCAATTCTGTGACTTGAATGCAATCATCACAAAGAACTTTGTGAGAATGCTGCTGTCTGCTTTTTATATGTAATCCCGTTTCCAACGAAATCCTCAAATCTAGCCAAATATCCACTTGCAGATTCCACAAAAAGAGTGTTTCAAAACTGTTCTGTCTAAAGAAAAGTTCAACTGTGTTAGTTGAGGACACACATCAGAAACTAGTTTCTGAGAATGCTTCTGTCTAGTTGTTATGGGAAGATATTTCCTTTTCCAACGTAGGCCTGAAAGCGCTCCAAATGTCCACTTCCATATACTAAAAAAAGAGTGTTTCAAACCTGCTCTACCAAAGGGAATGTTCTACTCTGTGACTTGAATGCAAACATCCCAAAGAAGTTTCTGAGAATGCTTCTGTCTAGATTTTATCTGAAGACAATCCCGTTTCCAACGAAATCCTCAAGGCTAGGCAAATATACTCTTGCAGATTCCAGAAAAAGAGTGTTTCAAAACTGCTCCTTCAAAACGGTGGTTCAATTCTCTTAGTTGAGTACACACATCTCAAATAAGTTTCTGAGAATGCTTCTGCCTAGTTGTTACGGGAAGATATTTCCCTTTCCAACATGGGCCTGAAAGCGCTCCAAATGTCCACTTCCAGATACTACAAAAAGAGTGTTTCAAACCTGCTCTACCAAAGGGAATGTTCTACTCTGTGACTTGAATGCAAACATCCCAAAGAAGTTTCTGAGAATGCTTCTTTCTAGATTTTACCTGAAGACAATCCCGTTTCCCACGAAATCCTCAAAGCTATGCAAATATCCTCTTGCGGATTCTACAAAAAGAGTGTTTCAAAACTGCTCTATGAAAAGAAAGGTTCAACTCTGTCAGTAGAGGGCACACATCACAAACAAGTTTCTGAGAATGCTTGTGTCTAGTTGTTATGGGAAGATATTTCCTTTTTCAACATAGGCCTGAAAGCGCTCCAAATGTCCACTTCCAGATACTACAAAAGGAGTGATTCCAACCTGCTCTATGATAGGGAATGTTCATCTCTGTGTCCTGAATACAAACATCACAAAGATGTTTCTCAGAACGCTGCAGTCTGCAATTTGTATGAATTCCCGCTTCCAACGAAATCCTCAAAACTAGCCAAATATCCACTTGGAGATTCCACAAAAAGAGCGTTTCAAAACTTCTCTATGAATAGAAAGCTTCTACTCCTTTAGTTGAGGACACACATCACGAGTAAGTTTCTGAGAATGCTTCTGTCTAGTTTTTATGGGAAGATATTTCCTTTTTCACCTTAGGCCGGAAAGCGCTCCAAATGTCCACTTACACACACTACAAAAAGAGTGTTTCAAACCTGCTCTGTGAAAGGGAATGTTCAATTCTGTGACTTGAATGCAGTCATCACAAAGAACTTTCTGAGAATGCTGCTGTCTGCTTTTTATACGTAATCCCGTTTCCAACGAAATCCTCAAATCTAGCCAAATATCCACTTGCAGATTCCACAAAAAGAGTGTTTCAAAACTGTTCTGTCTAAAGAAAAGTTCAACTGTGTTAGTTGAGGACACACATCAGAAACTAGTTTCTGAGAATGCTTCTGTCTAGTTGTTATGGGAAGATATTTCCTTTTCCAACGTAGGCCTGAAAGTGCTCCAAATGTCCACTTCCATATACTAAAAAAAGAGTGTTTCAAACCTGCTCTACCAAAGGGAATGTTCTACTCTGTGACTTGAATGCAAACATCCCAAAGAAGTTTCTGAGAATGCTTCTGTCTAGATTTTATCTGAAGACAATCCCGTTTCCAACGAAATCCTCAAGGCTAGGCAAATATCCTCTTGCAGATTCCAGAAAAAGAGTGTTTCAAAACTGCTCCTTCAAAACGGTGGTTCAATTCTCTTAGTTGAGTACACACATCTCAAATAAGTTTCTGAGAATGCTTCTGCCTAGTTGTTACGGGAAGATATTTCCCTTTCCAACATGGGCCTGAATGCGCTCCAAATGTCCACTTCCAGATACTACAAAAAGTGGGTTTCAAACCTGCTCTACCAAAGGGAATGTTCTACTCTGTGACTTGAATGCAAACATCCCAAAGAAGTTTCTGAGAATGCTTCTGTCTAGATTTTACCTGAAGACAATCCCGTTTCCCACGAAATCCTCAAAGCTATGCAAATATCCTCTTGCAGATTCTACAAAAAGAGTGTTTCAAAACTGCTCTATGAAAAGAAAGGTTCAACTCTGTCAGTAGAGGGCACACATCACAAACAAGTTTCTGAGAATGCTTCTGCATAGTTGTTACGGGAAGATATTTCCCTTTCCAAAATAGGCCAGAAAGCGCTCCAAATGTCCACTTCCAGATACTACAAAAGGAGTGATTCCAACCTGCTCTATGATAGGGAATGTTCAACTCTCTGTCCTGAATACAAACATCACAAAGATGTTTCTCAGAACGCTGCAGTCTGCAATTTGTATGAATTCCCGCTTCCAACGAAATCCTCAAAACTAGCCAAATATCCACTTGCAGATTCCACAAAAAGAGCATTTCAAAACTGCTCTATCAAAAGAAAGGTTCAACTTTGTTAGTTGAGTAGATACAGCATAAACAAGTTTCTGAGAATGCTTCTGTCCAGTTTTTATGGGAAGATATTTCCTTTTTCACCTTAGCCCTGAAAGTGCTCCAAAAGTCCAGTTCCAGATACTACAAAAGGAGTGTTTCAGGACTGCTCTATGAAAGGGAGTGTTCAACTTTTGACTTGAATGCAAACATCAGAAAGCAGTTTCTCAGAACGCTGCTGTGTGCTTTTTATATGTATTCCCGCTTCCAGCGAAATCCCCAAAGCTAGCCAAATATCCACTTGCAGATTCCAGAAAAAGAGTGTTTCAAAACTGCTCCTTCAAAACGGTGGTTCAATTCTCTTAGTTGAGTACACACATCTCAAATAAGTTTCTGAGAATGCTTCTGTCCAGTTTTTATGGGAAGATATTTCCTTTTTCACCTTAGCCCTGAAAGCGCTCCAAATTTCCAGTTCCAGATACTACAAAAGGGGTGTTTCAAGACTGCTCTATGAAAGGGAGTGTACAACTTTTGACTTGAATGCAAACATCAGAAAGCAGTTTCTCAGAACGCTGCAGTCTGCAATTTGTATGAATTCCCGCTTCCAACGAAATCCTCCAAACTAGCCAAATATCCACTTGCAGATTCCACAAAAAGAGCATTTCAAAACTGCTCTATCAAAAGAAAGGTTCAACTATGTTAGTTGAGTAGATACAGCATAAACAAGTTTCTGAGAATGATTCTCTCCAGTTTTTATGGGAAGATATTTCCTTTTTCACCTTAGCCCTGAAAGCGCTCCAAAAGTCCAGTTCCAGATACTACAAAAGGAGTGTTTCAGGACTGCTCTATGAAAGGGAGTGTTCAACTTTTGACTTGAATGCAAACATCAGAAAGCAGTTTCTCAGAACGCTGCTGTGTGCTTTTTATATGTATTCCCGCTTCCAGCGAAATCCCCAAAGCTAGCCAAATATCCACTTGCAGATTCCAGAAAAAGAGTGTTTCAAAACTGCTCCTTCAAAACGGTGGTTCAATTCTCTTAGTTGAGTACACACATCTCAAATAAGTTTCTGAGAATGCTTCTGTCTAGTTGTTATGGGAAGATATTTCCTTTTCCAACATAGGCCTGAAAGCGCTCCAAATGTCCACTTCCAGATACTACAAAAGGAGTGATTCCAACCTGCTCTATGATAGGGAATGTTCAACTCTGTGTCCTGAATACAAACATCACAAAGATGTTTCTCAGAACGCTGCAGTCTGCAATTTGTATGAATTCCCGCTTCCAACGAAATCCTCCAAACTAGCCAAATATCCACTTGCAGATTCCACAAAAAGAGCGTTTCAAAACTTCTCTATGAAAAGAAAGGTTCTACTCCTTTAGTTGAGGACACACATCACGAGTAAGTTTCTGAGAGTGCTTCTGTCTAGTTTTTATGGGAAGATGTTTCCTTTTTCACCTTAGGCCGGAAAGTGCTCCAAATGTCCACTTACACACACTACAAAAAGAGTGTTTCAAACCTGCTCTGTGAAAGGGAATGTTCAATTCTGTGACTTGAATGCAATCATCACAAAGAACTTTCTGAGAATGCTGCTGTCTGCTTTTTATATGTAATCCCGTTTCCAACGAAATCCTCAAATCTAGCCAAATAGCCACTTGCAGATTCCACAAAAAGAGTGTTTCAAAACTGTTCTGTCTAAAGAAATGTTCAACTGTGTTAGTTGAGGACACACATCAGAAACTAGTTTCTGAGAATGCTTCTGTCTAGTTGTTATGGGAAGATATTTCCTTTTCCAACATAGGCCTGAAAGCGCTCCAAATGTCCACTTCCAGATACTACAAAAAGAGTGTTTCAAACCTGCTCTACCAAAGGGAATGTTCTACTCTGTGACTTGAATGCAAACATCCCAAAGAAGTTTCTGAGAATGCTTCTGTCTAGATTTTACCTGAAGACAATCCCGTTTCCCACGAAATCCTCAAAGCTATGCAAATATCCTCTTGCAGATTCTACAAAAAGAGTGTTTCAAAACTGCTCTATGAAAAGAAAGGTTCAACTCTGTCAGTAGAGGGCACACATCACAAACAAGTTTCTGAGAATGCTTGTGTCTAGTTGTTATGGGAAGATATTTCCTTTTTCAACATAGGCCTGAAAGCGCTCCAAATGTCCACTTCCAGATACTACAAAAGGAGTGATTCCAACCTGCTCTATGATAGGGAATGTTCAACTCTCTGTCCTGAATACAAACATCACAAAGATGTTTCTCAGAACGCTGCAGTCTGCAATTTGTATGAATTCCCGCTTCCAACGAAATCCTCAAAACTAGCCAAATATCCACTTGCAGATTCCACAAAAAGAGCATTTCAAAACTGCTCTATCAAAAGAAAGGTTCAACTTTGTTAGTTGAGTAGATACAGCATAAACAAGTTTCTGAGAATGCTTCTGTCCAGTTTTTATGGGAAGATATTTCCTTTTTCACCTTAGCCCTGAAAGCGCTCCAAAAGTCCAGTTCCAGATACTACAAAAGGAGTGTTTCAGGACTGCTCTATGAAAGGGAGTGTTCAACTTTTGACTTGAATGCAAACATCAGAAAGCAGTTTCTCAGAACGCTGCTGTGTGCTTTTTATATGTATTCCCGCTTCCAGCGAAATCCCCAAAGCTAGCCAAATATCCACTTGCAGATTCCAGAAAAAGAGTGTTTCAAAACTGCTCCTTCAAAACGGTGGTTCAATTCTCTTAGTTGAGTACACACATCTCAAATAAGTTTCTGAGAATGCTTCTGTCTATTTGTTATGGGAAGATATTTCCTTTTCCAACATAGGCCTGAAAGCGCTCCAAATGTCCACTTCCAGATACTAGAAAAGGAGTGATTCAAACCTGCTCTATGATAGGGAATGTTCAACTCTGTGTCCTGAATACAAACATCACAAAGATGTTTCTCAGAACGCTGCAGTCTGCAATTTGTATGAATTCCCGCTTCCAACGAAATCCTCAAAACTAGCCAAATATCCACTTGCAGATTCCACAAAAAGAGCGTTTCAAAACTTCTCTATGAAAAGAAAGGTTCTACTCCTTTAGTTGAGGACACACATCACGAGTAAGTTTCTGAGAATGCTTCTGTCTAGTTTTTATGGGAAGATTATTTCCTTTTTCACCTTAGGCCGGTAAGTGCTCCAAATGTCCACTTACACACACTACAAAAAGAGTGTTTCAAACCTGCTCTGTGAAAGGGAATGTTCAATTCTGTGACTTGAATGCAATCATCACAAAGAACTTTCTGAGAATGCTGCTGACTGCTTTTTATATGTAATCCCGTTTCCAACGAAATCCTCAAATCTAGCCAAATAGCCACTTGCAGATTCCACAAAAAGAGTGTTTCAAAACTGTTCTGTCTAAAGAAATGTTCAACTGTGTTAGTTGAGGACACACATCAGAAACTAGTTTCTGAGAATGCTTCTGTCTAGTTGTTATGGGAAGATATTTCCTTTTCCAACGTAGGCCTGAAAGCGCTCCAAATGTCCACTTCCAGATACTACAAAAAGAGTGTTTCAAACCTGCTCTACCAAAGGGAATGTTCTACTCTGTGACTGGAATGCAAGCATCCCAAAGAAGTTTCTGAGAATGTTTCTGTCTAGATTTTCTCTGAAGACAATCCCGTTTCCAACGAAATCCTCAAGGCTAGGCAAATATACTCTTGCAGATTCCAGAAAAAGAGTGTTTCAAAACTGCTCCTTCAAAACGGTGGTTCAATTCTCTTAGTTGAGTACACACATCTCAAATAAGTTTCTGAGAATGCTTCTGCCTAGTTGTTACGGGAAGATATTTCCCTTTCCAACATGGGCCTGAAAGCGCTCCAAATGTCCACTTCCAGATACTACAAAAAGAGTGTTTCAAACCTGCTCTACCAAAGGGAATGTTCTACTCTGTGACTTGAATGCAAACATCCCAAAGAAGTTTCTGAGAATGCTTCTGTCTAGATTTTACCTGAAGACAATCCCGTTTCCCACGAAATCCTCAAAGCTATGCAAATATCCTCTTGCAGATTCTACAAAAAGAGTGTTTCAAAACTGCTCTATGAAAAGAAAGGTTCAACTCTGTCAGTAGAGGGCACACATCACAAACAAGTTTCTGAGAATGCTTCTGCATAGCTGTTACGGGAAGATATTTCCCTTTCCAACATAGGCCTGAAAGCGCTCCAAATGTCCACTTCCAGATACTACAAAAGGAGTGATTCCAACCTGCTCTATGATAGGGAATGTTCAACTCTGTGTCCTGAATACAAACATCACAAAGATGTTTCTCAGAACGCTGCAGTCTGCAATTTGTATGAATTCCCGCTTCCAACGAAATCCTCAAAACTAGCCAAATATCCACTTGCAGATTCCACAAAAAGACCATTTCAAAACTGCTCTATCAAAAGAAAGGTTCAACTTTGTTAGTTGAGTAGATACAGCATAAACAAGTTTCTGAGAATGCTTCTGTCCAGTTTTTATGGGAAGATATTTCCTTTTTCACCTTAGCCCTGAAATCGCTCCAAAAGTCCAGTTCCAGATACTACAAAAGGGGTGTTTCAAGACTGCTCTATGAAAGGGAGTGTTCAACTTTTGACTTGAATGCAAACATCAGAAAGCAGTTTCTCAGAACGCTGCTGTGTGCTTTTTATATGTATTCCCGCTTCCAGCGAAATCCCCAAAGCTAGCCAAATATCCACTTGCAGATTCCAGAAAAAGAGAGTTTCAAAACTGCTCCTTCAAAACGGTGGTTCAATTCTCTTAGTTGAGTACACACATCTCAAATAAGTTTCTGAGAATGCTTCTGTCTAGTTGTTATGGGAAGATATTTCCTTTTCCAACATAGGCCTGAAAGCGCTCCAAATGTCCACTTCCAGATACTACAAAAGGAGTGATTCCAACCTGCTCTATGATAGGGAATGTTCAACTCTGTGTCCTGAATACAAACATCACAAAGATGTTTCTCAGAACGCTGCAGTATGCAATTTGTATGAATTCCCGCTTCCAACGAAATCCTCAAAACTAGCCAAATATCCACTTGGAGATTCCACAAAAAGAGCGTTTGAAAACTTCTCTATGAATAGAAAGGTTCTACTCCTTTAGTTGAGGACACACATCACGAGTAAGATTCTGAGAATTCTTCTGTCTAGTTTTTATGGGAAGATATTTCCTTTCTCACCTTAGGCCGGAAAGTGCTCCAAATGTCCACTTACACACACTACAAAAAGAGTGTTTCAAATCTGCTCTGTGAAAGGGAATGTTCAATTCTGTGACTTGAATGCAATCATCACAAAGAACTTTCTGAGAATGCTGCTGTCTGCTTTTTATATGTAATCCCGTTTCCAACGAAATCCTCAAATCTAGCCAAATAGCCACTTGCAGATTCCACAAAAAGAGAGTTTCAAAACTGTTCTGTCTAAAGAAATGTTCAACTGTGTTAGTTGAGGACACACATCAGAAACTAGTTTCTGAGAATGCTTCTGTCTAGTTGTTATGGGAAGATATTTCCTTTTCCAACGTAGGCCTGAAAGCGCTCCAAATGTCCACTTCCATATACTAAAAAAAGAGTGTTTCAAACCTGCTCTACCAAAGGGAATGTTCTACTCTGTGACTTGAATGCAAACATCCCAAAGAAGTTTCTGAGAATGCTTCTGTCTAGATTTGATCTGAAGACAATCCCGTTTCCAACGAAATCCTCAAGGCTAGGCAAATATCCTCTTGCAGATTCCAGAAAAAGAGTGTTTCAAAACTGCTCCTTCAAAACTGTGGTTCAATTCTCTTAGTTGAGTACACACATCTCAAATAAGTTTCTGAGAATGCTTCTGCCTAGTTGTTACGGGAAGATATTTCCCTTTCCAACATAGGCCTGAAAGCGCTCCAAATGTCCACTTCCAGATACTACAAAAAGAGTGTTTCAAACCTGCTCTACCAAAGGGAATGTTCTACTCTGTGACTTGAATGCAAACATCCCAAAGAAGTTTCTGAGAATGCTTCTGTCTAGATTTTACCTGAAGACAATCCCGTTTCCCACGAAATCCTCAAAGCTATGCAAATATCCTCTTGCAGATTCTACAAAAAGAGTGTTTCAAAACTGCTCTATGAAAAGAAAGGTTCAACTCTGTCAGTAGAGGGCACACATCACAAACAAGTTTCTGAGAATGCTTGTGTCTAGTTGTTATGGGAAGATATTTCCTTTTTCAACATAGGCCTGAAAGCGCTCCAAATGTCCACTTCCAGATACTACAAAAGGAGTGATTCCAACCTGCTCTATGATAGGGAATGTTCAACTCTCTGTCCTGAATACAAACATCACAAAGATGTTTCTCAGAACGCTGCAGTCTGCAATTTGTATGAATTCCCGCTTCCAACGAAATCCTCAAAACTAGCCAAATATCCACTTGCAGATTCCACAAAAAGAGCATTTCAAAACTGCTCTATCAAAAGAAAGGTTCAACTTTGTTAGTTGAGTAGATACAGCATAAACAAGTTTCTGAGAATGCTTCTGTCCAGTTTTTATGGGAAGATATTTCCTTTTTCACCTTAGCCCTGAAAGCGCTCCAAAAGTCCAGTTCCAGATACTACAAAAGGAGTGTTTCAGGACTGCTCTATGAAAGGGAGTGTTCAACTTTTGACTTGAATGCAAACATCAGAAAGCAGTTTCTCAGAACGCTGCTGTGTGCTTTTTATATGTATTCCCGCTTCCAGCGAAATCCCCAAAGCTAGCCAAATATCCACTTGCAGATTCCAGAAAAAGAGTGTTTCAAAACTGCTCCTTCAAAACGGTGGTTCAATTCTCTTAGTTGAGTACACACATCTCAAATAAGTTTCTGAGAATGCTTCTGTCTAGTTGTTATGGGAAGATATTTCCTTTTCCAACATAGGCCTGAAAGCGCTCCAAATGTCCACTTCCAGATACTACAAAAGGAGTGATTCAAACCTGCTCTATGATAGGGAATGTTCAACTCTGTGTCCTGAATACAAACATCACAAAGATGTTTCTCAGAACGCTGCAGTCTGCAATTTGTATGAATTCCCGCTTCCAACGAAATCCTCAAAACTAGCCAAATATCCACTTGCAGATTCCACAAAAAGAGCGTTTCAAAACTTCTCTATGAAAAGAAAGGTTCTACTCCTTTAGTTGAGGACACACATCACGAGTAAGTTTCTGAGAATGCTTCTGTCTAGTTTTTATGGGAAGATATTTCCTTTTTCACCTTAGGCCGGTAAGTGCTCCAAATGTCCACTTACACACACTACAAAAAGAGTGTTTCAAACCTGCTCTGTGAAAGGGAATGTTCAATTCTGTGACTTGAATGCAATCATCACAAAGAACTTTCTGAGAATGCTGCTGACTGCTTTTTATATGTAATCCCGTTTCCAACGAAATCCTCAAATCTAGCCAAATAGCCACTTGCAGATTCCACAAAAAGAGTGTTTCAAAACTGTTCTGTCTAAAGAAATGTTCAACTGTGTTAGTTGAGGACACACATCAGAAACTAGTTTCTGAGAATGCTTCTGTCTAGTTGTTATGGGAAGATATTTCCTTTTCCAACGTAGGCCTGAAAGCGCTCCAAATGTCCACTTCCATATACTAAAAAAAGAGTGTTTCAAACCTGCTCTACCAAAGGGAATGTTCTACTCTGTGACTTGAATGCAAACATCCCAAAGAAGTTTCTGAGAATGCTTCTGTCTAGATTTTATCTGAAGACAATCCCGTTTCCAACGAAATCCTCAAGGCTAGGCAAATATACTCTTGCAGATTCCAGAAAAAGAGGGTTTCAAAACTGCTCCTTCAAAACGGTGGTTCAATTCTCTTAGTTGAGTCCACACATCTCAAATAAGTTTCTGAGAATGCTTCTGCCTAGTTGTTACGGGAAGATATTTCCCTTTCCAACATGGGCCTGAAAGCGCTCCAAATGTCCACTTCCAGATACTACAAAAAGAGTGTTTCAAACCTACTCTACCAAAGGGAATGTTCTACTCTGTGACTTGAATGCAAACATCCCAAAGAAGTTTCTGAGAATGCTTCTGTCTAGATTTTACCTGAAGACAATCCCGTTTCCCACGAAATCCTCAAAGCTATGCAAATATCCTCTTGCAGATTCTACAAAAAGAGTGTTTCAAAACTGCTCTATGAAAAGAAAGGTTCAACTCTGTCAGTAGAGGGCACACATCACAAACAAGTTTCTGAGAATGTTTGTGTCTAGTTGTTATGGGAAGATATTTCCTTTTTCAACATAGGCCTGAAAGCGCTCCAAATGTCCACTTCCAGATACTACAAAAGGAGTGATTCCAACCTGCTCTATGATAGGGAATGTTCAACTCTGTGTCCTGAATACAAACATCACAAAGATGTTTCTCAGAACGCTGCAGTCTGCAATTTGTATGTATTCCAGCTTCCAACGAAATCCTCAAATCTAGCCAAATATCCACTTGCAGATTCCACAAAAAGAGCATTTCAAAACTGCTCTATCAAAAGAAAGGTTCAACTTTTTTAGTAGAGTAGATACAGCATAAACAAGTTTCTGAGAATGCTTCTGTCCAGTTTTTATGGGAAGATATTTCCTTTTTCACCTTAGCCCTGAAATCGCTCCAAAAGTCCAGTTCCAGATACTACAAAAGGGGTGTTTCAGGACTGCTCTATGAAAGGGAGTGTTCAACTTTTGACTTGAATGCAAACATCAGAAAGCAGTTTCTCAGAACGCTGCAGTCTGCAATTTGTATGAATTCCCGCTTCCAACGAAATCCTCAAAACTAGCCAAATATCCACTTGCAGATTCCACAAAAAGAGCGTTTCAAAACTTCTCTATGAAAAGAAAGGTTCTACTCCTTTAGTTGAGGACACACAATACGAGTAAGTTTCTGAGAATGCTTCTGTCCAGTTTTTATGGGAAGATATTTCCTTTTTCACCTTAGCCCTGAAAGCGCTCCAAAAGTCCAGTTCCAGATACTACAAAAGGAGTGTTTCAGGACTGCTCTATGAAAGGGAGTGTTCAACTTTTGACTTGAATGCAAACATCAGAAAGCAGTTTCTCAGAACGCTGCTGTGTGCTTTTTATATGTATTCCCGCTTCCAGCGAAATCCCCAAAGCTAGCCAAATATCCACTTGCAGATTCCAGAAAAAGAGTGTTTCAAAACTGCTCCTTCAAAACGGTGGTTCAATTCTCTTAGTTGAGTACACACATCTCAAATAAGTTTCTGAGAATGCTTCTGTCTAGTTGTTATGGGAAGATATTTCCTTTTCCAACATAGGCCTGAAAGCGCTCCAAAGGTCCACTTCCAGATACTACAAAAGGAGTGATTCAAACCTGCTCTATGATAGGGAATGTTCAACTCTGTGTCCTGAATACAAACATCACAAAGATGTTTCTCAGAACGCTGCAGTCTGCAATTTGTATGAATTCCCGCTTCCAACGAAATCCTCAAAACTAGCCAAATATCCACTTGCAGATTCCACAAAAAGAGCGTTTCAAAACTTCTCTATGAAAAGAAAGGTTCTACTCCTTTAGTTGAGGACACACATCACGAGTAAGTTTCTGAGATGCTTCTGTCTAGTTTTTATGGGAAGATATTTCCTATTTCACCTTAGGCCGGAAAGTGCTCCAAATGTCCACTTACACACACTACAAAAAGAGTGTTTCAAACCTGCTCTGTGAAAGGGAATGTTCAATTCTGTGACTTGAATGCAATCATCACAAAGAAGTTTCTGAGAATGCTGCTGTCTGCTTTTTATATGTAATCCCGTTTCCAACGAAATCCTCAAATCTAGCCAAATAGCCACTTGCAGATTCCACAAAAAGAGTGTTTCAAAACTGTTCTGTCTAAAGAAATGTTCAACTGTGTTAGTTGAGGACACACATCAGAAACTAGTTTCTGAGAATGCTTCTGTCTAGTTGTTATGGGAAGATATTTCCTTTTCCAACGTAGGCCTGAAAGCGCTCCAAATGTCCACTTCCATATACTAAAAAAAGAGTGTTTCAAACCTGCTCTACCAAAGGGAATGTTCTACTCTGTGACTTGAATGCAAACATCCCAAAGAAGTTTCTGAGAATGCTTCTGTCTAGATTTGATCTGAAGACAATCCCGTTTCCAACGAAATCCTCAAGGCTAGGCAAATATCCTCTTGCAGATTCCAGAAAAAGAGTGTTTCAAAACTGCTCCTTCAAAACGGTGGTTCAATTCTCTTAGTTGAGTACACACATCTCAAATAAGTTTCTGAGAATGCTTCTGCCTAGTTGTTACGGGAAGATATTTCCCTTTCCAACATAGGCCTGAAAGCGCTCCAAATGTCCACTTCCAGATACTACAAAAAGAGTGTTTCAAACCTGCTCTACCAAAGGGAATGTTCTACTCTGTGACTTGAATGCAAACATCCCAAAGAAGTTTCTGAGAATGCTTCTGTCTAGATTTTACCTGAAGACAATCCCGTTTCCCACGAAATCCTCAAAGCTATGCAAATATCCTCTTGCAGATTCTACAAAAAGAGTGTTTCAAAACTGCTCTATGAAAAGAAAGGTTCAACTCTGTCAGTAGAGGGCACACATCACAAACAAGTTTCTGAGAATGCTTGTGTCTAGTTGTTATGGGAAGATATTTCCTTTTTCAACATAGGCCTGAAAGCGCTCCAAATGTCCACTTCCAGATACTACAAAAGGAGTGATTCCAACCTGCTCTATGATAGGGAATGTTCAACTCTCTGTCCTGAATACAAACATCACAAAGATGTTTCTCAGAACGCTGCAGTCTGCAATTTGTATGAATTCCCGCTTCCAACGAAATCCTCAAAACTAGCCAAATATCCACTTGCAGATTCCACAAAAAGAGCATTTCAAAACTGCTCTATCAAAAGAAAGGTTCAACTTTGTTAGTTGAGTAGATACAGCATAAACAAGTTTCTGAGAATGCTTCTGTCCAGTTTTTATGGGAAGATATTTCCTTTTTCACCTTAGCCCTGAAAGCGCTCCAAAAGTCCAGTTCCAGATACTACAAAAGGAGTGTTTCAGGACTGCTCTATGAAAGGGAGTGTTCAACTTTTGACTTGAATGCAAACATCAGAAAGCAGTTTCTCAGAACGCTGCTGTGTGCTTTTTATATGTATTCCCGCTTCCAGCGAAATCCCCAAAGCTAGCCAAATAGCCACTTGCAGATTCCAGAAAAAGAGTGTTTCAAAACTGCTCCTTCAAAACGGTGGTTCAATTCTCTTAGTTGAGTACACACATCTCAAATAAGTTTCTGAGAATGCTTCTGTCTAGTTGTTATGGGAAGATATTTCCTTTTCCAACATAGGCCTGAAAGCGCTCCAAATGTCCACTTCCAGATACTACAAAAGGAGTGATTCAAACCTGCTCTATGATAGGGGATGTTCAACTCTGTGTCCTGAATACAAACATCACAAAGATGTTTCTCAGAACGCTGCAGTCTGCAATTTGTATGAATTCCCGCTTCCAACGAAATCCTCAAAACTAGCCAAATATCCACTTGCAGATTCCACAAAAAGAGCGTTTCAAAACTTCTCTATGAAAAGAAAGGTTCTACTCCTTTAGTTGAGGACACACATCACGAGTAAGTTTCTGAGAATGCTTCTGTCTAGTTTTTATGGGAAGATTATTTCCTTTTTCACCTTAGGCCGGTAAGTGCTCCAAATGTCCACTTACACACACTACAAAAAGAGTGTTTCAAACCTGCTCTGTGAAAGGGAATGTTCAATTACTGTGACTTGAATGCAATCATCACAAAGAACTTTCTGAGAATGCCGCTGACTGCTTTTTATATGTAATCCCGTTTCCAACGAAATCCTCAAATCTAGCCAAATAGCCACTTGCAGATTCCACAAAAAGAGTGTTTCAAAACTGTTCTGTCTAAAGAAATGTTCAACTGTGTTAGTTGAGGACACACATCAGAAACTAGTTTCTGAGAATGCTTCTGTCTAGTTGTTATGGGAAGATATTTCCTTTTCCAACGTAGGCCTGAAAGCGCTCCAAATGTCCACTTCCAGATACTACAAAAAGAGTGTTTCAAACCTGCTCTACCAAAGGGAATGTTCTACTCTGTGACTTGAATGCAAGCATCCCAAAGAAGTTTCTGAGAATGCTTCTGTCTAGATTTTCTCTGAAGACAATCCCGTTTCCAACGAAATCCTCAAGGCTAGGCAAATATACTCTTGCAGATTCCAGAAAAAGAGTGTTTCAAAACTGCTCCTTCAAAACGGTGGTTCAATTCTCTTAGTTGAGTACACACATCTCAAATAAGTTTCTGAGAATGCTTCTGCCTAGTTGTTACGGGAAGATATTTCCCTTTCCAACATGGGCCTGAAAGCGCTCCAAATGTCCACTTCCAGATACTACAAAAAGAGTGTTTCAAACCTGCTCTACCAAAGGGAATGTTCTACTCTGTGACTTGAATGCAAACATCCCAAAGAAGTTTCTGAGAATGCTTCTGTCTAGATTTTACCTGAAGACAATCCCGTTTCCCACGAAATCCTCAAAGCTATGCAAATATCCTCTTGCAGATTCTACAAAAAGAGTGTTTCAAAACTGCTCTATGAAAAGAAAGGTTCAACTCTGTCAGTAGAGGGCACACATCACAAACAAGTTTCTGAGAATGCTTCTGCATAGTTGTTATGGGAAGATATTTCCCTGTCCAAAATAGGCCTGAAAGCGCTCCAAATGTCCACTTCCAGATACTACAAAAGGAGTGATTCCAACCTGCTCTATGATAGGGAATGTTCAACTCTGTGTCCTGAATACAAACATCACAAAGATGTTTCTCATAACGCTGCAGTCTGCAATTTGTATGAATTCCCGCTTCCAACGAAATCCTCAAAACTAGCCAAATATCCACTTGCAGATTCCACAAAAAGACCATTTCAAAACTGCTCTATCAAAAGAAAGGTTCAACTTTGTTAGTTGAGTAGATACAGCATAAACAAGTTTCTGAGAATGCTTCTGTCCAGTTTTTATGGGAAGATATTTCCTTTTTCACCTTAGCCCTAAAATCGCTCCAAAAGTCCAGTTCCAGATACTACAAAAGGGGTGTTTCAAGACTGCTCTATGAAAGGGAGTGTTCAACTTTTGACTTGAATGCAAACATCAGAAAGCAGTTTCTCAGAACGCTGCTGTGTGCTTTTTATATGTATTCCCGCTTCCAGCGAAATCCCCAAAGCTAGCCAAATATCCACTTGCAGATTCCAGAAAAAGAGTGTTTCAAAACTGCTCCTTCAAAACGGTGGTTCAATTCTCTTAGTTGAGTAGACACATCTCAAATAAGTTTCTGAGAATGCTTCTGTCTAGTTGTTATGGGAAGATATTTCCTTTTCCAACATAGGCCTGAAAGCGCTCCAAATGTCCACTTCCAGATACTACAAAAGGAGTGATTCAAACCTGCTCTATGATAGGGAATGTTCAACTCTGTGTCCTGAATACAAACATCACAAAGATGTTTCTCATAACGCTGCAGTCTGCAATTTGTATGAATTCCCGCTTCCAACGAAATCCTCAAAACTAGCCAAATATCCACTTGCAGATTCCACAAAAAGAGCGTTTCAAAACTTCTCTATGAAAAGAAAGGTTCTACTACTTTAGTTGAGGACACACATCACGAGTAAGTTTCTGAGAATGCTTCTGTCTAGTTTTTATGGGAAGATATTTCCTTTTTCACCTTAGGCCGGTAAGTGCTCCAAATGTCCACTTACACACACTACAAAAAGAGTGTTTCAAACCTGCTCTGTGAAAGGGAATGTTCAATTCTGTGACTTGAATGCAATCATCACAAAGAACTTTCTGAGAATGCTGCTGACTGCTTTTTATATGTAATCCCGTTTCCAACGAAATCCTCAAATCTAGCCAAATAGCCACTTGCAGATTCCACAAAAAGAGTGTTTCAAAACTGTTCTGTCTAAAGAAAAGTTCAACTGTGTTAGTTGAGGACACACATCAGAAACTAGTTTCTGAGAATGCTTCTGTCTAGTTGTTATGGGAAGACATTTGCTTTTCCAACGTAGGCCTGAAAGCGCTCCAAATGTCCACTTACACACACTACAAAAAGAGTGTTTCAAACCTGCTCTATCAAAGTAAATGTTCTACTCTGTGACTTGAATGCAAACATCCCAAAGAAGTTTCTGAGAATGCTTCTGTCTAGATTTTACCTGAAGACAATCCCGTTTCCCACGAAATCCTCAAAGCTATGCAAATATCCTCTTGCAGATTCTACAAAAAGAGTGTTTCGAAACTGCTCTATGAAAAGAAAGGATCAACTGTGTCAGTAGAGGGCACACATCACAAACAAGTTTCTGAGAATGCTTCTGCCTAGTTGTTATGGGAAGATATTTCCTTTTTCAACATAGGCCTGAAAGCCCTCCAAATGTCCACTTCCAGATACTACAAAAGGAGTGATTCCAACCTGCTCTATGATAGGGAATGTTCAACTCTGTGTCCTGAATACAAACATCACAAAGATGTTTCTCACAACGCTGCAGTCTGCAATTTGTATGAATTCCCGCTTCCAACGAAATCCTCAAACCTAGCCAAATATCCACTTGCAGATTCCACAAAAAGAGCATTTCAAAACTGCTCTATCAAAAGAAAGGTTCAACTTTGTTAGTTGAGTAGATACAGCATAAACAAGTTTCTGAGAATGCTTCTGTCCAGTTTTTATGGGAAGATAGTTCCTTTTTCACCTTAGCCCTGAAAGCGCTCCAAATGTCCAGTTCCCGATACTACAAAAGGGGTGTTTCAAGACTGCTCTATGAAAGGGAGTGTTCAACTTTTGACTTGAATGCAAACATCAGAAAGCAGTTTCTCAGAACGCTGCTGTGTGCTTTTTATATGTATTCCCGCTTCCAGCGAAATCCCCAAAGCTAGCCAAATATCCACTTGCAGATTCCAGAAAAAGAGTGTTTCAAAACTGCTCCTTCAAAACGGTGGTTCAATTCTCTTAGTTGAGTACACACATCTCAAATAAGTTTCTGAGAATGCTTCTGTCTAGTTGTTATGGGAAGATATTTCCTTTTCCAACATAGGCCTGAAAGCGCTCCAAATGTCCACTTCCAGATACTACAAAAGGAGTGATTCCAACCTGCTCTATGATAGGGAATGTTCAACTCTGTGTCCTGAATACAAACATCACAAAGATGTTTCTCAGAACGCTGCAGTCTGCAATTTGTATGAATTCCCCGCTTCCAACGAAATCCTCAAAACTAGCCAAATATCCACTTGCAGATTCCACAAAAAGAGCGTTTCAAAACTTCTCTATGAAAAGAAAGGTTCTACTCCTTTAGTTGAGGACACACATCACGAGTAAGTTTCTGAGAATGCTTCTGTCTAGTTTTTATGGGAAGATATTTCCTTTTTCACCTTAGGCCGGTAAGTGCTCCAAATGTCCACTTACACACACTACAAAAAGAGTGTTTCAAACCTGCTCTGTGAAAGGGAATGTTCAATTCTGTGACTTGAATGCAATCATCACAAAGAACTTTCTGAGAATGCTGCTGACTGCTTTTTATATGTAATCCCGTTTCCAACGAAATCCTCAAATCTAGCCAAATAGCCACTTGCAGATTCCACAAAAAGAGTGTTTCAAAACTGTTCTGTCTAAAGAAATGTTCAACTGTGTTAGTTGAGGACACACATCAGAAACTAGTTTCTGAGAATGCTTCTGTCTAGTTGTTATGGGAAGATATTTCCTTTTCCAACGTAGGCCTGAAAGCGCTCCAAATGTCCACTTCCAGATACTACAAAAAGAGTGTTTCAAACCTGCTCTACCAAAGGGAATGTTCTACTCTGTGACTTGAATGCAAACATCCCAAAGAAGTTTCTGAGAATGCTTCTGTCTAGATTTTCTCTGAAGACAATCCCGTTTCCAACGAAATCCTCAAGGCTAGGCAAATATACTCTTGCAGATTCCAGAAAAAGAGTGTTTCAAAACTGCTCCTTCAAAACGGTGGTTCAATTCTCTTAGTTGAGTACACACATCTCAAATAAGTTTCTGAGAATGCTTCTGCCTAGTTGTTACGGGAAGATATTTCCCTTTCCAACATGGGCCTGAAAGCGCTCCAAATGTCCACTTCCAGATACTACAAAAAGAGTGTTTCAAACCTGCTCTACCAAAGGGAATGTTCTACTCTGTGACTTGAATGCAAACATCCCAAAGAAGTTTCTGAGAATGCTTCTGTCTAGATTTTACCTGAAGACAATCCCGTTTCCCACGAAATCCTCAAAGCTATGCAAATATCCTCTTGCAGATTCTACAAAAAGAGTGTTTCAAAACTGCTCTATGAAAAGAAAGGTTCAACTCTGTCAGTAGAGGGCACACATCACAAACAAGTTTCTGAGAATGCTTCTGCATAGTTGTTACGGGAAGATATTTCCCTTTCCAAAATAGGCCTGAAAGCGCTCCAAATGTCCACTTCCAGATACTACAAAAGGAGTGATTCCAACCTGCTCTATGATAGGGAATGTTCAACTCTGTGTCCTGAATACAAACATCACAAAGATGTTTCTCAGAACGCTGCAGTCTGCAATTTGTATGAATTCCCGCTTCCAACGAAATCCTCAAAACTAGCCAAATATCCACTTGCAGATTCCACAAAAAGACCATTTCAAAACTGCTCTATCAAAAGAAAGGTTCAACTTTGTTAGTTGAGTAGATACAGCATAACCAAGTTTCTGAGAATGCTTCTGTCCAGTTTTTATGGGAAGATATTTCCTTTTTCACCTTAGCCCTGAAATCGCTCCAAAAGTCCAGTTCCAGATACTACAAAAGGGGTGTTTCAAGACTGCTCTATGAAAGGGAGTGTTCAACTTTTGACTTGAATGCAAACATCAGAAAGCAGTTTCTCAGAACGCTGCTGTGTGCTTTTTATATGTATTCCCGCTTCCAGCGAAATCCCCAAAGCTAGCCAAATATCCACTTGCAGATTCCAGAAAAAGAGAGTTTCAAAACTGCTCCTTCAAAACGGTGGTTCAATTCTCTTAGTTGAGTACACACATCTCAAATAAGTTTCTGAGAATGCTTCTGTCTAGTTGTTATGGGAAGATATTTCCTTTTCCAACATAGGCCTGAAAGCGCTCCAAATGTCCACTTCCAGATACTACAAAAGGAGTGATTCCAACCTGCTCTATGATAGGGAATGTTCAACTCTGTGTCCTGAATACAAACATCACAAAGATGTTTCTCAGAACGCTGCAGTCTGCAATTTGTATGAATTCCCGCTTCCAACGAAATCCTCAAAACTAGCCAAATATCCACTTGCAGATTCCACAAAAAGAGCGTTTCAAAACTTCTCTATGAAAAGAAAGGTTCTACTCCTTTAGTTGAGGACACACATCACGAGTAAGTTTCTGAGAATGCTTCTGTCTAGTTTTTATGGGAAGATTATTTCCTTTTTCACCTTAGGCCGGTAAGTGCTCCAAATGTCCACTTACACACACTACAAAAAGAGTGTTTCAAACCTGCTCTGTGAAAGGGAATGTTCAATTCTGTGACTTGAATGCAATCATCACAAAGAACTTTCTGAGAATGCTGCTGACTGCTTTTTATATGTAATCCCGTTTCCAACGAAATCCTCAAATCTAGCCAAATAGCCACTTGCAGATTCCACAAAAAGAGTGTTTCAAAACTGTTCTGTCTAAAGAAATGTTCAACTGTGTTAGTTGAGGACACACATCAGAAACTAGTTTCTGAGAATGCTTCTGTCTAGTTGTTATGGGAAGATATTTCCGTTTCCAACGTAGGCCTGAAAGCGCTCCAAATGTCCACTTCCATATACTAAAAAAAGAGTGTTTCAAACCTGCTCTACCAAAGGGAATGTTCTACTCTGTGACTTGAATGCAAACATCCCAAAGAAGTTTCTGAGAATGCTTCTGTCTAGATTTGATCTGAAGACAATCCCGTTTCCAACGAAATCCTCAAGGCTAGGCAAATATCCTCTTGCAGATTCCAGAAAAAGAGTGTTTCAAAACTGCTCCTTCAAAACGGTGGTTCAATTCTCTTAGTTGAGTACACACATCTCAAATAAGTTTCTGAGAATGCTTCTGCCTAGTTGTTACGGGAAGATATTTCCCTTTCCAACATAGGCCTGAAAGCGCTCCAAATGTCCACTTCCAGATACTACAAAAAGAGTGTTTCAAACCTGCTCTACCAAAGGGAATGTTCTACTCTGTGACTTGAATGCAAACATCCCAAAGAAGTTTCTGAGAATGCTTCTGTCTAGATTTGATCTGAAGACAATCCCGTTTCCAACGAAATCCTCAAGGCTAGGCAAATATACTCTTGCAGATTCCAGAAAAAGAGTGTTTCAAAACTGCTCCTTCAAAACGGTGGTTCAATTCTCTTAGTTGAGTACACACATCTCAAATAAGTTTCTGAGAATGCTTCTGCCTAGTTGTTACGGGAAGATATTTCCCTTTCCAACATAGGCCTGAAAGCGCTCCAAATGTCCACTTCCAGATACTACAAAAAGAGTGTTTCAAACCTGCTCTACCAAAGGGAATGTTCTACTCTGTGACTTGAATGCAAACATCCCAAAGAAGTTTCTGAGAATGCTTCTGTCTAGATTTTACCTGAAGACAATCCCGTTTCCCACGAAATCCTCAAAGCTATGCAAATATCCTCTTGCAGATTCTACAAAAAGAGTGTTTCAAAACTGCTCTATGAAAAGAAAGGTTCAACTCTGTCAGTAGAGGGCACACATCACAAACAAGTTTCTGAGAATGCTTGTGTCTAGTTGTTATGGGAAGATATTTCCTTTATCAACATAGGCCTGAAAGCGCTCCAAATGTCCACTTCCAGATACTACAAAAGGAGTGATTCCAACCTGCTCTATGATAGGGAATGTTCAACTCTGTGTCCTGAATACAAACATCACAAAGATGTTTCTCAGAACGCTGCAGTCTGCAATTTGTATGAATTCCCGCTTCCAACGAAATCCTCAAAACTAGCCAAATATCCACTTGGAGATTCCACAAAAAGAGCGTTTCAAAACTTCTCTATGAATAGAAAGGTTCTACTCCTTTAGTTGAGGACACACATCACGAGTAAGTTTCTGAGGATGCTTCCGTCTAGTTTTTATGGGAAGATATGTCCTTTTTCACCTTAGGCCGGAAAGCGCTCCAAATGTCCACTTACACACACTACAAAAAGAGTGTTTCAAACCTGCTCTTTGAAAGGGAATGTTCAATTCTGTGACTTGAATGCAATCATCACAAAGAACTTTCCTGAGAATGCTGCTGTCTGCTTTTTATATGTAATCCCGTTTCCAACGAAATCCTCAAATCTAGCCCAATATCCACTTGCAGATTCCACAAAAAGAGTGTTTCAAAACTGTTCTGTCTAAAGAAAAGTTCAACTGTGTTAGTTGAGGACACACATCAGAAACTAGTTTCTGAGAATGCTTCTGTCTAGTTGTTATGGGAAGATATTTCCTTTTCCAACGTAGGCCTGAAAGCGCTCCAAATGTCCACTTCCATATACTAAAAAAAGAGTGTTTCAAACCTGCTCTACCAAAGGGAATGTTCTACTCTGTGACTTGAATGCAAACATCTCAAAGAAGTTTCTGAGAATGCTTCTGTCTAGATTTGATCTGAAGACAATCCCGTTTCCAACGAAATCCTCAAGGCTAGGCAAATATCCTCTTGCAGATTCCAGAAAAAGAGTGTTTCAAAACTGCTCATTCAAAACGGTGATTCAATTCTCTTAGTTGAGTACACACATCTCAAATAAGTTTCTGAGAATGCTTCTGCCTAGTTGTTACGGGAAGATATTTCCCTTTCCAACATAGGCCTGAAAGCGCTCCAAATGTCCACTTCCAGATAATACAAAAAGAGTGTTTCAAACCTACTCTACCAAAGGGAATGTTCTACTCTGTGACTTGAATGCAAACATCCCAAAGAAGTTTCTGAGAATGCTTCTGTCTAGATTTTACCTGAAGACAATCCCGTTTCCCACGAAATCCTCAAAGCTATGCAAATATCCTCTTGCAGATTCTACAAAAAGAGCGTTTCAAAACTTCTCTATGAAAAGAAAGGTTCTACTCATTTAGTGGAGGACACACATCACGAGTAAGTTTCTCAGAATGCTTCTGTCTAGTTTTTATGGGAAGATATTTCCTTTTTCACCTTAGGCCGGAAAGTGCTCCAAATGTCCACTTCCAGATACTACAAAAGGAGTGATTCCAACCTGCTCTATGATAGGGAATGTTCAACTCTCTGTCCTGAATACAAACATCACAAAGATGTTTCTCAGAACGCTGCAGTCTGCAATTTGTATGAATTCCCGCTTCCAACGAAATCCTCAAAACTAGCCAAATATCCACTTGCAGATTCCACAAAAAGAGCATTTCAAAACTGCTCTATCAAAAGAAAGGTTCAACTTTGTTAGTTGAGTAGATACAGCATAAACAAGTTTCTGAGAATGCTTCTGTCCAGTTTTTATGGGAAGATATTTCCTTTTTCACCTTAGCCCTGAAAGCGCTCCAAAAGTCCAGTTCCAGATACTACAAAAGGAGTGTTTCAGGACTGCTCTATGAAAGGGAGTGTTCAACTTTTGACTTGAATGCAAACATCAGAAAGCAGTTTCTCAGAACGCTGCTGTGTGCTTTTTATATGTATTCCCGCTTCCAGCGAAATCCCCAAAGCTAGCCAAATAGCCACTTGCAGATTCCAGAAAAAGAGTGTTTCAAAACTGCTCCTTCAAAACGGTGGTTCAATTCTCTTAGTTGAGTACACACATCTCAAATAAGTTTCTGAGAATGCTTCTGTCTAGTTGTTATGGGAAGATATTTCCTTTTCCAACATAGGCCTGAAAGCGCTCCAAATGTCCACTTCCAGATACTACAAAAGGAGTGATTCAAACCTGCTCTATGATAGGGAATGTTCAACTCTGTGTCCTGAATACAAACATCACAAAGATGTTTCTCAGAACGCTGCAGTCTGCAATTTGTATGAATTCCCGCTTCCAACGAAATCCTCAAAACTAGCCAAATATCCACTTGCAGATTCCACAAAAAGAGCGTTTCAAAACTTCTCTATGAAAAGAAAGGTTCTACTCCTTTAGTTGAGGACACACATCACGAGTAAGTTTCTGAGAATGCTTCTGTCTAGTTTTTATGGGAAGATATTTCCTTTTTCACCTTAGGCCGGAAAGTGCTCCAAATGTCCACTTACACACCCTACAAAAAGAGTGTTTCAAACCTGCTCTGTGAAAGGGAATGTTCAATTCTGTGACTTGAATGCAATCATCACAAAGAACTTTCTGAGAATGCTGCTGTCTGCTTTTTATATGTAATCCCGTTTCCAACGAAATCCTCAAATCTAGCCAAATAGCCACTTGCAGATTCCACAAAAAGAGTGTTTCAAAACTGTTCTGTCTAAAGAAATGTTCAACTGTGTTAGTTGAGGACACACATCAGAAACTAGTTTCTGAGAATGCTTCTGTCTAGTTGTTATGGGAAGATATTTCCTTTTCCAAAGTAGGCCTGAAAGCGCTCCAAATGTCCACTTCCATATACTAAAAAAAGAGTGTTTCAAACCTGCTCTACCAAAGGGAAGGTTCTACTCTGTGACTTGAATGCAAACATCCCAAAGAAGTTTCTGAGAATGCTTCTGTCTAGATTTGATCTGAAGACAATCCCGATTCCAACGAAATCCTCAAGACTAGGCAAATATCCTCTTGCAGATTCCAGAAAAAGAGTGTTTCAAAACTGCTCCTTCAAAACTGTGGTTCAATTCTCTTAGTTGAGTACACACATCTCAAATAAGTTTCTGAGAATGCTTCTGCCTTGTTGTTACGGGAAGATATTTCCCTTTCCAACATAGGCCTGAAAGCGCTCCAAATGTCCACTTCCAGATACTACAAAAAGAGTGTTTCAAACCTGCTCTACCAAAGGGAATGTTCTACTCTGTGACTTGAATGCAAACATCCCAAAGAAGTTTCTGAGAATGCTTCTGTCTAGATTTTACCTGAAGACAATCCCGTTTCCCACGAAATCCTCAAAGCTATGCAAATATCCTCTTGCAGATTCTACAAAAAGAGTGTTTCAAAACTGCTCTATGAAAAGAAAGGTTCAAATCTGTCAGTAGAGGGCACACATCACAAACAAGTTTCTGAGAATGCTTGTGTCTAGTTGTTATGGGAAGATATTTCCTTTTTCAACATAGGCCTGAAAGCGCTCCAAATGTCCACTTCCAGATACTACAAAAGGAGTGATTCCAACCTGCTCTATGATAGGGAATGTTCAACTCTGTGTCCTGAATACAAACATCACAAAGATGTTTCTCAGAACGCTGCAGTCTGCAATTTGTATGAATTCCCGCTTCCAACGAAATCGTCAAAACTAGCCAAATATCCACTTGCAGATTCCACAAAAAGACCATTTCAAAACTGCTCTATCAAAAGAAAGGTTCAACTTTGTTAGTTGAGTAGATACAGCATAAACAAGTTTCTGAGAATGCTTCTGTCCAGTTTTTATGGGAAGATATTTCCTTTTTCACCTTAGCCCTAAAATCGCTCCAAAAGTCCAGTTCCAGATACTACAAAAGGGGTGTTTCAAGACTGCTCTATGAAAGGGAGTGTTCAACTTTTGACTTGAATGCAAACATCAGAAAGCAGTTTCTCAGAACGCTGCTGTGTGCTTTTTATATGTATTCCCGCTTCCAGCGAAATCCCCAAAGCTAGCCAAATATCCACTTGCAGATTCCAGAAAAAGAGTGTTTCAAAACTGCTCCTTCAAAACGGTGGTTCAATTCTCTTAGTTGAGTACACACATCTCAAATAAGTTTCTGAGAATGCTTCTGTCTAGTTGTTATGGGAAGATATTTCCTTTTCCAACATAGGCCTGAAAGCGCTCCAAATGTCCACTTCCAGATACTACAAAAGGAGTGATTCAAACCTGCTCTATGATAGGGAATGTTCAACTCTGTGTCCTGAATACAAACATCACAAAGATGTTTCTCAGAACGCTGCAGTCTGCAATTTGTATGAATTCCCGCTTCCAACGAAATCCTCAAAACTAGCCAAATATCCACTTGCAGATTCCACAAAAAGAGTGTTTCAAAACTTCTCTATGAAAAGAAAGGTTCTACTCCTTTAGTTGAGGACACACATCACGAGTAAGTTTCTGAGAATGCTTCTGTCTAGTTTTTATGGGAAGATATTTCCTTTTTCACCTTAGGCCGGAAAGCGCTCCAAATGTCCACTTACACACACTACAAAAAGAGTGTTTCAAACCTGCTCTGTGAAAGGGAATGTTCAATTCTGTGACTTGAATGCAATCATCACAAAGAACTATCTGAGAATGCTGCTGTCTGTTTTTTTATATGTAATCCCGTTTCCAACGAAATCCTCAAATCTAGCCAAATAGCCACTTGCAGATTCCACAAAAAGAGTGTTTCAAAACTGTTCTGTCTAAAGAAATGTTCAACTGTGTTAGTTGAGGACACACATCAGAAACTAGTTTCTGAGAATGCTTCTGTCTAGTTGTTATGGGAAGATATTTCCTTTTCCAACGTAGGCCTGAAAGCGCTCCAAATGTCCACTTCCATATACTAAAAAAAGAGTGTTTCAAACCTGCTCTACCAAAGGGAATGTTCTACTCTGTGACTTGAATGCAAACATCCCAAAGAAGTTTCTGAGAATGCTTCTGTCTAGATTTTCTCTGAAGACAATCCCGTTTCCAACGAAATCCTCAAGGCTAGGCAAATATACTCTTGCAGATTCCAGAAAAAGAGTGTTTCAAAACTGCTCCTTCAAAACGGTGGTTCAATTCTCTTAGTTGAGTACACACATCTCAAATAAGTTTCTGAGAATGCTTCTGCCTAGTTGTTACGGGAAGATATTTCCCTTTCCAACATGGGCCTGAAAGCGCTCCAAATGTCCACTTCCAGATACTACAAAAAGAGTGTTTCAAACCTGCTCTACCAAAGGGAATGTTCTACTCTGTGACTTGAATGCAAACATCCCAAAGAAGTTTCTGAGAATGCTTCTGTCTAGATTTTACCTGAAGACAATCCCGTTTCCCACGAAATCCTCAAAGCTATGCAAATATCCTCTTGCAGATTCTACAAAAAGAGTGTTTCAAAACTGCTCTATGAAAAGAAAGGTTCAACTCTGTCAGTAGAGGGCACACATCACAAACAAGTTTCTGAGAATGCTTCTGCATAGTTGTTACGGGAAGATATTTCCCTTTCCAAAATAGGCCTGAAAGCGCTCCAAATGTCCACTTCCAGATACTACAAAAGGAGTGATTCCAACCTGCTCTATGATAGGGAATGTTCAACTCTGTGTCCTGAATACAAACATCACAAAGATGTTTCTCAGAACGCTGCAGTCTGCAATTTGTATGAATTCCCGCTTCCAACGAAATCCTCAAAACTAGCCAAATATCCACTTGCAGATTCCACAAAAAGACCATTTCAAAACTGCTCTATCAAAAGAAAGGTTCAACTTTGTTAGTTGAGTAGATACAGCATAACCAAGTTTCTGAGAATGCTTCTGTCCAGTTTTTATGGGAAGATATTTCCTTTTTCACCTTAGCCCTGAAATCGCTCCAAAAGTCCAGTTCCAGATACTACAAAAGGGGTGTTTCAAGACTGCTCTATGAAAGGGAGTGTTCAACTTTTGACTTGAATGCAAACATCAGAAAGCAGTTTCTCAGAACGCTGCTGTGTGCTTTTTATATGTATTCCCGCTTCCAGCGAAATCCCCAAAGCTAGCCAAATATCCACTTGCAGATTCCAGAAAAAGAGTGTTTCAAAACTGCTCCTTCAAAACGGTGGTTCAATTCTCTTAGTTGAGTACACACATCTCAAATAAGTTTCTGAGAATGCTTCTGTCTAGTTGTTATGGGAAGATATTTCCTTTTCCAACATAGGCCTGAAAGCGCTCCAAATGTCCACTTCCAGATACTACAAAAGGAGTGATTCCAACCTGCTCTATGATAGGGAATGTTCAACTCTGTGTCCTGAATACAAACATCACAAAGATGTTTCTCAGAACGCTGCAGTCTGCAATTTGTATGAATTCCCGCTTCCAACGAAATCCTCCAAACTAGCCAAATATCCACTTGCAGATTCCACAAAAAGAGCGTTTCAAAACTTCTCTATGAAAAGAAAGGTTCTACTCCTTTAGTTGAGGACACACATCACGAGTAAGTTTCTGAGAATGCTTCTGTCTAGTTTTTATGGGAAGATATTTCCTTTTTCACCTTAGGTCGGAAAGTGCTCCAAATGTCCACTTACACACACTATAAAAAGAGTGTTTCAAACCTGCTCTGTGAATGGGAATGTTCAATTCTGTGACTTGAATGCAATCATCACAAAGAACTTTCTGAGAATGCTGCTGTCTGCTTTTTATATGTAATCCCGTTTCCAACGAAATCCTCAAATCTAGCCAAATAGCCACTTGCAGATTCCACAAAAAGAGAGTTTCAAAACTGTTCTGTCTAAAGAAATGTTCAACTGTGTTAGTTGAGGACACACATCAGAAACTAGTTTCTGAGAATGCTTCTGTCTAGTTGTTATGGGAAGATATTTCCTTTTCCAACGTAGGCCTGAAAGCGCTCCAAATGTCCACTTCCATATACTAAAAAAAGAGTGTTTCAAACCTGCTCTACCAAAGGGAATGTTCTACTCTGTGACTTGAATGCAAACATCCCAAAGAAGTTTCTGAGAATGCTTCTGTCTAGATTTGATCTGAAGACAATCCCGTTTCCAACGAAATCCTCAAGGCTAGGCAAATATCCTCTTGCAGATTCCAGAAAAAGAGTGTTTCAAAACTGCTCCTTCAAAACGGTGGTTCAATTCTCTTAGTTGAGTACACACATCTCAAATAAGTTTCTGAGAATGCTTCTGCCTAGTTGTTACGGGAAGATATTTCCCTTTCCAACATGGGCCAGAAAGCGCTCCAAATGTCCACTTCCAGATACTACAAAAAGAGTGTTTCAAACCTGCTCTACCAAAGGGAATGTTCTACTCTGTGACTTGAATGCAAACATCCCAAAGAAGGTTCTGAGAATGCTTCTGTCTAGATTTTACCTGAAGACAATCCCGTTTCCCACGAAATCCTCAAAGCTATGCAAATATCCTCTTGCAGATTCTACAAAAAGAGTGTTTCAAAACTGCTCTATGAAAAGAAAGGTTCAACTCTGTCAGTAGAGGGCACACATCACAAACAAGTTTCTGAGAATGCTTGTGTCTAGTTGTTATGGGAAGATATTTCCTTTTTCAACATAGTCCTGAAAGCGCTCCAAATGTCCACTTCCAGATACTACAAAAGGAGTGATTCCAACCTGCTCTATGATAGGGAATGTTCAACTCTCTGTCCTGAATACAAACATCACAAAGATGTTTCTCAGAACGCTTCTGTCTATTTGTTATGGGAAGATATTTCCTTTTCCAACATAGGCCTGAAAGCGCTCCAGATGTCCACGTCCAGATACTACAAAAGGAGTGATTCAAACCTGCTCTATGATAGGGAATGTTCAACTCTGTGTCCTGAATACAAACATCACAAAGATGTTTCTCAGAACGCTGCAGTCTGCAATTTGTATGAATTCCCGCTTCCAACGAAATAATCAAAACTAGCCAAATATCCACTTGCAGATTCCACAAAAAGAGCGTTTCAAAACTTCTCTATGAAAAGAAAGTTTCTACTCCTTTAGTTGAGTACACACATCACGAGTAAGTTTCTGAGAATGCTTCTGTCTAGTTTTTATGGGAAGATATTTCTTTTTTCCCTTAGGCCGGAAAGCGCTCCAAATGTCCACTTACACACACTACAAAAAGAGTGTTTCAAACCTGCTCTGTGAAAGGGAATGTTCAATTCTGTGACTTGAATGCAATCATCACAAAGAACTTTCTGAGAATGCTGCTGTCTGCTTTTTATATGTAATCCCGTTTCCAACGAAATCCTCAAATCTAGCCAAATATCCACTTGCAGATTCCACAAAAAGAGTGTTTCAAAACTGTTCTGTCTAAAGAAAAGTTCAACTGTGTTAGTTGAGGACACACATCAGAAACTAGTTTCTGAGAATGCTTCTGTCTAGTTGTTATGGGAAGATATTTCCTTTTCCAACGTAGGCCTGAAAGCGCTCCAAATGTCCACTTCCATATACTAAAAAAAGAGTGTTTCAAACCTGCTCTACCAAAGGGAATGTTCTACTCTGTGACTTGAATGCAAACATCCCAAAGAAGTTTCTGAGAATGCTTCTGTCTAGATTTTATCTGAAGACAATCCCGTTTCCAACGAAATCTTCAAGGCTAGGCAAATATACTCTTGCAGATTCCAGAAAAAGAGTGTTTCAAAACTGCTCCTTCAAAACGGTGGTTCAATTCTCTTAGTTGAGTACACACATCTCAAATAAGTTTCTGAGAATGCTTCTGCCTAGTTGTTACGGGAAGATATTTCCCTTTCCAACATGGGCCTGAAAGCGCTCCAAATGTCCACTTCCAGATACTACAAAAAGAGGGTTTCAAACCTGCTCTACCAAAGGGAGTGTTCTACTCTGTGACTTGAATGCAAACATCCCAAAGAAGTTTCTGAGAATGCTTCTGTCTAGATTTTACCTGAAGACAATCCCGTTTCCCACGAAATCCTCAAAGCTATGCAAATATCCTCTTGCAGATTCTACAAAAAGAGTGTTTCAAAACTGCTCTATGAAAAGAAAGGTTCAACTCTGTCAGTAGAGGGCACACATCACAAACAAGTTTCTGAGAATGCTTGTGTCTAGTTGTTATGGGAAGATATTTCCTTTTTCAACATAGGCCTGAAAGCGCTCCAAATGTCCACTTCCAGATACTACAAAAGGAGTGATTCCAACATGCTCTATGATAGGGAATGTTCATCTCTGTGTCTTGAATACAAACATCACAAAGATGTTTCTCAGAACGCTGCAGTCTGCAATTTGTATGAATTCCCGCTTCCAACGAAATCCTCAAAACTAGCCAAATATCCACTTGCAGATTCCACAAAAAGAGCATTTCAAAACTGCTCTATCAAAAGAAAGGTTCAACTTTGTTAATTGAGTAGATACAGCATAAACAAGTTTCTGAGAATGCTTCTGTCCAGTTTTTATGGGAAGATATTTCCTTTTTCACCTTAGCCCTGAAAGCGCTCCAAAAGTCCAGTTCCAGATACTACAAAAGGAGTGTTTCAGGACTGCTCTATGAAAGGGAGTGTTCAACTTTTTACTTGAATGCAAACATCAGAAAGCAGTTTCTCAGAACGCTGCTGTGTGCTTTTTATATGTATTCCCGCTTCCAGCGAAATCCCCAAAGCTAGCCAAATAGCCACTTGCAGATTCCAGAAAAAGAGTGTTTCAAAACTGCTCCTTCAAAACGGTGGTTCAATTCTCTTAGTTGAGTACACACATCTCAAATAAGTTTCTGAGAATGCTTCTGTCTAGTTGTTATGGGAAGATATTTCCTTTTCCAACATAGGCCTGAAAGCGCTCCAAATGTCCACTTCCAGATACTACAAAAGGAGTGATTCAAACCTGCTCTATGATAGGGAATGTTCAACTCTGTGTCCTGAATACAAACATCACAAAGATGTTTCTCAGAACGCTGCAGTCTGCAATTTGTATGAATTCCCGCTTCCAACGAAATCCTCCAAACTAGCCAAATATCCACTTGCAGATTCCACAAAAAGAGCGTTTCAAAACTTCTCTATGAAAAGAAAGGTTCTACTCCTTTAGTTGAGGACACACATCACGAGTAAGTTTCTGAGAATGCTTCTGTCTAGTTTTTATGGGAAGATATTTCCTTTCTCACCTTAGGCCGGTAAGTGCTCCAAATGTCCACTTACACACACTACAAAAAGAGTGTTTCAAACCTGCTCTGTGAAAGGGAATGTTCAATTCTGTGACTTGAATGCAATCATCACAAAGAACTTTCTGAGAATGCTGCTGTCTGCTTTTTATATGTAATCCCGTTTCCAACGAAATCCTCAAATCTAGCCAAATAGCCACTTGCAGATTCCACAAAAAGAGAGTTTCAAAACTGTTCTGTCTAAAGAAATGTTCAACTGTGTTAGTTGAGGACACACATCAGAAACTAGTTTCTGAGAATGCTTCTGTCTAGTTGTTATGGGAAGATATTTCCTTTTCCAACGTAGGCCTGAAAGCGCTCCAAATGTCCACTTCCATATACTAAAAAAAGAGTGTTTCACACCTGCTCTACCAAAGGGAATGTTCTACTCTGTGACTTGAATGCAAACATCCCAAAGAAGTTTCTGAGAATGCTTCTGTC
The DNA here is from genome assembly GCF_000001405.40 of Homo sapiens. Lineage (NCBI taxonomy): Eukaryota > Metazoa > Chordata > Mammalia > Primates > Hominidae > Homo > Homo sapiens. The sequence continues at coordinate 16,125,351 of NC_000018.10, read as the reverse complement.
TAGATTTGATCTGAACACAATCCCGTTTCCAACGAAATCCTCAAAGCTAGGCAAATATCCTCTTGCAGATTCCAGAAAAAGAGTGTTTCAAAACTGCTCCTTCAAAACGGTGGTTCAATTCTCTTAGTTGAGTGCACACATCTCAAATAAGTTTCTGAGAATGCTTCTGCCTAGTTGTTACGGGAAGATATTTCCCTTTCCAACATGGGCCTGAAAGCGCTCCAAATGTCCACTTCCAGATACTACAAAAAGAGTGTTTCAAACCTGCTCTACCAAAGGGAATGTTCTACTCTGTGACTTGAATGCAAACATCCCAAAGAAGTTTCTGAGAATGCTTCTGTCTAGATTTTACCTGAAGACAATCCCGTTTCCCACGAAATCCTCAAAGCTATGCAAATATCCTCTTGCAGATTCTACAAAAAGAGTGTTTCAAAACTGCTCTATGAAAAGAAAGGTTCAACTCTGTCAGTAGAGGGCACACATCACAAACAAGTTTCTGAGAATGCTTGTGTCTAGTTGTTATGGGAAGATATTTCCTTTTTCAACATAGGCCTGAAAGCGCTCCAAATGTCCACTTCCAGATACTACAAAAGGAGTGATTCCAACCTGCTCTATGATAGGGAATGTTCATCTCTGTGTCCTGAATACAAACATCACAAAGATGTTTCTCAGAACGCTGCAGTCTGCAATTTGTATGAATTCCCGCTTCCAACGAAATCCTCAAAACTAGCCAAATATCCACTTGCAGATTCCACAAAAAGACCATTTCAAAACTGCTCTATCAAAAGAAAGGTTCCAACTTTGTTAGTTGAGTAGATACAGCATAAACAAGTTTCTGAGAATGCTTCTGTCCAGTTTTTATGGGAAGATATTTCCTTTTTCACCTTAGGCCGGAAAGCGCTCCAAATGTCCACTTACACACACTACAAAAAGAGTGTTTCAAACCTGCTCTGTGAAAGGGAATGTTCAATTCTGTGACTTGAATGCAATCATCACAAAGAACTTTCTGAGAATGCTACAGTCTGCTTTTTATATGTAATCCCGTTTCCAACGAAATCCTCAAATCTAGCCAAATATCCACTTGCAGATTCCACAAAAAGAGTGTTTCAAAACTGTTCTGTCTAAAGAAAAGTTCAACTGTGTTAGTTGAGGACACACATCAGAAACTAGTTTCTGAGAATGCTTCTGTCTAGTTGTTATGGGAAGATATTTCCTTTTCCAACGTAGGCCTGAAAGCGCTCCAAATGTCCACTTCCATATACTAAAAAAAGAGTGTTTCAAACCTGCTCTACCAAAGGGAATGTTCTACTCTGTGACTTGAATGCAAACATCCCAAAGAAGTTTCTGAGAATGCTTCTGTCTAGATTTTATCTGAAGACAATCCCGTTTCCAACGAAATCCTCAAGGCTAGGCAAATATACTCTTGCAGATTCCAGAAAAAGAGTGTTTCAAAACTGCTCCTTCAAAACGGTGGTTCAATTCTCTTAGTTGAGTACACACATCTCAAATAAGTTTCTGAGAATGCTTCTGCCTAGTTGTTAAGGGAAGATATTTCCCTTTCCAACATGAGCCTGAAAGCGCTCCATATGTCCACTTCCAGATACTACAAAAAGAGTGTTTCAAACCTGCTCTACCAAAGGGAATGTTCTACTCTGTGACTTGAATGCAAACATCCCAAAGAAGTTTCTGAGAATGCTTCTGTCTAGATTTTACCTGAAGACAATCCCGTTTCCCACGAAATCCTCAAAGCTATGCAAATATCCTCTTGCAGATTCTACAAAAAGAGTGTTTCAAAACTGCTCTATGAAAAGAAAGGTTCAACTCTGTCAGTAGAGGGCACACATCACAAACAAGTTTCTGAGAATGCTTGTGTCTAGTTGTTATGGGAAGATATTTCCTTTTTTAACATAGGCCTGAAAGCGCTCCAAATGTCCACTTCCAGATACTACAAAAGGAGTGATTCCAACCTGCTCTATGATAGGGAATGTTCAACTCTGTGTCCTGAATACAAACATCACAAAGATGTTTCTCAGAACGCTGCAGTCTGCAAATTTGTATGAATTCCCGCTTCCAACGAAATCCTCAAAACTAGCCAAATATCCACTTGCAGATTCCACAAAAAGACCATTTCAAAACTGCTCTATCAAAAGAAAGGTTCAACTTTGTTAGTTGAGTAGATACAGCATAAACAAGTTTCTGAGAATGCTTCTGTCCAGTTTTTATGGGAAGATATTTCCTTTTTCACCTTAGCCCTGAAAGCGCTCCAAATGTCCAGTTCCAGATACTACAAAAGGGGTGTTTCAAGACTGCTCTATGAAAGGGAGTGTTCAACTTTTGACTTGAATGCAAACATCAGAAAGCAGTTTCTCAGAACGCTGCTGTGTGCTTTTTATATGTATTCCCGCTTCCAGCGAAATCCCCAAAGCTAGCCAAATATCCACTTGCAGATTCCAGAAAAAGAGTGTTTCAAAACTGCTCCTTCAAAACGGTGGTTCAATTCTCTTAGTTGAGTACACACATCTCAAATAAGTTTCTGAGAATGCTTCTGTCTAGTTGTTATGGGAAGATATTTCCTTTTCCAACATAGGCCTGAAAGCGCTCCAAATGTCCACTTCCAGATACTACAAAAGGAGTGATTCAAACCTGCTCTATGATAGGGAATGTTCAACTCTGTGTCCTGAATACAAACATCACAACGATGTTTCTCAGAACGCTGCAGTCTGCAATTTGTATGAATTCCCGCTTCCAACGAAATCCTCAAAACTAGCCAAATATCCACTTGCAGATTCCACAAAAAGAGCGTTTCAAAACTTCTCTATGAAAAGAAAGGTTCTACTCCTTTAGTTGAGGACACACAATACGAGTAAGTTTCTGAGAATGCTTCTGTCCAGTTTTTATGGGAAGATATTTCCTTTTTCACCTTAGCCCTGAAAGCGCTCCAAAAGTCCAGTTCCAGATACTACAAAAGGAGTGTTTCAGGACTGCTCTATGAAAGGGAGTGTTCAACTTTTGACTTGAATGCAAACATCAGAAAGCAGTTTCTCAGAACGCTGCTGTGTGCTTTTTATATGTATTCCCGCTTCCAGCGAAATCCCCAAAGCTAGCCAAATATCCACTTGCAGATTCCAGAAAAAGAGTGTTTCAAAACTGCTCCTTCAAAACGGTGGTTCAATTCTCTTAGTTGAGTACACACATCTCAAATAAGTTTCTGAGAATGCTGCAGTCTGCAATTTGTATGAATTCCCGCTTCCAACGAAATCCTCCAAACTAGCCAAATATCCACTTGCAGATTCCACAAAAAGAGCGTTTCAAAACTTCTCTATGAATAGAAAGGTTCTACTCCTTTAGTTGAGGACACACATCACGAGTAAGTTTCTGAGAATGCTTCTGTCTAGTTTTTATGGGAAGATATTCCCTTCTTCACCTTAGGCCGGAAAGTGCTCCAAATGTCCACTTACACACACTACAAAAAGAGTGTTTCAAACCTGCTCTGTGAAAGGGAATGTTCAATTCTGTGACTTGAATGCAATCATCACAAAGAACTTTCTGAGAATGCTGCTGTCTGCTTTTTATATGTAATCCCGTTTCCAACTAAATCCTCAAATCTAGCCAAATAGCCACTTGCAGATTCCACAAAAAGAGTGTTTCAAAACTGTTCTGTCTAAAGAAATGTTCAACTGTGTTAGTTGAGGAAACACATCAGAAACTAGTTTCTGAGAATGCTTCTGTCTAGTTGTTATGGGAAGATATTTCCTTTTCCAACGTAGGCCTGAAAGCGCTCCAAATGTGCACTTCCATATACTAAAAAAAGAGTGTTTCAAACCTGCTCTACCAAAGGGAATGTTCTACTCTGTGACTTGAATGCAAACATCCCAAAGAAGTTTCTGAGAATGCTTCTGTCTAGATTTGATCTGAAGACAATCCCGTTTCCAACGAAATCCTCAAGGCTAGGCAAATATCCTCTTGCAGATTCCAGAAAAAGAGTGTTTCAAAACTGCTCCTTCAAAACGGTGGTTCAATTCTCTTAGTTGAGTACACACATCTCAAATAAGTTTCTGAGAATGCTTCTGCCTAGTTGTTACGGGAAGATATTTCCCTTTCCAACATAGGCCTGAAAGCGCTCCAAATGTCCACTTCCAGATACTACAAAAAGAGTGTTTCAAACCTGCTCTACCAAAGGGAATGTTCTACTCTGTGACTTGAATGCAAACATCCCAAAGAAGTTTCTGAGAATGCTTCTGTCTAGATTTTACCTGAAGACAATCCCGTTTCCCACGAAATCCTCAAAGCTATGCAAATATCCTCTTGCAGATTCTACAAAAAGAGTGTTTCAAAACTGCTCTATGAAAAGAAAGGTTCAACTCTGTCAGTAGAGGGCACACATCACAAACAAGTTTCTGAGAATGCTTCTGCATAGTTGTTACGGGAAGATATTTCCCTTTCCAAAATAGGCCTGAAAGCGCTCCAAATGTCCACTTCCAGATACTACAAAAGGAGTGATTCCAACCTGCTCTATGATAGGGAATGTTCAACTCTGTGTCCTGAATACAAACATCACAAAGATGTTTCTCAGAACGCTGCAGTCTGCAATTTGTATGAATTCCCGCTTCCAACGAAATCCTCAAACCTAGCCAAATATCCACTTCCAGATTCCACAAAAAGAGCATTTCAAAACTGCTCTATCAAAAGAAAGGTTCAACTTTGTTAGTTGAGTAGATACAGCATAAACAAGTTTCTGAGAATGCTTCTGTCCAGTTTTTATGGGAAGATATTTCCTTTTTCACCTTAGCCCTGAAAGCGCTCCAAATGTCCAGTTCCAGATACTACAAAAGGGGTGTTTCAAGACTGCTCTATGAAAGGGAGTGTTCAACTTTTGACTTGAATGCAAACATCAGAAAGCAGTTTCTCAGAACGCTGCTGTGTGCTTTTTATATGTATTCCCGCTTCCAGCGAAATCCCCAAAGCTAGCCAAATATCCACTTGCAGATTCCAGAAAAAGAGTGTTTCAAAACTGCTCCTTCAAAACGGTGGTTCAATTCTCTTAGTTGAGTACACACATCTCAAATAAGTTTCTGAGAATGCTTGTGTCTAGTTGTTATGGGAAGATATTTCCTTTTTCAACATAGGCCTGAAAGCGCTCCAAATGTCCACTTCCAGATACTACAAAAGGAGTGATTCCAACCTGCTCTATGATAGGGAATGTTCATCTCTGTGTCCTGAATACAAACATCACGTAGATGTTTCTCAGAACGCTGCAGTCTGCAATTTGTATGAATTCCCGCTTCCAACGAAATCCTCAAAACTAGCCAAATATCCACTTGGAGATTCCACAAAAAGAGCGTTTCAAACCTTCTCTATGAATAGAAAGGTTCTACTCCTTTAGTTGAGGACACACATCACGAGTAAGTTTCTGAGAATGCTTCTGTCTAGTTTTTATGGGAAGATATTTCCTTTTTCACCTTAGGCCGGAAAGCGCTCCAAATGTCCACTTACACACACTACAAAAAGAGTGTTTCAAACCTGCTCTGTGAAAGGGAATGTTCAATTCTGTGACTTGAATGCAATCATCACAAAGAACTTTCTGAGAATGCTGCTGTCTGCTTTTTATATGTAATCCCGTTTCCAACGAAATCCTCAAATCTAGCCAAATAGCCACTTGCAGATTCCACAAAAAGAGTGTTTCAAAACTGTTCTGTCTAAAGAAATGTTCAACTGTGTTAGTTGAGGACACACATCAGAAACTAGTTTATGAGAATGCTTCTGTCTATTTGTTATGGGAAGATATTTCCTTTTCCAACGTAGGCCTGAAAGCGCTCCAAATGTCCACTTCCATATACTAAAAAAAGAGTGTTTCAAAACTGTTCTACCAAAGGGAATGTTCTAGTCTGTGACTTGAATGCAAACATCCCAAAGAAGTTTCTGAGAATGCTTCTGTCTAGATTTTATCTGAAGACAATCCCGTTTCCAACGAAATCCTCAAGGCTAGGCAAATATACTCTTGCAGATTCCAGAAAAAGAGTGTTTCAAAACTGCTCCTTCAAAACGTTGGTTAAATTCTCTTAGTTGAGTACACACATCTCAAATAAGTTTCTGAGAATGCTTCTGCCTAGTTGTTACGGGAAGATATTTCCCTTTCCAACATGGGCCTGAAAGCGCTCCAAATGTCCACTTCCAGATACTACAAAAAGAGGGTTTCAAACCTGCTCTACCAAAGGGAATGTTCTACTCTGTGACTTGAATGCAAACATCCCAAAGAAGTTTCTGAGAATGCTTCTGTCTAGATTTTACCTGAAGACAATCCCGTTTCCCACGAAATCCTCAAAGCTATGCAAATATCCTCTTGCAGATTCTACAAAAAGAGTGTTTCAAAACTGCTCTATGAAAAGAAAGGTTCAACTCTGTCAGTAGAGGGCACACATCACAAACAAGTTTCTGAGAATGCTTGTGTCTAGTTGTTATGGGAAGATATTTCCTTTTTCAACATAGGCCTGAAAGCGCTCCAAATGTCCACTTCCAGATACTACAAAAGGAGTGATTCCAACCTGCTCTATGATAGGGAATGTTCATCTCTGTGTCCTGAATACAAACATCACAAAGATGTTTCTCAGAACGCTGCTGTCTGCAATTTGTATGAATTCCCGCATCCAACGAAATCCTCAAAACTAGCCAAATATCCACTTGGAGATTCCACAAAAAGAGCGTTTCAAAACTTCTCTATGAATAGAAAGGTTCTACTCCTTTAGTTGAGGACACACATCACGAGTAAGTTTCTGAGAATGCTTCTGTCTAGTTTTTATGGGAAGATATTTCCTTTTTCACCTTAGGCCGGAAAGCGCTCCAAATGTCCACTTACACACACTACAAAAAGAGTGTTTCAAACCTGCTCTGTGAAAGGGAATGTTCAATTCTGTGACTTGAATGCAATCATCACAAAGAACTTTCTGAGAATGCTGCTGTCTGCTTTTTATATGTAATCCCGTTTCCAACGAAATCCTCAAATCTAGCCAAATATCCACTTGCAGATTCCACAAAAAGAGTGTTTCAAAACTGTTCTGTCTAAAGAAAAGTTCAACTGTGTTAGTTGAGGACACACATCAGAAACTAGTTTCTGAGAATGCTTCTGTCTAGTTGTTATGGGAAGATATTTCCTTTTCCAACGTAGGCCTGAAAGCGCTCCAAATGTCCACTTCCATATACTAAAAAAAGAGTGTTTCAAACCTGCTCTACCAAAGGGAATGTTCTACTCTGTGACTTGAATGCAAACATCCCAAAGAAGTTTCTGAGAATGCTTCTGTCTAGATTTTATCTGAAGACAATCCCGTTTCCAACGAAATCTTCAAGGCTAGGCAAATATACTCTTGCAGATTCCAGAAAAAGAGTGTTTCAAAACTGCTCCTTCAAAACGGTGGTTCAATTCTCTTAGTTGAGTACACACATCTCAAATAAGTTTCTGAGAATGCTTCTACCTAGTTGTTACGGGAAGATATTTCCCTTTCCAACATGGGCCTGACAGCGCTCCAAATGTCCACTTCCAGATACTACAAAAAGAGGGTTTCAAACCTGCTCTACCAAAGGGAATGTTCTACTCTGTGACTTGAATGCAAACATCCCAAAGAAGTTTCTGAGAATGCTTCTGTCTAGATTTTACCTGAACACAATCCCGTTTCCCACGAAATCCTCAAAGCTATGCAAATATCCTCTTGCAGATTCTACAAAAAGAGTGTTTCAAAACTGCTCTATGAAAAGAAAGGTTCAACTCTGTCAGCAGAGGGCACACATCACAAACAAGTTTCTGAGAATGCTTGTGTCTAGTTGTTATGGGAAGATATTTCCTTTTTCAACACAGGCCTGAAAGCGCTCCAAATGTCCACTTCCAGATACTACAAAAGGAGTGATTCCAACCTGCTCTATGATAGGGAATGTTCATCTCTGTGTCCTGAATACAAACATCACAAAGATGTTTCTCAGAACGCTGCAGTCTGCAATTTGTATGAATTCCCGCATCCAACGAAATCCTCAAAACTAGCCAAATATCCACTTGGAGATTCCACAAAAAGAGCGTTTCAAACCTTCTCTATGAATAGAAAGGTTCTACTCCTTTAGTTGAGGACACACATCACGAGTAAGTTTCTGAGAATGCTTCCGTCTAGTTTTTATGGGAAGATATTTCCTTTTTCACCTTAGGCCGGAAAGTGCTCCAAATGTCCACTTACACACACTACAAAAAGAGTGTTTCAAACCTGCTCTGTGAAAGGGAATGTTCAATTCTGTGACTTGAATGCAATCATCACAAAGAACTTTCTGAGAATGCTGCTGACTGCTTTTTATATGTAATCCCGTTTCCAACGAAATCCTCAAATCTAGCCAAATAGCCACTTGCAGATTCCACAAAAAGAGTGTTTCAAAACTGTTCTGTCTAAAGAAATGTTCAACTGTGTTAGTTGAGGACACACATCAGAAACTAGTTTCTGAGAATGCTTCTGTCTAGTTGTTATGGGAAGATATTTCCTTTTCCAACGTAGGCCTGAAAGCGCTCCAAATGTCCACTTCCATATACTAAAAAAAGAGTGTTTCAAACCTGCTCTACCAAAGGGAATGTTCTACTCTGTGACTTGAATGCAAACATCCCAAAGAAGTTTCTGAGAATGCTTCTGTCTAGATTTTACCTGAAGACAATCCCGTTTCCCACGAAATCCTCAAAGCTATGCAAATATCCTCTTGCAGATTCTACAAAAAGAGTGTTTCAAAACTGCTCTATGAAAAGAAAGGTTCAACTCTGTCAGTAGAGGGCACACATCACAAACAAGTTTCTGAGAATGCTTCTGTCTAGTTGTTATGGGAAGATATTTCCTTTTCCAACATAGGCCTGAAAGCGCTCCAAATGTCCACTTCCAGATACTACAAAAGGAGTGATTCAAACCTGCTCTATGATAGGGAATGTTCAACTCTGTGTCCTGAATACAAACATCACAAAGATGTTTCTCAGAACGCTGCAGTCTGCAATTTGTATGAATTCCCGCTTCCAACGAAATCCTCAAAACTAGCCAAATATCCACTTGCAGATTCCACAAAAAGAGCATTTCAAAACTGCTCTATCAAAAGAAAGGTTCAACTTTGTTAGTTGAGTAGATACAGCATAAACAAGTTTCTGAGAATGCTTCTGTCCAGTTTTTATGGGAAGATATTTCCTTTTTCACCTTAGCCCTGAAATCGCTCCAAAAGTCCAGTTCCAGATACTACAAAAGGGGTGTTTCAAGACTGCTCTATGAAAGGGAGTGTTCAACTTTTGACTTGAATGCAAACATCAGAAAGCAGTTTCTCAGAACGCTGCTGTGTGCTTTTTATATGTATTCCCGCTTCCAGCGAAATCCCCAAAGCTAGCCAAATATCCACTTGCAGATTCCAGAAAAAGAGAGTTTCAAAACTGCTCCTTCAAAACGGTGGTTCAATTCTCTTAGTTGAGTACACACATCTCAAATAAGTTTCTGAGAATGCTGCAGTCTGCAATTTGTATGAATTCCCGCTTCCAACGAAATCCTCAAAACTAGCCAAATATCCACTTGCAGATTCCACAAAAAGAGCGTTTCAAAACTTCCCTATGAAAAGAAAGGTTCTACTCCTTTAGTTGAGGACACACATCACGAGTAAGTTTCTGAGAATGCTTCTGTCTAGTTTTTATGGGAAGATATTTCCTTTTTCACCTTAGGCCGGTAAGTGCTCCAAATGTCCACTTAAACACACTACAAAAAGAGTGTTTCAAACCTGCTCTGTGAAAGGGAATCTTCAATTCTGTGACTTGAATGCAATCATCACAAAGAACTTTCTGAGAATGCTGCTGACTGCTTTTTATATGTAATCCCGTTTCCAACGAAATCCTCAAATCTAGCCAAATAGCCACTTGCAGATTCCACAAAAAGAGTGTTTCAAAACTGTTCTGTCTAAAGAAATGTTCAACTGTGTTAGTTGAGGACACACATCAGAAACTAGTTTCTGAGAATGCTTCTGTCTAGTTGTTATGGGAAGATATTTCCTTTTCCAACGTAGACCTGAAAGCGCTCCAAATGTCCACTTCCATATACTAAAAAAAGAGTGTTTCAAACCTGCTCAACCAAAGGGAATGTTCTACTCTGTGACTTGAATGCAAACATCCCAAAGAAGTTTCTGAGAATGCTTCTGTCTAGATTTGATCTGAAGACAATCCCGTTTCCAACGAAATCCTCAAGGCTAGGCAAATATCCTCTTGCAGATTCCAGAAAAAGAGTGTTTCAAAACTGCTCCTTCAAAACGGTGGTTCAATTCTCTTAGTTGAGTACACACATCTCAAATAAGTTTCTGAGAATGCTTCTGCCTAGTTGTTACGGGAAGATATTTCCCTTTCCAACATAGGCCTGAAAGCGCTCCAAATGTCCACTTCCAGATACTACAAAAAGAGTGTTTCAAACCTGCTCTACCAAAGGGAATGTTCTACTCTGTGACTTGAATGCAAACATCCCAAAGAAGTTTCTGAGAATGCTTCTGTCTAGATTTTATCTGAAGACAATCCCGTTTCCAACGAAATCCTCAAAGCTAGGCAAATATCCTCTAGCAGATTCCAGAAAAAGTGTGTTTCAAAACTGGTCCTTCAAAACGGTGGTTCAATTCTCTTAGTTGAGTACACACATCTCAAATAAGTTTCTGAGAATGCTTCTGCCTAGTTGTTACGGGAAGATATTTCCCTTTCCAATATAGGCCTGAAAGCGCTCCAAATGTCCACTTCCAGATACTACAAAAAGAGTGTTTGAAACCTGCTCTACCAAAGGGAATGTTCTATTCTGTGACTTGAATGCAAACATCCCAAAGAAGTTTCTGAGAATGCTTCTGTCTAGATTTTTCCTGAAGACAATCCCGTTTCCCACGAAATCCTCAAAGCTATGCAAATATCCTCTTGCAGATTCTACAAAAAGAGTGTTTCAAAACTGCTCTATGAAAAGAAAGGTTCAACTCTGTCAGTAGAGGGCACACATCACAAACAAGTTTCTGAGAATGCTTGTGTCTAGTTGTTATGGGAAGATATTTCCTTTTCCAACATAGGCCTGAAAGCGCTCCAAATGTCCACTTCCAGATACTACAAAAGGAGGGATTCCAACCTGGTCTATGATAGGGAATGTTCAACTCTCTGTCCTGAATACAAACATCACAAAGATGTTTCTCAGAACGCTGCAGTCTGCAATTTGTATGAATTCCCGCTTCCAACGAAATCCTCAAAACTAGCCAAATATCCACTTGCAGATTCCACAAAAAGAGCGTTTCAAAACTTCTCTATGAAAAGAAAGGTTCTACTCCTTTAGTTGAGGACACACATCACGAGTAAGTTTCTGAGAATGCTTCTGTCTAGTTTTTAAGGGAAGATATTTCCTTTTTCACCTTAGGCCGGAAAGTGCTCCAAATGTCCACTTACACACACTACAAAAAGAGTGTTTCAAACCTGCTCTGTGAAAGGGAATGTTCAATTCTGTGACTTGAATGCAATCATCACAAAGAACTTTCTGAGAATGCTGCTGTCTGCTTTTTATATGTAATCCCGTTTCCAACGAAATCCTCAAATCTAGCCAAATAGCCACTTGCAGATTCCACAAAAAGAGTGTTTCAAAACTGTTCTGTCTAAAGAAATGTTCAACTGTGTTAGTTGAGGACACACATCAGAAACTAGTTTCTGAGAATGCTTCTGTCTAGTTGTTATGGGAAGATATTTCCTTTTCCAACGTAGGCCTGAAAGCGCTCCAAATGTCCACTTCCATATACTTAAAAAAGAGTGTTTCAAACCTGCTCTACCAAAGGGAATGTTCTACTCTGTGACATGAATGCAAACATCCCAAAGAAGTTTCTGAGAATGCTTCTGTCTAGATTTGATCTGAAGACAATCCCGTTTCCAACGAAATCCTCAAGGCTAGGCAAATATACTCTTGCAGATTCCAGAAAAAGAGTGTTTCAAAACTGCTCCTTCAAAACGGTGGTTCAATTCTCTTAGTTGAGTACACACATCTCAAATAAGTTTCTGAGAATGCTTCTGCCTAGTTGTTACGGGAAGATATTTCCCTTTCCAACATGGGCCTGAAAGCGCTCCAAATGTCCACTTCCAGATACTACAAAAAGAGTGTTTCAATCCTACTCTACCAAAGGGAATGTTCTACTCTGTGACTTGAATGCAAACATCCCAAAGAAGTTTCTGAGAATGCTTCTGTCTAGATTTTACCTGAAGACAATCCCGTTTCCCACGAAATCCTCAAAGCTATGCAAATATCCTCTTGCAGATTCTACAAAAAGAGTGTTTCAAAACTGCTCTATGAAAAGAAAGGTTCAACTCTGTCAGTAGAGGGCACACATCACAAACAAGTTTCTGAGAATGCTTCTGTCTAGTTGTTATGGGAAGATATTTCCTTTTCCAACATAGGCCTGAAAGCGCTCCAAATGTCCACTTCCAGATACTACAAAAGGAGTGATTCCAACCTGCTCTATGATAGGGAATGTTCAACTCTGTGTCCTGAATACAAACATCACAAAGATGTTTCTCAGAACGCTGCAGTCTGCAATTTGTATGAATTCCCGCTTCCAACGAAATCCTCAAAACTAGCCAAATATCCACTTGCAGATTCCACAAAAAGACCATTTCAAAACTGCTCTATCAAAAGAAAGGTTCAACTTTGTTAGTTGAGTAGATACAGCATAAACAAGTTTCTGAGAATGCTTCTGTCCAGTTTTTATGGGAAGATATTTCCTTTTTCACCTTAGCCCTGAAATCGCTCCAAAAGTCCAGTTCCAGATACTACAAAAGGGGTGTTTCAGGACTGCTCTATGAAAGGGAGTGTTCAACTTTTGACTTGAATGCAAACATCAGAAAGCAGTTTCTCAGAACGCTGCTGTGTGCTTTTTATATGTATTCCCGCTTCCAGCGAAATCCCCAAAGCTAGCCAAATATCCACTTGCAGATTCCAGAAAAAGAGAGTTTCAAAACTGCTCCTTCAAAACGGTGGTTCAATTCTCTTAGTTGAGTACACACATCTCAAATAAGTTTCTGAGAATGCTTCTGTCTAGTTGTTATGGGAAGATATTTCCTTTTCCAACATAGGCCTGAAAGCGCTCCAAATGTCCACTTCCAGATACTACAAAAGGAGTGATTCAAACCTGCTCTATGATAGGGAATGTTCAACTCTGTGTCCTGAATACAAACATCACAAAGATGTTTCTCAGAACGCTGCAGTCTGCAATTTGTATGAATTCCCGCTTCCAACGAAATCCTCAAAACTAGCCAAATATCCACTTGCAGATTCCACAAAAAGAGCGTTTCAAAACTTCTCTATGAAACGAAAGGTTCTACTCCTTTAGTTGAGGACACACATCACGAGTAAGTTTCTGAGAATGCTTCTGTCTAGTTTTTATGGGAAGATATTTCCTTTTTCACCTTAGGCCGGAAAGTGCTCCAAATGTCCACTTACACACACTACAAAAAGAGTGTTTCAAACCTGCTCTGTGAAAGGGAATGTTCAATTCTGTGACTTGAATGCAATCATCACAAAGAAGTTTCTGAGAATGCTGCTGTCTGCTTTTTATATGTAATCCCGTTTCCAACGAAATCCTCAAATCTAGCCAAATATCCACTTGCAGATTCCACAAAAAGAGTGTTTCAAAACTGTTCTGTCTAAAGAAAAGTTCAACTGTGTTAGTTGAGGACACACATCAGAAACTAGTTTCTGAGAATGCTTCTGTCTAGTTGTTACGGGAAGATATTTCCTTTTCCAACGTAGGCCTGAAAGCGCTCCAAATGTCCACTTCCATATACTAAAAAAAGAGTGTTTCAAACCTGCTCTACCAAAGGGAATGTTCTACTCTGTGACTTGAATGCAAACATCCCAAAGAAGTTTCTGAGAATGCTTCTGTCTAGATTTTATCTGAAGACAATCCCGTTTCCAACGAAATTCTCACGGCTAGGCAAATATACTCTTGCAGATTCCAGAAAAAGAGTGTTTCAAAACTGCTCCTTCAAAACGTTGGTTAAATTCTCTTAGTTGAGTACACACATCTCAAATAAGTTTCTGAGAATGCTTCTGCCTAGTTGTTACGGGAAGATATTTCCCTTTCCAACATGGGCCTGAAAGCGCTCCAAATGTCCACTTCCAGATACTACAAAAAGAGGGTTTCAAACCTGCTCTACCAAAGGGAATGTTCTACTCTGTGACTTGAATGCAAACATCCCAAAGAAGTTTCTGAGAATGCTTCTGTCTAGATTTTACCTGAAGACAATCCCGTTTCCCACGAAATCCTCAAAGCTATGCAAATATCCTCTTGCAGATTCTACAAAAAGAGTGTTTCAAAACTGCTCTATGAAAAGAAAGGTTCAACTCTGTCAGTAGAGGGCACACATCACAAACAAGTTTCTGAGAATGCTTGTGTCTAGTTGTTATGGGAACATATTTCCTTTTTCAACATAGGCCTGAAAGCGCTCCAAATGTCCACTTCCAGATACTACAAAAGGAGTGATTCCAACCTGCTCTATGATAGGGAATGTTCATCTCTGTGTCCTGAATACAAACATCACAAAGATGTTTCTCAGAACGCTGCAGTCTGCAATTTGTATGAATTCCCGCTTCCAACGAAATCCTCAAAACTAGCCAAATATCCACTTGGAGATTCCACAAAATGAGCGTTTCAAAACTTCTCTATGAATAGAAAGGTTCTACTCCTTTAGTTGAGGACACACATCACGAGTAAGTTTCTGAGAATGCTTCTGTCTAGTTTTTATGGGAAGATATTTCCTTTTTCACCTTAGGCCGGAAAGCGCTCCAAATGTCCACTTACACACACTACAAAAAGAGTGTTTCAAACCTGCTCTGTGAAAGCGAATGTTCAATTCTGTGACTTGAATGCAATCATCACAAAGAACTTTCTGAGAATGCTGCAGTCTGCTTTTTATATGTAATCCCGTTTCCAACGAAATCCTCAAATCTAGCCAAATATCCACTTGCAGATTCCACAAAAAGAGTGTTTCCAAACTGTTCTGTCTAAAGAAAAGTTCAACTGTGTTAGTTGAGGACACACATCAGAAACTAGTTTCTGAGAATGCTTCTGTCTAGTTGTTATGGGAAAATATTTCCTTTTCCAACGTAGGCCTGAAAGCGCTCCAAATGTCCACTTCCATATAATAAAAAAAGAGTGTTTCAAACCTGCTCTACCAAAGGGAATGTTCTACTCTGTGACTTGAATGCAAACATCCCAAAGAAGTTTCTGAGAATGCTTCTGTCTACATTTTATCTGAAGACAATCCCGTTTCCAACGAAATCCTCAAGGCTAGGCAAATATACTCTTGCAGATTCCAGAAAAAGAGTGTTTCAAAACTGCTCCTTCAAAACGGTGGTTCAATTCTCTTAGTTGAGTACACACATCTCAAATAAGTTTCTGAGAATGCTTCTGCCTAGTTGTTACGGGAAGATATTTCCCTTTCCAACATGGGCCTGACAGCGCTCCAAATGTCCACTTCCAGATACTACAAAAAGAGGGTTTCAAACCTGCTCTACCAAAGGGAATGTTCTACTCTGTGACTTGAATGCAAACATCCCAAAGAAGTTTCTGAGAATGCTTCTGTCTAGATTTTACCTGAAGACAATCCCGTTTCCCACGAAATCCTCAAAGCTATGCAAATATCCTCTTTCAGATTCTACAAAAAGAGTGTTTCAAAACTGCTCTATGAAAAGAAAGGTTCAACTCTGTCAGTAGAGGGCACACATCACAAACAAGTTTCTGAGAATGCTTGTGTCTAGTTGTTATGGGAAGATATTTCCTTTTTCAACATAGTCCTGAAAGCGCTCCAAATGTCCACTTCCAGATACTACAAAAGGAGTGATTCCAACCTGCTCTATGATAGGGAATGTTCAACTCTCTGTCCTGAATACAAACATCACAAAGATGTTTCTCAGAACGCTGCAGTCTGCAATTTGTATGAATTCCCGCTTCCAACGAAATCCTCAAAACTAGCCAAATATCCACTTGCAGATTCCACAAAAAGAGCATTTCAAAACTGCTCTATCAAAAGAAAGGTTCAACTTTGTTAGTTGAGTAGATACAGCATAAACAAGTTTCTGAGAATGCTTCTGTCCAGTTTTTATGGGAAGATATTTCCTTTTTCACCTTAGCCCTGAAAGCGCTCCAAAAGTCCAGTTCCAGATACTACAAAAGGAGTGTTTCAGGACTGCTCTATGAAAGGGAGTGTTCAACTTTTGACTTGAATGCAAACATCAGAAAGCAGTTTCTCAGAACGCTGCTGTGTGCTTTTTATATGTATTCCCGCTTCCAGCGAAATCCCCAAATCTAGCCAAATATCCACTTGCAGATTCCAGAAAAAGAGTGTTTCAAAACTGCTCCTTCAAAACGGTGGTTCAATTCTCTTAGTTGAGTACACACATCTCAAATAAGTTTCTGAGAATGCTTCTGTCTAGTTGTTATGGGAAGATATTTCCTTTTCCAACATAGGCCTGAAAGCGCTCCAAATGTCCACTTCCAGATACTACAAAAGGAGTGATTCAAACCTGCTCTATGATAGGGAATGTTCAACTCTGTGTCCTGAATACAAACATCACAAAGATGTTTCTCAGAACGCTGCAGTCTGCAATTTGTATGAATTCCCGCTTCCAACGAAATCCTCCAAACTAGCCAAATATCCACTTGCAGATTCCACAAAAAGAGCGTTTCAAAACTTCTCTATGAAAAGAAAGGTTCTACTCCTTTAGTTGAGGACACACATCACGAGTAAGTTTCTGAGAATGCTTCTGTCTAGTTTTTATGGGAAGATATTTCCTTTTTCACCTTAGGCCGGTAAGTGCTCCAAATGTCCACTTACACACACTACAAAAAGAGTGTTTCAAACCTGCTCTGTGAAAGGGAATGTTCAATTCTGTGACTTGAATGCAATCATCACAAAGAACTTTCTGAGAATGCTGCTGTCTGCTTTTTATATGTAATCCCGTTTCCAACGAAATCCTCAAATCTAGCCAAATATCCACTTGCAGATTCCACAAAAAGAGTGTTTCAAAACTGTTCTGTCTAAAGAAAAGTTCAACTGTGTTAGTTGAGGACACACATCAGAAACTAGTTTCTGAGAATGCTTCTGTCTAGTTGTTATGGGAAGATATTTCCTTTTCCAACGTAGGCCTGAAAGCGCTCCAAATGTCCACTTCCATATACTAAAAAAAGAGTGTTTCAAACCTGCTCTACCAAAGGGAATGTTCTACTCTGTGACTTGAATGCAAACATCCCAAAGAAGTTTCTGAGAATGCTTCTGTCTAGATTTTATCTGAAGACAATCCCGTTTCCAACGAAATCCTCAAGGCTAGGCAAATATACTCTTGCAGATTCCAGAAAAAGAGTGTTTCAAAACTGCTCCTTCAAAACGGTGGTTCAATTCTCTTAGTTGAGTACACACATCTCAAATAAGTTTCTGAGAATGCTTCTGCCTAGTTGTTACGGGAAGATATTTCCCTTTCCAACATGGGCCTGAAAGCGCTCCAAATGTCCACTTCCAGATACTACAAAAAGAGTGTTTCAAACCTACTCTACCAAAGGGAATGTTCTACTCTGTGACTTGAATGCAAACATCCCAAAGAAGTTTCTGAGAATGCTTCTGTCTAGATTTTACCTGAAGACAATCCCGTTTCCCACGAAATCCTCAAAGCTATGCAAATATCCTCTTGCGGATTCTACAAAAAGAGTGTTTCAAAACTGCTCTATGAAAAGAAAGGTTCAACTCTGTCAGTAGAGGGCACACATCACAAACAAGTTTCTGAGAATGCTTGTGTCTAGTTGTTATGGGAAGATATTTCCTTTTTCAACATAGGCCTGAAAGCGCTCCAAATGTCCACTTCCAGATACTACAAAAGGAGTGATTCCAACCTGCTCTATGATAGGGAATGTTCATCTCTGTGTCCTGAATACAAACATCACAAAGATGTTTCTCAGAACGCTGCAGTCTGCAATTTGTATGAATTCCCGCTTCCAACGAAATCCTCAAAACTAGCCAAATATCCACTTGGAGATTCCACAAAAAGAGCGTTTCAAAACTTCTCTATGAATAGAAAGGTTCTACTCCTTTAGTTGAGGACACACATCACGAGTAAGTTTCTGAGAATGCTTCTGTCTAGTTTTTATGGGAAGATATTTCCTTTTTCACCTTAGGCCGGAAAGCGCTCCAACTGTCCACTTACACACACTACAAAAAGAGTGTTTCAAACCTGCTCTGTGAAAGGGAATGTTCAATTCTGTGACTTGAATGCAATCACCACAAAGAACTTTCTGAGAATGCTGCAGTCTGCTTTTTATATGTAATCCCGTTTCCAACGAAATCCTCAAATCTAGCCAAATATCCACTTGCAGATTCCACAAAAAGAGTGTTTCAAAACTGTTCTGTCTAAAGAAAAGTTCAACTGTGTTAGTTGAGGACACACATCAGAAACTAGTTTCTGAGAATGCTTCTGTCTAGTTGTTATGGGAAGATATTTCCTTTTCCAACGTAGGCCTGAAAGCGCTCCAAATGTCCACTTCCATATACTAAAAAAAGAGTGTTTCAAACCTGCTCTACCAAAGGGAATGTTCTACTCTGTGACTTGAATGCAAACATCCCAAAGAAGTTTCTGAGAATGCTTCTGTCTAGATTTTATCTGAAGACAATCCCGTTTCCAACGAAATCCTCAAGGCTAGGCAAATATACTCTTGCAGATTCCAGAAAAAGAGTGTTTCAAAACTGCTCCTTCAAAACGGTGGTTCAATTCTCTTAGTTGAGTACACACATCTCAAATAAGTTTCTGAGAATGCTTCTGCCTAGTTGTTACGGGAAGATATTTCCCTTTCCAACATGGGCCTGAAAGCGCTCCAAATGTCCACTTCCAGATACTACAAAAAGAGTGTTTCAAACCTGCTCTACCAAAGGGAATGTTCTACTCTGTGACTTGAATGCAAACATCCCAAAGAAGTTTCTGAGAATGCTTCTGTCTAGATTTTACCTGAAGACAATCCCGTTTCCCACGAAATCCTCAAAGCTATGCAAATATCCTCTTGCAGATTCTACAAAAAGAGTGTTTCAAAACTGCTCTATGAAAAGAAAGGTTCAACTCTGTCAGTAGAGGGCACACATCACAAACAAGTTTCTGAGAATGCTTCTGCATAGTTGTTACGGGAAGATATTTCCCTTTCCAAAATAGGCCTGAAAGCGCTCCAAATGTCCACTTCCAGATACTACAAAAGGAGTGATTCCAACCTGCTCTATGATAGGGAATGTTCAACTCTGTGTCCTGAATACAAACATCACAAAGATGTTTCTCAGAACGCTGCAGTCTGCAATTTGTATGAATTCCCGCTTCCAACGAAATCCTCAAAACTAGCCAAATATCCACTTGCAGATTCCACAAAAAGACCATTTCAAAACTGCTCTATCAAAAGAAAGGTTCAACTTTGTTAGTTGAGTAGATACAGCATAAACAAGTTTCTGAGAATGCTTCTGTCCAGTTTTTATGGGAAGATATTTCCTTTTTCACCTTAGCCCTGAAATCGCTCCAAAAGTCCAGTTCCAGATACTACAAAAGGGGTGTTTCAGGACTGCCCTATGAAAGGGAGTGTTCAACTTTTGACTTGAATGCAAACATCAGAAAGCAGTTTCTCAGAACGCTGCTGTGTGCTTTTTATATGTATTCCCGCTTCCAGCGAAATCCCCAAAGCTAGCCAAATATCCACTTGCAGATTCCAGAAAAAGAGAGTTTCAAAACTGCTCCTTCAAAACGGTGGTTCAATTCTCTTAGTTGAGTACACACATCTCAAATAAGTTTCTGAGAATGCTTCTGTCTAGTTGTTATGGGAAGATATTTCCTTTTCCAACATAGGCCTGAAAGCGCTCCAAATGTCCACTTCCAGATACTACAAAAGGAGTGATTCAAACCTGCTCTATGATAGGGAATGTTCAACTCTGTGTCCTGAATACAAACATCACAAAGATGTTTCTCAGAACGCTGCAGTCTGCAATTTGTATGAATTCCCGCTTCCAACGAAATCCTCAAAACTAGCCAAATATCCACTTGCAGATTCCACAAAAAGAGCGTTTCAAAACTTCTCTATGAAAAGAAAGGTTCTACTCCTTTAGTTGAGGACACACATCACGAGTAAGTTTCTGAGAATGCTTCTGTCTAGTTTTTATGGGAAGATATTTCCTTTTTCACCTTAGGCCGGTAAGTGCTCCAAATGTCCACTTACACACACTACAAAAAGAGTCTTTCAAACCTGCTCTGTGAAAGGGAATGTTCAATTCTGTGACTTGAATGCAATCATCACAAAGAACTTTCTGAGAATGCTGCTGACTGCTTTTTATATGTAATCCCGTTTCCAACGAAATCCTCAAATCTAGCCAAATAGCCACTTGCAGATTCCACCAAAAGAGTGTTTCAAAACTGTTCTGTCTAAAGAAATGTACAACTGTGTTAGTTGAGGACACACATCAGAAAGTAGTTTCTGAGAATGCTTCTGTCTAGTTGTTATGGGAAGATATTTCCTTTTCTAACGTAGGCCTGAAAGCGCTCCAAATGTCCACTTCCATATACTAAAAAAAGAGTGTTTCAAACCTGCTCTACCAAAGGGAATGTTCTACTCTGTGACTTGAATGCAAACATCCCAAAGAAGTTTCTGAGAATGCTTCTGTCTAGATTTTCTCTGAAGACAATCCCGTTTCCAACGAAATCCTCAAGGCTAGGCAAATATACTCTTGCAGATTCCAGAAAAAGAGTGTTTCAAAACTGCTCCTTCAAAACGGTGGTTCAATTCTCTTAGTTGAGTACACACATCTCAAATAAGTTTCTGAGAATGCTTCTGCCTAGTTGTTACGGGAAGATATTTCCCTTTCCAACATGGGCCTGAAAGCGCTCCAAATGTCCACTTCCAGATACTACAAAAAGAGTGTTTCAAACCTGCTCTACCAAAGGGAATGTTCTACTCTGTGACTTGAATGCAAACATCCCAAAGAAGTTTCTGAGAATGCTTCTGTCTAGATTTTACCTGAAGACAATCCCGTTTCCCACGAAATCCTCAAAGCTATGCAAATATCCTCTTGCAGATTCTACAAAAAGAGTGTTTCAAAACTGCTCTATGAAAAGAAAGGTTCAACTCTGTCAGTAGAGGGCACACATCACAAACAAGTTTCTGAGAATGCTTCTGCATAGTTGTTACGGGAAGATATTTCCCTTTCCAAAATAGGCCTGAAAGCGCTCCAAATGTCCACTTCCAGATACTACAAAAGGAGTGATTCCAACCTGCTCTATGATAGGGAATGTTCAACTCTGTGTCCTGAATACAAACATCACAAAGATGTTTCTCAGAACGCTGCAGTCTGCAATTTGTATGAATTCCCGCTTCCAACGAAATCCTCAAAACTAGCCAAATATCCACTTGCAGATTCCACAAAAAGACCATTTCAAAACTGCTCTATCAAAAGAAAGGTTCAACTTTGTTAGTTGAGTAGATACAGCATAAACAAGTTTCTGAGAATGCTTCTGTCCAGTTTTTATGGGAAGATATTTCCTTTTTCACCTTAGCCCTGAAATCGCTCCAAAAGTCCAGTTCCAGATACTACAAAAGGGGTGTTTCAAGACTGCTCTATGAAAGGGAGTGTTCAACTTTTGACTTGAATGCAAACATCAGAAAGCAGTTTCTCAGAACGCTGCTGTGTGCTTTTTATATGTATTCCCGCTTCCAGCGAAATCCCCAAAGCTAGCCAAATATCCACTTGCAGATTCCAGAAAAAGAGAGTTTCAAAACTGCTCCTTCAAAACGGTGGTTCAATTCTCTTAGTTGAGTACACACATCTCAAATAAGTTTCTGAGAATGCTTGTGTCTAGTTGTTATGGGAAGATATTTCCTTTTCCAACATAGGCCTGAAATCGCTCCAAATGTCCACTTCCAGATACTACAAAAGGAGGGATTCCAACCTGGTCTATGATAGGGAATGTTCAACTCTCTGTCCTGAATACAAACATCACAAAGATGTTTCTCAGAACGCTGCAGTCTGCAATTTGTATGAATTCCCGCTTCCAACGAAATCCTCAAAACTAGCCAAATATCCACTTGCAGATTCCACAAAAAGAGCGTTTCAAAACTTCTCTATGAAAAGAAAGGTTCTACTCCTTTAGTTGAGGACACACATCACGAGTAAGTTTGCTGAGAATGCTTATCTGTCTAGTTTTTAAGGGAAGATATTTCCTTTTTCACCTTAGGCCGGAAAGTGCTCCAAATGTCCACTTACACACACTACAAAAAGAGTGTTTCAAACCTGCTCTGTGAAAGGGAATGTTCAATTCTGTGACTTGAATGCAATCATCACAAAGAACTTTCTGAGAATGCTGCTGACTGCTTTTTATATGTAATCCCGTTTCCAACGAAATCCTCAAATCTAGCCAAATAGCCACTTGCAGATTCCACAAAAAGAGTGTTTCAAAACTGTTCTGTCTATAGAAATGTTCAACTGTGTTAGTTGAGGACACACATCAGAAACTAGTTTCTGAGAATGCTTCTGTCTAGTTGTTATGGGAAGATATTTCCTTTTCCAACGTAGGCCTGAAAGCGATCAAAATGTCCACTTCCATATACTAAAAAAAGAGTGTTTCAAACCTGCTCTACCAAAGGGAATGTTCTACTCTGTGACTTGAATGCAAACATCCCAAAGAAGTTTCTGAGAATGCTTCTGTCTAGATTTTCTCTGAAGACAATCCCGTTTCCAACGAAATCCTCATGGCTAGGCAAATATACTCTTGCAGATTCCAGAAAAAGAGTGTTTCAAAACTGCTCCTTCAAAACGGTGGTTCAATTCTCTTAGTTGAGTACACACATCTCAAATAAGTTTCTGAGAATGCTTCTGCCTAGTTGTTACGGGAAGATATTTCCCTTTCCAACATGGGCCTGAAAGCGCTCCAAATGTCCACTTCCAGATACTACAAAAAGAGTGTTTCAAACCTGCTCTACCAAAGGGAATGTTCTACTCTGTGACTTGAATGCAAACATCCCAAAGAAGTTTCTGAGAATGCTTCTGTCTAGATTTTACCTGAAGACAATCCCGTTTCCCACGAAATCCTCAAAGCTATGCAAATATCCTCTTGCAGATTCTACAAAAAGAGTGTTTCAAAACTGCTCTATGAAAAGAAAGGTTCAACTCTGTCAGTAGAGGGCACACATCACAAACAAGTTTCTGAGAATGCTTCTGCATAGTTGTTACGGGAAGATATTTCCCTTTCCAAAATAGGCCTGAAAGCGCTCCAAATGTCCACTTCCAGATACTACAAAAGGAGTGATTCCAACCTGCTCTATGATAGGGAATGTTCAACTCTGTGTCCTGAATACAAACATCACAAAGATGTTTCTCAGAACGCTGCAGTCTGCAATTTGTATGAATTCCCGCTTCCAACGAAATCCTCAAAACTAGCCAAATATCCACTTGCAGATTCCACAAAAAGACCATTTCAAAACTGCTCTATCAAAAGAAAGGTTCAACTTTGTTAGTTGAGTAGATACAGCATAACCAAGTTTCTGAGAATGCTTCTGTCCAGTTTTTATGGGAAGATATTTCCTTTTTCACCTTAGCCCTGAAATCGCTCCAAAAGTCCAGTTCCAGATACTACAAAAGGGGTGTTTCAAGACTGCTCTATGAAAGGGAGTGTTCAACTTTTGACTTGAATGCAAACATCAGAAAGCAGTTTCTCAGAACGCTGCTGTGTGCTTTTTATATGTATTCCCGCTTCCAGCGAAATCCCCAAAGCTAGCCAAATATCCACTTGCAGATTCCAGAAAAAGAGTGTTTCAAAACTGCTCCTTCAAAACGGTGGTTCAATTCTCTTAGTTGAGTACACACATCTCAAATAAGTTTCTGAGAATGCTTCTGTCTAGTTGTTATGGGAAGATATTTCCTTTTCCAACATAGGCCTGAAAGCGCTCCAAATGTCCACTTCCAGATACTACAAAAGGAGTGATTCCAACCTGCTCTATGATAGGGAATGTTCAACTCTGTGTCCTGAATACAAACATCACAAAGATGTTTCTCAGAACGCTGCAGTCTGCAATTTGTATGAATTCCCGCTTCCAACGAAATCCTCCAAACTAGCCAAATATCCACTTGCAGATTCCACAAAAAGAGCGTTTCAAAACTTCTCTATGAAAAGAAAGGTTCTACTCCTTTAGTTGAGGACACACATCACGAGTAAGTTTCTGAGAATGCTTCTGTCTAATTTTTATGGGAAGGTATTTCCTTGTTCACCTTAGGCCGAAAAGCGCTCCAAATGTCCACTTACACACACTACAAAAAGAGTGTTTCAAACCTGCTCTGTGAAAGGGAATGTTCAATTCTGTGACTTGAATGCAATCATCACAAAGAAGTTTCTGAGAATGCTGCTGTCTGCTTTTTATATGTAATCCCGTTTCCAACGAAATCCTCAAATCTAGCCAAATATCCACTTGCAGATTCCACAAAAAGAGTGTTTCAAAACTGTTCTGTCTAAAGAAATGTTCAACTGTGTTAGTTGAGGACACACATCAGAAACTAGTTTCTGAGAATGCTTCTGTCTAGTTGTTATGGGAAGATATTTCCTTTTCCAACGTAGGCCTGAAAGCGCTCCAAATGTCCACTTACA
Source organism: Homo sapiens (assembly GCF_000001405.40). NCBI lineage: Eukaryota > Metazoa > Chordata > Mammalia > Primates > Hominidae > Homo > Homo sapiens. The sequence goes on along the minus strand of NC_000018.10, from coordinate 16,100,677 downwards.
CACACTACAAAAAGAGTGTTTCAAACCTGCTCTACCAAAGGGAATGTTCTACTCTGTGACTTGAATGCAAACATCCCAAAGAAGTTTCTGAGAATGCTTCTGTCTAGATTTTACCTGAAGACAATCCCGTTTCCCACGAAATCCTCAAAGCTATGCAAATATCCTCTTGCAGATTCTACAAAAAGAGTGTTTCGAAAGTGCTCTATGAAAAGAAAGGTTCAACTGTGTCAGTAGAGGGCACACATCACAAACAAGTTTCTGAGAATGCTTCTGTCTAGTTGTTATGGGAAGATATTTCCTTTTTCAACATAGGCCTGAAAGCGCTCCAAATGTCCACTTCCAGATACTACAAAAGGAGTGATTCCAACCTGCTCTATGATAGGGAATGTTCAACTCTGTGTCCTGAATACAAACATCACAAAGATGTTTCTCAGAACGCTGCAGTCTGCAATTTGTATGAATTCCCGCTTCCAACGAAATCCTCCAAACTAGCCAAATATCCACTTGCAGATTCCACAAAAAGAGCGTTTCAAAACTTCTCTATGAAAAGAAAGGTTCTACTCCTTTAGTTGAGGACACACATCACGAGTAAGTTTCTGAGAATGCTTCAGTCTAGTTTTTATGGGAAGATATTTCCTTGTTCACCTTAGGCCGGAAAGCGCTCCAAATGTCCACTTACACACACTAGAAAAAGAGTGTTTCATACCTGCTCTGTGAAAGGGAATGTTCAATTCTGTGACTTGAATGCAATCATCACAAAGAAGTTTCTGAGAATGCTGCTGACTGCTTTTTATATGTAATCCCGTTTCCAACGAAATCCTCATATCTAGCCAAATAGCCACTTGCAGATTCCACAAAAAGAGTGTTTCAAAACTGTTCTGTCTAAAGAAATGTTCAACTGTGTTAGTTGAGGACACACATCAGAAACTAGTTTCTGAGAATGCTTCTGTCTAGTTGTTATGGGAAGATATTTCCTTTTCCAACGTAGGCCTGAAAGCGCTCCAAATGTCCACTTCCATATACTAAAAAAAGAGTGTTTCAAACCTGCTCTACCAAAGGGAATGTTCTACTCTGTGACTTGAATGCAAACATCCCAAAGAAGTTTCTGAGAATGCTTCTGTCTAGATTTTCTCTGAAGACAATCCCGTTTCCAACGAAATCCTCAAGGCTAGGCAAATATACTCTTGCAGATTCCAGAAAAAGAGTGTTTCAAAACTGCTCCTTCAAAACGGTGGTTCAATTCTCTTAGTTGAGTACACACATCTCAAATAAGTTTCTGAGAATGCTTCTGCCTAGTTGTTACGGGAAGATATTTCCCTTTCCATCATGGGCCTGCAAGCGCTCCAAATGTCCACTTCCAGATACTACAAAAAGAGTGTTTCAAACCTGCTCTACCAAAGGGAATGTTCTACTCTGTGACTTGAATGCAAACATCCCAAAGAAGTTTCTGAGAATGCTTCTGTCTAGATTTTACCTGAAGACAATCCCGTTTCCCACGAAATCCTCAAAGCTATGCAAATATCCTCTTGCAGATTCTACAAAAAGAGTGTTTCAAAACTGCTCTATGAAAAGAAAGGTTCAACTCTGTCAGTAGAGGGCACACATCACAAACAAGTTTCTGAGAATGCTTCTGCATAGTTGTTACGGGAACATATTTCCCTTTCCAAAATAGGCCTGAAAGCGCTCCAAATGTCCACTTCCAGATACTACAAAAGGAGTGATTCCAACCTGCTCTATGATAGGGAATGTTCAACTCTGTGTCCTGAATACAAACATCACAAAGATGTTTCTCAGAACGCTGCAGTCTGCAATTTGTATGAATTCCCGCTTCCAACGAAATCCTCAAAACTAGCCAAATATCCACTTGCAGATTCCACAAAAAGACCATTTCAAAACTGCTCTATCAAAAGAAAGGTTCAACTTTGTTAGTTGAGTAGTTACAGCATAAACAAGTTTCTGAGAATGCTTCTGTCCAGTTTTTATGGGAAGATATTTCCTTTTTCACCTTAGCCCTGAAAGCGCTCCAAATGTGCAGTTCCAGATACTACAAAAGGGGTGTTTCAAGACTGCTCTATGAAAGGGAGTGTTCAACTTTTGACTTGAATGCAAACATCAGAAAGCAGTTTCTCAGAACGCTGCTGTGTGCTTTTAATATGTATTCCCGCTTCCAGCGAAATCCCCAAAGCTAGCCAAATATCCACTTGCAGATTCCAGAAAAAGAGTGTTTCAAAACTGCTCCTTCAAAACGGTGGTTCAATTCTCTTAGTTGAGTACACACATCTCAAATAAGTTTCTGAGAATGCTTCTGTCTAGTTTTTATGGGAAGATATTTCCTTTTTCACCTGAGGCCGGAAAGCGCTCCAAATGTCCACTTCCAGATACTACAAAAGGAGTGATTCAAACCTGCTCTATGATAGGGAATATTCAACTCTGTGTCCTGAATACAAACATCACAAAGATGTTTCTCAGAACGCTGCAGTCTGCAATTTGTATGAATTCCCGCTTCCAACGAAATCCTCAAAACTAGCCAAATATCCACTTGCAGATTCCACAAAAAGAGCGTTTCAAAACTTCTCTATGAAAAGAAAGGTTCTACTCCTTTAGTTGAGGACACACATCACGAGTAAGTTTCTGAGAATGCTTCTGTCTAGTTTTTATGGGAAGATTATTTCCTTTTTCACCTTAGGCCGGTAAGTGCTCCAAATGTCCACTTACACACACTACAAAAAGAGTGTTTCAAACCTGCTCTGTGAAAGGGAATGTTCAATTCTGTGACTTGAATGCAATCATCACAAAGAACTTTCTGAGAATGCCGCTGACTGCTTTTTATATGTAATCCCGTTTCCAACGAAATCCTCAAATCTAGCCAAATAGCCACTTGCAGATTCCACAAAAAGAGTGTTTCAAAACTGTTCTGTCTAAAGAAATGTTCAACTGTGTTAGTTGAGGACACACATCAGAAACTAGTTTCTGAGAATGCTTCTGTCTAGTTGTTATGGGAAGATATTTCCTTTTCCAACGTAGGCCTGAAAGCGCTCCAAATGTCCACTTCCAGATACTAAAAAAAGAGTGTTTCAAACCTGCTCTACCAAAGGGAATGTTCTACTCTGTGACTTGAATGCAAGCATCCCAAAGAAGTTTCTGAGAATGCTTCTGTCTAGATTTTCTCTGAAGACAATCCCGTTTCCAACGAAATCCTCAAGGCTAGGCAAATATACTCTTGCAGATTCCAGAAAAAGAGTGTTTCAAAACTGCTCCTTCAAAACGGTGGTTCAATTCTCTTAGTTGAGTACACACATCTCAAATAAGTTTCTGAGAATGCTTCTGCCTAGTTGTTACGGGAAGATATTTCCCTTTCCAACATGGGCCTGAAAGCGCTCCAAATGTCCACTTCCAGATACTACAAAAAGAGTGTTTCAAACCTGCTCTACCAAAGGGAATGTTCTACTCTGTGACTTGAATGCAAACATCCCAAAGAAGTTTCTGAGAATGCTTCTGTCTAGATTTTACCTGAAGACAATCCCGTTTCCCACGAAATCCTCAAAGCTATGCAAATATCCTCTTGCAGATTCTACAAAAAGAGTGTTTCAAAACTGCTCTATGAAAAGAAAGGTTCAACTCTGTCAGTAGAGGGCACACATCACAAACAAGTTTCTGAGAATGCTTCTGCATAGTTGTTACGGGAAGATATTTCCCTTTCCAAAATAGGCCTGAAAGCGCTCCAAATGTCCACTTCCAGATACTACAAAAGGAGTGATTCCAACCTGCTCTATGATAGGGAATGTTCAACTCTGTGTCCTGAATACAAACATCACAAAGATGTTTCTCAGAACGCTGCAGTCTGCAATTTGTATGAATTCCCGCTTCCAACGAAATCCTCAAAACTAGCCAAATATCCACTTGCAGATTCCACAAAAAGACCATTTCAAAACTGCTCTATCAAAAGAAAGGTTCAACTTTGTTAGTTGAGTAGATACAGCATAAACAAGTTTCTGAGAATGCTTCTGTCCAGTTTTTATGGGAAGATATTTCCTTTTTCACCTTAGCCCTAAAATCGCTCCAAAAGTCCAGTTCCAGATACTACAAAAGGGGTGTTTCAAGACTGCTCTATGAAAGGGAGTGTTCAACTTTTGACTTGAATGCAAACATCAGAAAGCAGTTTCTCAGAACGCTGCAGTCTGCAATTTGTATGAATTCCCGCTTCCAACGAAATCCTCAAAACTAGCCAAATACCCACTTGCAGATTCCACAAAAAGAGCGTTTCAAAACTTCTCTATGAAAAGAAAGGTTCTACTCCTTTAGTTGAGGACACTCATCACGAGTAAGTTTCTGAGAATGCTTCTGTCTAGTTTTTATGGGAAGATATTTCCTTTTTCACCTTAGGCCGAAAAGCGCTCCAAATGTCCACTTACACACACTACAAAAAGAGTGTTTCAAACCTGCTCTGTGAAAGGGAATGTTCAATTCTGTGACTTGAATGCAATCATCACAAAGAAGATTCTGAGAATGCTGCTGTCTGCTTTTTATATGTAATCCCATTTCCAACGAAATCCTCAAATCTAGCCAAATAGCCACTTGCAGATTCCACAAAAAGAGTGTTTCAAAATTGTTCTGTCTAAAGAAATGTTCAACTGTGTTAGTTGAGGACACACATCAGAAACTAGTTTCTGAGAATGCTTCTGTCTAGTTGTTATGGGAAGATATTTCCTTTTCCAACGTAGGCCTGAAAGCGCTCCAAATGTCCACTTCCATATACTTAAAAAAGAGTGTTTCAAACCTGCTCTACCAAAGGGAATGTTCTACTCTGTGACATGAATGCAAACATCCCAAAGAAGTTTCTGAGAATGCTTCTGTCTAGATTTGATCTGAAGACAATCCCGTTTCCAACGAAATCCTCAAGGCTAGGCAAATATCCTCTTGCAGATTCCAGAAAAAGAGTGTTTCAAAACTGCTCCTTCAAAACGGTGGTTCAATTCTCTTAGTTGAGTACACACATCTCAAATAAGTTTCTGAGAATGCTTCTGCCTAGTTGTTACGGGAAGATATTTCCCTTTCCAACATAGGCCTGAAAGCGCTCCAAATGTCCACTTCCAGATACTACAAAAAGAGTGTTTCAAACCTGCTCTACCAAAGGGAATGTTCTACTCTGTGACTTGAATGCAAACATCCCAAAGAAGTTTCTGAGAATGCTTCTGTCTAGATTTTACCTGAAGACAATCCCGTTTCCCACGAAATCCTCAAAGCTATGCAAATATCCTCTTGCGGATTCTATAAAAGAGTGTTTCAAAACTGCTCTATGAAAAGAAAGGTTCAAATCTGTCAGTAGAGGGCACACATCACAAACAAGTTTCTGAGAATGCTTGTGTCTAGTTGTTATGGGAAGATATTTCCTTTTTCAACATAGGCCTGAAAGCGCTCCAAATGTCCACTTCCAGATACTACAAAAGGAGTGATTCCAACATGCTCTATGATAGGGAATGTTCATCTCTGTGTCTTGAATACAAACATCTCAAAGATGTTTCTCAGAACGCTGCAGTCTGCAATTTGTATGAATTCCCGCTTCCAACGAAATCCTCAAAACTAGCCAAATATCCACTTGGAGATTCCACAAAAAGAGCGTTTCAAAACTTCTCTATGAATAGAAAGGTTCTACTCCTTTAGTTGAGGACACACATCACGAGTAAGTTTCTGAGAATGCTTCTGTCTAGTTTTTATGGGAAGATATGTCCTTTTTCACCTTAGGCCGGAAAGCGCTCCAAATGTCCACTTACACACACTACAAAAAGAGTGTTTCAAACCTGCTCTGTGAAAGGGAATGTTCAATTCTGTGACTTGAATGCAATCATCACAAAGAACTTTCTGAGAATGCTGCTGACTGCTTTTTATATGTAATCCCGTTTCCAACGAAATCCTCAAATCTAGCCCAGTATCCACTTGCAGATTCCACAAACAGAGTGTTTCAAAACTGTTCTGTCTAAAGAAATGTACAACTGTGTTAGTTGAGGACACACATCAGAAACTAGTTTCTGAGAATGCTTCTGTCTAGTTGTTATGGGAAGATATTTCCTTTTCCAACGTAGGCCTGAAAGCGCTCCAAATGTCCACTTCCATATACTAAAAAAAGAGTGTTTCAAACCTGCTCTACCAAAGGGAATGTTCTACTCTGTGACTTGAATGCAAACATCCCAAAGAAGTTTCTGAGAATGCTTCTGTCTAGATTTTATCTGAAGACAATCCCGTTTCCAACGAAATCCTCAAAGCTAGGCAAATATCCTCTAGCAGATTCCAGAAAAAGAGTGTTTCAAAACTGCTCCTTCAAAACGGTGGTTCAATTCTCTTAGTTGAGTACACACATCTCAAAAAAGTTTCAGAGAATTCTTCTGCCTAGTTGTTACGGGAAGATATTTCCCTTTCCAACATGGGCCTGAAAGCGCTCCAAATGTCCACTTCCAGATACTACAAAAAGAGTGTTTCAAACCTGCTCTACCAAAGGGAATGTTCTACTCTGTGACTTGAATGCAAACATCCCAAAGAAGTTTCTGAGAATGCTTCTGTCTAGATTTTACCTGAAGACAATCCCGTTTCCCACGAAATCCTCAAAGCTATGCAAATATCCTCTTGCAGATTCTACAAAAAGAGTGTTTCAAAACTGCTCTATGAAAAGAAAGGTTCAACTCTGTCAGTAGAGGGCACACATCACAAACAAGTTTCTGAGAATGCTTCTGCATAGTTGTTACGGGAAGATATTTCCCTTTCCAAAATAGGCCTGAAAGCGCTCCAAATGTCCACTTCCAGATACTACAAAAGGAGTGATTTCAACCTGCTCTATGATAGGGAATGTTCAACTCTGTGTCCTGAATACAAACATCACAAAGATGTTTCTCAGAACGCTGCAGTCTGCAATTTGTATGAATTCCCGCTTCCAACGAAATCCTCAAAACTAGCCAAATATCCACTTGCAGATTCCACAAAAAGACCATTTCAAAACTGCTCTATCAAAAGAAAGGTTCAACTTTGTTAGTTGAGTAGATACAGCATAAACAAGTTTCTGAGAATGCTTCTGTCCAGTTTTTATGGGAAGATATTTCCTTTTTCACCTTAGCCCTGAAATCGCTCCAAAAGTCCAGTTCCAGATACTACAAAAGGGGTGTTTCAGGACTGCTCTATGAAAGGGAGTGTTCAACTTTTGACTTGAATGCAAACATCAGAAAGCAGTTTCTCAGAACGCTGCTGTGTGCTTTTTATATGTATTCCCGCTTCCAGCGAAATCCCCAAAGCTAGCCAAATATCCACTTGCAGATTCCAGAAAAAGAGAGTTTCAAAACTGCTCCTTCAAAACGGTGGTTCAATTCTCTTAGTTGAGTACACACATCTCAAATAAGTTTCTGAGAATGCTTCTGTCTAGTTGTTATGGGAAGATATTTCCTTTTCCAACATAGGCCTGAAAGCGCTCCAAATGTCCACTTCCAGATACTACAAAAGGAGTGATTCAAACCTGTTCTATGATAGGGAATGTTCAACTCTGTGTCCTGAATACAAACATCACAAAGATGTTTCTCAGAACGCTGCAGTCTGCAATTTGTATGAATTCCCGCTTCCAACGAAATCCTCCAAACTAGCCAAATATCCACTTGCAGATTCCACAAAAAGAGCGTTTCAAAACTTCTCTATGAAAAGAAAGGTTCTACTCCTTTAGTTGAGGACACACATCACGAGTAAGTTTCTGAGAATGCTTCTGTCTAGTTTTTATGGGAAGATATTTCCTTTTTCACCTTAGGCCGGTAAGTGCTCCAAATGTCCACTTACACACACTACAAAAAGAGTCTTTCAAACCTGCTCTGTGAAAGGGAATGTTCAATTCTGTGACTTGAATGCAATCATCACAAAGAACTTTCTGAGAATGCTGCTGTCTGCTTTTTATATGTAATCCCGTTTCCAACGAAATCCTCAAATCTAGCCAAATAGCCACTTGCAGATTCCACAAAAAGAGTGTTTCAAAACTGTTCTGTCTAAAGAAATGTTCAACTGTGTTAGTTGAGGACACACATCAGAAACTAGTTTCTGAGAATGCTTCTGTCTAGTTGTTATGGGAAGATATTTCCTTTTCCAACGTAGGCCTGAAAGCGCTCCAAATGTCCACTTCCATATACTAAAAAAAGAGTGTTTCAAACCTGCTCTACCAAAGGGAATGTTCTACTCTGTGACTTGAATGCAAACATCCCAAAGAAGTTTCTGAGAATGCTTCTGTCTAGATTTGATCTGAAGACAATCCCGTTTCCAACGAAATCCTCAAGGCTAGGCAAATATCCTCTTGCAGATTCCAGAAAAAGAGTGTTTCAAAACTGCTCCTTCAAAACGGTGGTTCAATTCTCTTAGTTGAGTACACACATCTCAAATAAGTTTCTGAGAATGCTTCTGCCTAGTTGTTACGGGAAGATATTTCCCTTTCCAACATAGGCCTGAAAGCGCTCCAAATGTCCACTTCCAGATACTACAAAAAGAGTGTTTCAAACCTGCTCTACCAAAGGGAATGTTCTGCTCTGTGACTTGAATGCAAACATCCCAAAGAAGTTTCTGAGAATGCTTCTGTCTAGATTTTACCTGAAGACAATCCCGTTTCCCACGAAATCCTCAAAGCTATGCAAATATCCTCTTGCAGATTCTACAAAAAGAGTGTTTCAAAACTGCTCTATGAAAAGAAAGGTTCAACTCTGTCAGTAGAGGGCACACATCACAAACAAGTTTCTGAGAATGCTTGTGTCTAGTTGTTATGGGAAGATATTTCCTTTTTCAACATAGGCCTGAAAGCGCTCCAAATGTCCACTTCCAGATACTACAAAAGGAGTGATTCCAACCTGCTCTATGATAGGGAATGTTCAACTCTCTGTCCTGAATACAAACATCACAAAGATGTTTCTCAGAACGCTGCAGTCTGCAATTTGTATGAATTCCCGCTTCCAACGAAATCCTCAAAACTAGCCAAATATCCACTTGCAGATTCCACAAAAAGAGCATTTCAAAACTGCTCTATCAAAAGAAAGGTTCAACTTTGTTAGTTGAGTAGATACAGCATAAACAAGTTTCTGAGAATGCTTCTGTCCAGTTTTTATGGGAAGATATTTCCTTTTTCACCTTAGCCCTGAAAGCGCTCCAAAAGTCCAGTTCCAGATACTACAAAAGGGGTGTTTCAAGACTGCTCTATGAAAGGGAATGTTCAACTTTTGACTTGAATGCAAACATCAGAAAGCAGTTTCTCAGAACGCTGCTGTGTGCTTTTTATATGTATTCCCGCTTCCAGCGAAATCCCCAAAGCTAGCCAAATATCCACTTGCAGATTCCAGAAAAAGAGTGTTTCAAAACTGCTCCTTCAAAACGGTGGTTCAATTCTCTTAGTTGAGTACACACATCTCAAATAAGTTTCTGAGAATGCTTCTGTCTAGTTTTTATGGGAAGATATTTCCTTTTTCACCTGAGGCCGGAAAGCGCTCCAAATGTCCACTTCCAGATACTACAAAAGGAGTGATTCAAACCTGCTCTATGATAGGGAACGTTCAACTCTGTGTCCTGAATACAAACATCACAAAGATGTTTCTCAGAACGCTGCAGTCTGCAATTTGTATGAATTCCCGCTTCCAACGAAATCCTCAAAACTAGCCAAATATCCACTTGCAGATTCCACAAAAAGAGCGTTTCAAAACTTCTCTATGAAAAGAAAGGTTCTACTCCTTTAGTTGAGGACACACATCACGAGTAAGTTTCTGAGAATGCTTCTGTCTAGTTTTTATGGGAAGATATTTCCTTTTTCACCTTAGGCCGGTAAGTGCTCCAAATGTCCACTTACACACACTACAAAAAGAGTGTTTCAAACCTGCTCTGTGAAAGGGAATGTTCAATTCTGTGACTTGAATGCAATCATCACAAAGAACTTTCTGAGAATGCTGCTGACTGCTTTTTATATGTAATCCCGTTTCCAACGAAATCCTCAAATCCAGCCAAATAGCCACTTGCAGATTCCACAAAAAGAGTGTTTCAAAACTGTTCTGTCTAAAGAAATGTTCAACTGTGTTAGTTGAGGACACACATCAGAAACTAGTTTCTGAGAATGCTTCTGTCTAGTTGTTATGGGAAGATATTTCCTTTTCCAACGTAGGCCTGAAAGCGATCAAAATGTCCACTTCCATATACTAAAAAAAGAGTGTTTCAAACCTGCTCTACCAAAGGGAATGTTCTACTCTGTGACTTGAATGCAAACATCCCAAAGAAGTTTCTGAGAATGCTTCTGTCTAGATTTTCTCTGAAGACAATCCCGTTTCCAACGAAATCCTCAAGGCTAGGCAAATATACTCTTGCAGATTCCAGAAAAAGAGTGTTTCAAAACTGCTCCTTCAAAACGGTGGTTCAATTCTCTTAGTTGAGTACACACATCTCAAATAAGTTTCTGAGAATGCTTCTGCCTAGTTGTTACGGGAAGATATTTCCCTTTCCAACATGGGCCTGAAAGCGCTCCAAATGTCCACTTCCAGATACTACAAAAAGAGTGTTTCAAACCTGCTCTACCAAAGGGAATGTTCTACTCTGTGACTTGAATGCAAACATCCCAAAGAAGTTTCTGAGAATGCTTCTGTCTAGATTTTACCTGAAGACAATCCCGTTTCCCACGAAATCCTCAAAGCTATGCAAATATCCTCTTGCAGATTCTACAAAAAGAGTGTTTCAAAACTGCTCTATGAAAAGAAAGGTTCAACTCTGTCAGTAGAGGGCACACATCACAAACAAGTTTCTGAGAATGCTTGTGTCTAGTTGTTATGGGAAGATATTTCCTTTTTCAACATAGGCCTGAAAGCGCTCCAAATGTCCACTTCCAGATACTACAAAAGGAGTGATTCCAACCTGCTCTATGATAGGGAATGTTCAACTCTGTGTCCTGAATACAAACATCACAAAGATGTTTCTCAGAACGCTGCAGTCTGCAATTTGTATGAATTCCCGCTTCCAGCGAAATCCTCAAAACTAGCCAAATATCCACTTGCAGATTCCACAAAAAGAGCATTTCAAAACTGCTCTATCAAAAGAAAGGTTCAACTTTGTTAGTTGAGTAGATACAGCATAAACAAGTTTCTGAGAATGCTTCTGTCCAGTTTTTATGGGAAGATATTTCCTTTTTCACCTTAGCCCTGAAAGCGCTCCAAAAGTCCAGTTCCAGATACTACAAAAGGAGTGTTTCAGGACTGCTCTATGAAAGGGAGTGTTCAACTTTTGACTTGAATGCAAACATCAGAAAGCAGTTTCTCAGAACGCTGCTGTGTGCTTTTTATATGTATTCCCGCTTCCAGCGAAATCCCCAAAGCTAGCCAAATATCCACTTGCAGATTCCAGAAAAAGAGTGTTTCAAAACTGCTCCTTCAAAACGGTGGTTCAATTCTCTTAGTTGAGTACACACATCTCAAATAAGTTTCTGAGAATGCTTCTGTCTAGTTGTTATGGGAAGATATTTCCTTTTCCAACATAGGCCTGAAAGCGCTCCAAATGTCCACTTCCAGATACTACAAAAGGAGTGATTCAAACCTGCTCTATGATAGGGAATGTTCAACTCTGTGTCCTGAATACAAACATCACAAAGATGTTTCTCAGAACGCTGCAGTCTGCAATTTGTATGAATTCCCGCTTCCAACGAAATCCTCAAAACTAGCCAAATATCCACTTGCAGATTCCACAAAAAGAGCGTTTCAAAACTTCTCTATGAAAAGAAAGGTTCTACTCCTTTAGTTGAGGACACACATCACGAGTAAGTTTCTGAGAATGCTTCTGTCTAGTTTTTATGGGAAGATATTTCCTTTTTCACCTTAGGCCGGAAAGTGCTCCAAATGTCCACTTACACACACTACAAAAAGAGTGTTTCAAACCTGCTCTGTGAAAGGGAATGTTCAATTCTGTGACTTGAATGAAATCATCACAAAGAACTTTCTGAGAATGCTTGCTGTCTGCTTTTTATATGTAATCCCGTTTCCAACGAAATCCTCAAATCTAGCCAAATATCCACTTGCAGATTCCACAAAAAGAGTGTTTCAAAACTGTTCTGTCTAAAGAAATGTTCAACTGTGTTAGTTGAGGACACACATCAGAAACTAGTTTCTGAGAATGCTTCCGTCTAGTTGTTATGGGAAGATATTTCCTTTTCCAACGTAGGCCTGAAAGCGCTCCAAATGTCCACTTCCATATACTAAAAAAAGAGTGTTTCAAACCTGCTCTACCAAAGGAATGTTCTACTCTGTGACTTGAATGCAAACATCCCAAAGAAGTTTCTGAGAATGCTTCTGTCTAGATTTGATCTGAAGACAATCCCTTTTCCAACGAAATCCTCAAAGCTAGGCAAATATCCTCTTGCAGATTCCAGAAAAAGAGTGTTTCCAAACTGCTCCTTCAAAACGGTGGTTCAATTCTCTTAGTTGAGTACACACATCTCAAATAAGTTTCTGAGAATGCTTCTGCCTAGTTGTTACGGGAAGATATTTCCCTTTCCAACATAGGCTTGAAAGCGCAACAAATGTCCACTTCCAGATACGACAAAAAGAGTGTTTCAAACCTGCTCTACCGAAGGGAATGTTCTACTCTGTGACTTGAATGCAAACATCCCGAAGAAGTTTCTGAGAATGCTTCTGTCTAGATTTTACCTGAAGACAATCCCGTTTCCCACGAAATCCTCAGAGCTATGCAAATATCCTCTTGCAGATTCTACAAAAAGAGTGTTTCGAAACTGCTCTATGAAAAGAAAGGTTCAACTCTGTCAGTAGAGGAAACACATCACCAACAAGTTTCTGAGAATGCTTCTGTCTAGTTGTTATGGGAAGATTTTTCCTTTTTCAACATAGGCCTGAAAGCGCTCCAAATGTCCACTTCCAGATACTACAAAAGGAGTGATCCCAACCTGCTCTATGATAGGGAATGTTCAACTCTGTGTCCTGAATACAAACATCACAAAGATGTTTCTCAGAACGCTGCAGTCTGCAATTTGTATGAATTCCCGCTTCCAACGAAATCCTCAAAACTAGCCAAATATCCACTTGCAGATTCCACAAAAAGAGCATTTCAAAACTGCTCTATCAAAAGAAAGGTTCAACTTTGTTAGTTGAGCAGATACAGCATAAACAAGTTTCTGAGAATGCTTCTGTCCAGTTTTTATGGGAAGATATTTCCTTTTTCACCTTAGCCCTGAAAGCGCTCCAAATGTCCAGTTCCAGATACTACAAAAGGGGTGTTTCAAGACTGCTCTATGAAAGGGAGTGTTCAACTTTTGACTTGAATGCAAACATCAGAAAGCAGTTTCTCAGAACGCTGCTGTGTGCTTTTTATATGTATTCCCGCTTCCAGCGAAATCCCCAAAGCTAGCCAAATATCCACTTGCAGATTCCAGAAAAAGAGTGTTTCCAAACTGCTCCTTCAAAACGGTGGTTCAATTCTCTTAGTTGAGTACACACATCTCAAATAAGTTTCTGGGAATGCTTCTGTCTAGTTGTTATGGGAAGATATTTCCTTTTCCAACATAGGCCTGAAAGCGCTCCAAATGTCCACTTCCAGATACTACAAAAGGAGTGATTCAAACCTGCTCTATGATAGGGAATGTTCAACTCTGTGTCCTGAATACAAACATCACAAAGATGTTTCTCAGAACGCTGCAGTCTGCAATTTGTATGAATTCCTGCTTCCAACGAAATCCTCAAAACTAGCCAAATATCCACTTGCAGATTCCACAAAAAGAGCGTTTCAAAACTTCTCTATGAAAAGAAAGGTTCTACTCCTTTAGTTGAGGACACACATCACGAGTAAGTTTCTGAGAATGCTTCTAGTCTAGTTTTTATGGGAAGATATTTCCTTTTTCACCTTAGGCCGGAAAGCGCTCCAAATGTCCACTTACACACACTACAAAAAGAGTGTTTCAAACCTGCTCTGTGAAAGGGAATGTTCAATTCTGTGACTTGAATGCAATCATCACAAAGAACTTTCTGAGAATGCTGCTGTCTGCTTTTTATTCGTAATCCCGTGTCCAACGAAATCCTCAAATCTAGCCAAATATCCACTTGCAGATTCCTCAAAAAGAGTGTTTCAAAACTGGTCTGTCAAAAGAAAGGTTCAACTCTGTTAGTTGAGGACACACGTCAGAAACTAGTTTCTGAGAAGGCTTCTGTTTAGTTGTTATGGGAAGATATTTCCTTTTCCAACGTAGGCCTGAAAGCGCTCCAAATGTCCACTTCCATATACTAAAAAAAGAGTGTTTCAAACCTGCTCTACCAAAGGGAATGTTCTACTCTGTGACTTGAATGCAAACATCCCAAAGAAGTTTCTGAGAATGCTTCTGTCTAGATTTTATCTGAAGACAATCCCGTTTCCAACGAAATCCTCAAGGCTAGGCAAATATACTCTTGCAGATTCCAGAAAAAGAGTGTTTCAAAACTGCTCCTTCAAAACGGTGGTTCAATTCTCTTAGTTGAGTACACACATCTCAAATAAGTTTCTGAGAATGCTTCTGCCTAGTTGTTACGGGAAGATATTTCCCTTTCCAACATGGGCCTGAAAGCGCTCCAAATGTCCACTTCCAGATACTACAAAAAGAGTGTTTCAAACCTGCTCTACCAAAGGGAATGTTCTACTCTGTGACTTGAATGCAAACATCCCAAAGAAGTTTCTGAGAATGCTTCTGTCTAGATTTTACCTGAAGACAATCCCGTTTCCCACGAAATCCTCAAAGCTATGCAAATATCCTCTTGCGGATTCTACAAAAAGAGTGTTTCAAAACTGCTCTATGAAAAGAAAGGTTCAACTCTGTCAGTAGAGGGCACACATCACAAACAAGTTTCTGAGAATGCTTGTGTCTAGTTTTTATGGGAAGATATTTCCTTTTTCAACATAGGCCTGAAAGCGCTCCAAATGTCCACTTCCAGATGCTACAAAAGGAGTGATTCCAACATGCTCTATGATAGGGAATGTTCATCTCTGTGTCCTGAATACAAACATCACAAAGATGTTTCTCAGAACGCTGCAGTCTGCAATTTGTATGAATTCCCGCTTCCAAAGAAATCCTCAAAACTAGCCAAATATCCACTTGGAGATTCCACAAAAAGAGCGTTTCAAAACTTCTCTATGAATAGAAAGGTTCTACTCCTTTAGTTGAGGACACACATCACGAGTAAGTTTCTGAGAATGCTTCTGTCTAGTTTTTATGGGAAGATATTTCCTTTTTCACCTTAGGCCGGTAAAGTGCTCCAAATGTCCACTTACACACACTACAAAAAGAGTGTTTCAAACCTGCTCTGTGAAAGGGAATGTTCAATTCTGTGACTTGAATGCAATCATCACAAAGAACTTTCTGAGAATGCTGCTGTCTGCTTTTTATATGTAATCCCGTTTCCAACGAAATCCTCAAATCTAGCCAAATAGCCACTTGCAGATTCCACAAAAAGAGAGTTTCAAAACTGTTCTGTCTAAAGAAATGTTCAAACTGTGTTAGTTGAGGACACACATCAGAAACTAGTTTCTGAGAATGCTTCTGTCTAGTTGTTATGGGAAGATATTTCCTTTTCCAAAGTAGGCCTGAAAGCGCTCCAAATGTCCACTTCCATATACGAAAAAAAGAGTGTTGCAAACCTGCTCTACCAAAGGGAATGTTCTACTCTGTGACTTGAATGCAAACATCCCAAAGAAGTTTCTGAGAATGCTTCTGTCTAGATTTTATCTGAAGACAATCCCGTTTCCAACGAAATCTTCAAGGCTAGGCAAATATACTCTTGCAGATTCCAGAAAAAGAGTGTTTCAAAACTGCTCCTTCAAAACGGTGGTTCAGTTCTCTCAGTTGAGTACACACATCTCAAATAAGTTTCTGAGAATGCTTCTGCCTAGTTGTTACGGGAAGATATTTCCCTTTCCAACATGGGCCTGAAAGCGCTCCAAATGTCCACTTCCAGATACTACAAAAAGAGGGTTTCAAACCTGCTCTACCAAAGGGAATGTTCTACTCTGTGACTTGAATGCAAACATCCCAAAGAAGTTTCTGAGAATGCTTCTGTCTAGATTTTACCTGAAGACAATCCCGTTTCCCACGAAATCCTCAAAGCTATGCAAATATCCTCTTGCAGATTCTACAAAAAGAGTGTTTCAAAACTGCTCTATGAAAAGAAAGGTTCAACTCTGTCAGTAGAGGGCACACATCACAAACAAGTTTCTGAGAATGCTTGTGTCTAGTTGTTATGGGAAGATATTTCCTTTTTCAACATAGGCCTGAAAGCGCTCCAAATGTCCACTTCCAGATACTACAAAAGGAGTGATTCCAACCTGCTCTATGATAGGGAATGTTCATCTCTGTGTCCTGAATACAAACATCACAAAGATGTTTCTCAGAACGCTGCAGTCTGCAATTTGTATGAATTCCCGCTTCCAACGAAATCCTCAAAACTAGCCAAATATCCACTTGGAGATTCCACAAAAAGAGCGTTTCAAAACTTCTCTATGAATAGAAAGGTTCTACTCCTTTAGTTGAGGACACACATCACGAGTAAGTTTCTGAGAATGCTTCTGTCTAGTTTTTATGGGAAGATATTTCCTTTTTCACCTTAGGCCGGAAAGCGCTCCAAATGTCCACTTACACACACTACAAAAAGAGTGTTTCAAACCTGCTCTGTGAAAGGGAATGTTCAATTCTGTGACTTGAATGCAATCATCACAAAGAACTTTCTGAGAATGCTGCTGTCTGCTTTTTATATGTAATCCCGTTTCCAACGAAATCCTCAAATCTAGCCCAATATCCACTTGCAGATTCCACAAAAAGAGTGTTTCAAAACTGTTCTGTATAAAGAAATGTACAACTGTGTTAGTTGAGGACACACATCACAAACTAGTTTCTGAGAATGCTCTCTGTCTAGTTGTTATGGGAAGATATTTCCTTTTCCAACGTAGGCCTGAAAGTGCTCCAAATGTCCACTTCCATATACTAAAAAAAGAGTGTTTCAAACCTGCTCTACCAAAGGGAATGTTCTACTCTGTGACTTGAATGCAAACATCCCAAAGAAGTTTCTGAGAATGCTTCTGTCTAGATTTTATCTGAAGACAATCCCGTTTCCAACGAAATCCTCAAGGCTAGGCAAATATACTCTTGCAGATTCCAGAAAAAGAGTGTTTCAAAACTGCTCCTTCAAAACGGTGGTTCAATTCTCTTAGTTGAGTACACACATCTCAAATAAGTTTCTGAGAATGCTTCTGCCTAGTTGTTACGGGAAGATATTTCCCTTTCCAACATGGGCCTGAAAGCGCTCCAAATGTCCACTTCCAGATACTACAAAAAGAGTGTTTCAAACCTGCTCTACCAAAGGGAATGTTCTACTCTGTGACTTGAATGCAAACATCCCAAAGAAGTTTCTGAGAATGCTTCTGTCTAGATTTTACCTGAAGACAATCCCGTTTCCCACGAAATCCTCAAAGTTATGCAAATATCCTCTTGCGGATTCTACAAAAAGAGTGTTTCAAAACTGCTCTATGAAAAGAAAGGTTCAACTCTGTCAGTAGAGGGCACACATCACAAACAAGTTTCTGAGAATGCTTGTGTCTAGTTGTTATGGGAAGATATTTCCTTTTTCAACATAGGCCTGAAAGCGCTCCAAATGTCCACTTCCAGATACTACAAAAGGAGTGATTCCAACATGCTCTATGGTAGGGAATGTTCATCTCTGTGTCTTGAATACAAACATCACAAAGATGTTTCTCAGAACGCTGCAGTCTGCAATTTGTATGAATTCCCGCTTCCAACGAAATCCTCAAAACTAGCCAAATATCCACTTGGAGATTCCACAAAAAGAGCGTTTCAAAACTTCTCTATGAATAGAAAGGTTCTACTCCTTTAGTTGAGGACACACATCACGAGTAAGTTTCTGAGAATGCTTCTCTCTAGTTTTTATGGGAAGATATGTCCTTTTTCACCTTAGGCCGGAAAGCGCTCCAAATGTCCACTTACACACACTACAAAAAGAGTGTTTCAAACCTGCTCTGTGAAAGGGAATGTTCAATTCTGTGACTTGAATGCAATCATCACAAAGAACTTTCTGAGAATGCTGCTGACTGTTTTTTATATGTAATCCCGTTTCCAACGAAATCCTCAAATCTTGCCCAATATCCACTTGCAGATTCCACAAAAAGAGTGTTTCAAAACTGTTCTGTCTAAAGAAAAGTTCAACTGTGTTAGTTGAGGACACATATCAGAAACTAGTTTCTGAGAATGCTTCTGTCTAGTTGTTATGGGAAGATATTTCCTTTTCCAACGTAGGCCTGAAAGCGCTCCAAATGTCCACTTCCATATACTAAAAAAAGAGTGTTTCAAACCTGCTCTACCAAAGGGAATGTTCTACTCTGTGACTTGAATGCAAACATCCCAAAGAAGTTTCTGAGAATGCTTCTGTCTAGATTTGATCTGAAGACAATCCCGTTTCCAACGAAATCCTCAAGGCTAGGCAAATATACTCTTGCAGATTCCAGAAAAAGAGTGTTTCAAAACTGCTCCTTCAAAACGGTGGTTCAATTCTCTTAGTTGAGTACACACATCTCAAATAAGTTTCTGAGAATGCTTCTGCCTAGTTATTACGGGAAGATATTTCCCTTTCCAACATGGGCCTGAAAGCGCTCCAAATGTCCACTTCCAGATACAACAAAAAGAGTGTTTCAAACCTGCTCTGCCAAAGGGAATGTTCTACTCTGTGACTTGAATGCAATCATCCCAAAGATGTTTCTGAGAATGCTTCTGTCTAGATTTTACCTGAAGACAATCCCGTTTCCCACGAAATCCTCAAAGCTATGCAAATATCCTCTTGCAGATTCTACAAAAAGAGTGTTTCAAAACTGCTCTATGAAAAGAAAGGTTCAACTCTGTCAGTAGAGGGCACACATCACAAACAAGTTTCTGAGAATGCTTCTGCATAGTTGTTACGGGAAGATATTTCCCTTTCCAAAATAGGCCTGAAAGCGCTCCAAATGTCCACTTCCAGATACTACAAAAGGAGTGATTCCAACCTGCTCTATGATAGGGAATGTTCAACTCTGTGTCCTGAATACAAACATCACAAAGATGTTTCTCAGAACGCTGCAGTCTGCAATTTGTATGAATTCCCGCTTCCAACGAAATCCTCAAAACTAGCCAAATATCCACTTGCAGATTCCACAAAAAGACCATTTCAAAACTGCTCTATCAAAAGAAAGGTTCAACTTTGTTAGTTGAGTAGATACAGCATAAACAAGTTTCTGAGAATGCTTCTGTCCAGTTTTTATGGGAAGATATTTCCTTTTTCACCTTAGCCCTGAAATCGCTCCAAAAGTCCAGTTCCAGATACTACAAAACGGGTGTTTCAAGACTGCTCTATGAAAGGGAGTGTTCAACTTTTGACTTGAATGCAAACATCAGAAAGCAGTTTCTCAGAACGCTGCTGTGTGCTTTTTATATGTATTCCCGCTTCCAGCGAAATCCCCAAAGCTAGCCAAATATCCACTTGCAGATTCCAGAAAAAGAGAGTTTCAAAACTGCTCCTTCAAAACGGTGGTTCAATTCTCTTAGTTGAGTACACACATCTCAAATAAGTTTCTGAGAATGCTTCTGTCTAGTTGTTATGGGAAGATATTTCCTTTTCCAACATAGGCCTGAAAGCGCTCCAAATGTCCACTTCCAGATACTACAAAAGGAGTGATTCCAACCTGCTCTATGATAGGGAATGTTCAACTCTGTGTCCTGAATACAAACATCACAAAGATGTTTCTCAGAACGCTGCAGTCTGCAATTTGTATGAATTCCCGCTTCCAACGAAATCCTCAAAACTAGCCAAATATCCACTTGCAGATTCCACAAAAAGAGCGTTTCAAAACTTCTCTATGAAAAGAAAGGTTCTACTCCTTTAGTTGAGGACACACATCACGAGTAAGTTTCTGAGAATGCTTCTGTCTAGTTTTTATGGGAAGATATGTCCTTTTTCACCTTAGGCCGGAAAGCGCTCCAAATGTCCACTTACACACACTACAAAAAGAGTGTTTCAAACCTGCTCTGTGAAAGGGAATGTTCAATTCTGTGACTTGAATGCCATCATCACAAAGAACTTTCTGAGAATGCTGCTGACTGTTTTTTATATGTAATCCCGTTTCCAACGAAATCCTCAAATCTAGCCCAATATCCACTTGCAGATTCCACAAAAAGAGTGTTTCAAAACTGTTCTGTCTAAAGAAAAGTTCAACTGTGTTAGTTGAGGACACATATCAGAAACTAGTTTCTGAGAATGCTTCTGTCTAGTTGTTATGGGAAGATATTTCCTTTTCCAACGTAGGCCTGAAAGCGCTCCAAATGTCCACTTCCATATACTAAAAAAAGAGTGTTTCAAACCTGCTCTACCAAAGGGAATGTTCTACTCTGTGACTTGAATGAAAACATCCCAAAGAAGTTTCTGAGAATGCTTCTGTCTAGATTTGATCTGAAGACAATCCCGTTTCCAATGAAATCCTCAAGGCTAGGCAAATATCCTCTTGCAGATTCCAGAAAAAGAGTGTTTCAAAACTGCTCCTTCAAAACGGTGATTCAATTCTCTTAGTTGAGTACACACATCTCAAATAAGTTTCTGAGAATGCTTCTGCCTAGTTGTTACGGGAAGATATTTCCCTTTCCAACATAGGCCTGAAAGCGCTCCAAATGTCCACTTCCAGATAATACAAAAAGAGTGTTTCAAACCTGCTCTACCAAAGGGAACGTTCTACTCTGTGACTTGAATGCAAACATCCCAAAGAAGTTTCTGAGAATGCTTCTGTCTAGATTTTACCTGAAGACAATCCCGTTTCCCACGAAATCCTCAAAGCTATGCAAATATCCTCTTGCAGATTCTACAAAAAGCGTTTCAAAACTTCTCTATGAAAAGAAAGGTTCTACTCATTTAGTGGAGGACACACATCACGAGTAAGTTTCTGAGAATGCTTCTGTCTAGTTTTTATGGGAAGATATTTCCTTTTTCACCTTAGGCCGGAAAGTGCTCCAAATGTCCAATTACACACACTAAAAAAGAGTATTTCAAACCTGCTCTGTGAAAGGGAATGTTCAATTCTGTGACTTGAATGCAATCATCACAAAGAACTTTCTGAGAATGCTGCTGACTGCTTTTTATATGTAATCCCGTTTCCAACGAAATCCTCAAATCTAGCCAAATAGCCACTTGCAGATTCCACAAAAAGAGTGTTTCAAAACTGTTCTGTCTAAAGAAATGTGCAACTGTGTTAGTTGAGGACACACATCAGAAACTAGTTTCTGAGAATGCTTCTGTCTAGTTGTTATGGGAAGATATTTCCTTTTCCATCGTAGGCCTGAATGCGCTCCAAATGTCCACTTCCATATACCAAAAAAAGAGTGTTTCAAACCTGCTCTACCAAAGGGAATGTTCTACTCTCTGACTTGAATGCAAACATCCCAAAGAAGTTTCTGAGAATGCTTCTGTCTAGATTTGATCTGAAGACAATCCCGTTTCCAACGAAATCCTCAAGGCTAGGCAAATATCCTCTTGCAGATTCCAGAAAAAGAGTGTTTCAAAACTGCTCCTTCAAAACGGTGGTTCAATTCTCTTAGTTGAGTACACACATCTCAAATAAGTTTCTGAGAATGCTTCTGCCTAGTTGTTACGGGAAGATATTTCCCTTTCCAACATAGGCCTGAAAGCGCTCCAAATGTCCACTTCCAGATACTACAAAAAGAGTGTTTCAAACCTACTCTACCAAAGGGAATGTTCTACTCTGTGACTTGAATGCAAACATCCCAAAGAAGTTTCTGAGAATGCTTCTGTCTAGATTTTACCTGAAGACAATCCCGTTTCCCACGAAATCCTCAAAGCTATGCAAATATCCTCTTGCAGATTCTACAAAAAGAGTGTTTCAAAACTGCTCTATGAAAAGAAAGGTTCAACTCTGTCAGTAGAGGGCACACATCACAAACAAGTTTCTGAGAATGCTTGTGTCTAGTTGTTATGGGAAGATATTTCCTTTTTCAACATAGGCCTGAAAGCGCTCCAAATGTCCACTTCCAGATACTACAAAAGGAGTGATTCCAACCTGCTCTATGATAGGGAATGTTCAACTCTCTGTCCTGAATACAAACATCACAAA
The DNA here is from genome assembly GCF_000001405.40 of Homo sapiens. Taxonomy (NCBI): domain Eukaryota; kingdom Metazoa; phylum Chordata; class Mammalia; order Primates; family Hominidae; genus Homo; species Homo sapiens. The sequence continues at coordinate 16,078,525 of NC_000018.10, read as the reverse complement.
GATGTTTCTCAGAACGCTGCAGTCTGCAATTTGTATGAATTCCCGCTTCCAAAGAAATCCTCAAAACTAGCCAAATATCCACTTGCAGATTCCACAAAAAGAGCATTTCAAAACTGCTCTATCAAAAGAAAGGTTCAACTTTGTTAGTTGAGTAGATACAGCATAAACAAGTTTCTGAGAATGCTTCTGTCCAGTTTTTATGGGAAGATATTTCCTTTTTCACCTTAGCCCTGAAAGCGCTCCAAAAGTCCAGTTCCAGATACTACAAAAGGGGTGTTTCAAGACTGCTCTATGAAAGGGAGTGTTCAACTTTTGACTTGAATGCAAACATCAGAAAGCAGTTTCTCAGAACGCTGCTGTGTGCTTTTTATATGTATTCCCGCTTCCAGCGAAATCCCCAAAGCTAGCCAAATATCCACTTGCAGATTCCAGAAAAAGAGTGTTTCAAAACTGCTCCTTCAAAACGGTGGTTCAATTCTCTTAGTTGAGTACACACATCTCAAATAAGTTTCTGAGAATGCTTCTGTCTAGTTGTTATGGGAAGATATTTCCTTTTCCAACATAGGCCTGAAAGCGCTCCAAATGTCCACTTCCAGATACTACAAAAGGAGTGATTCAAACCTGCTCTATGATAGGGAATGTTCAACTCTGTGTCCTGAATACAAACATCACAAAGATGTTTCTCAGAACGCTGCAGTCTGCAATTTGTATGTATTCCAGCTTCCAACGAAATCCTCAAATCTAGCCAAATATCCACGTGCAGATTCCACAAAAAGAGCATTTCAAAACTGCTCTATCAAAAGAAAGGTTCAACTTTTTTAGTAGAGTAGATACAGCATAAACAAGTTTCTGAGAATGCTTCTGTCCAGTTTTTATGGGAAGATATTTCCTTTTTCACCTTAGCCCTGAAAGCGCTCCAAAAGTCCAGTTCCAGATACTACAAAAGGAGTGTTTCAGGACTGCTCTATGAAAGGGAGTGTTCAACTTTTGACTTGAATGCAAACATCAGAAAGCAGTTTCTCAGAACGCTGCTGTGTGCTTTTTATATGTATTCCCGCTTCCAGCGAAATCCCCAAAGCTAGCCAAATATCCACTTGCAGATTCCAGAAAAAGAGTGTTTCAAAACTGCTCCTTCAAAACGGTGGTTCAATTCTCTTAGTTGAGTACACACATCTCAAATAAGTTTCTGAGAATGCTTCTGTCTAGTTGTTATGGGAAGATATTTCCTTTTCCAACATAGGCCTGAAAGCGCTCCAAATGTCCACTTCCAGATACTACAAAAGGAGTGATTCCAACCTGCTCTATGATAGGGAATGTTCAACTCTGTGTCCTGAATACAAACATCACAAAGATGTTTCTCAGAACGCTGCAGTCTGCAATTTGTATGAATTCCCGCTTCCAACGAAATCCTCCAAACTAGCCAAATATCCACTTGCAGATTCCACAAAAAGAGCGTTTCAAAACTTCTCTATGAAAAGAAAGGTTCTACTCCTTTAGTTGAGGACACACATCACGAGTAAGTTTCCTGAGAATGCTTTCTGTCTAGTTTTTATGGGAAGATATTTCCTTTTTCACCTTAGGCCGGTAAGTGCTCCAAATGTCCACTTACACACACTACAAAAAGAGTCTTTCAAACCTGCTCTGTGAAAGGGAATGTTCAATTCTGTGACTTGAATGCAATCATCACAAAGAACTTTCTGAGAATGCTGCTGTCTGCTTTTTATATGTAATCCCGTTTCCAACGAAATCCTCAAATCTAGCCAAATAGCCACTTGCAGATTCCACAAAAAGAGTGTTTCAAAACTGTTCTGTCTACAGAAATGTTCAACTGTGTTAGTTGAGGACACACATCAGAAACTAGTTTCTGAGAATGCTTCTGTCTAGTTGTTATGGGAAGATATTTCCTTTTCCAACGTAGGCCTGAAAGCGCTCCAAATGTCCACTTCCAGATACTACAAAAGGAGTGATTCCAACCTGCTCTATGATAGGGAATGTTCAACTCTGTGTCCTGAATACAAACATCACAAAGATGTTTCTCAGAACGCTGCAGTCTGCAATTTGTATGAATTCCCGCTTCCAACGAAATCCTCCAAACAAGCCAAATATCCACTTGCAGATTCCACAAAAAGAGCGTTTCAAAACTTCTCTATGAAAAGAAAGGTTCTACTCCTTTAGTTGAGGACACACATCACGAGTAAGTTTCTGAGAATGCTTCTGTCTAGTTTTTATGGGAAGATATTTCCTTTCTCACCTTAGGCCGGAAAGTGCTCCAAATGTCCACTTACACACACTACAAAAAGAGTGTTTCAAACCTGCTCTGTGAAAGGGAATGTTCAATTCTGTGACTTGAATGCAATCATCACAAAGAACTTTCTGAGAATGCTGCTGTCTGCTTTTTATATGTAATCCCGTTTCCAACGAAATCCTCAAATCTAGCCAAATAGCCACTTGCAGATTCCACAAAAAGAGAGTTTCAAAACTGTTCTGTCTAAAGAAATGTTCAACTGTGTTAGTTGAGGACACACATCAGAAACTAGTTTCTGAGAATGCTTCTGTCTAGTTGTTATGGGAAGATATTTCGTTTTCCAACGTAGGCCTGAAAGCGCTCCAAATGTCCACTTCCATATACTAAAAAAAGAGTGTTTCACACCTGCTCTACCAAAGGGAATGTTCTACTCTGTGACTTGAATGCAAACATCCCAAAGAAGTTTCTGAGAATGCTTCTGTCTAGATTTGATCTGAACACAATCCCGTTTCCAACGAAATCCTCAAAGCTAGGCAAATATCCTCTTGCAGATTCCAGAAAAAGAGTGTTTCAAAACTGCTCCTTCAAAACGGTGGTTCAATTCTCTTAGTTGAGTACACACATCTCAAATAAGTTTCTGAGAATGCTTCTGCCTAGTTGTTACCGGAAGATATTTCCCTTTCCAACATAGGCCTGAAAGCGCTCCAAATGTCCACTTCCAGATACTACAAAAAGAGTGTTTCAAACCTGCTCTACCAAAGGGAATGTTCTACTCTGTGACTTGAATGCAAACATCCCAAAGAAGTTTCTGAGAATGCTTCTGTCTAGATTTTACCTGAAGACAATCCCGTTTCCCACGAAATCCTCAAATCTATGCAAATATCCTCTTGCAGATTCTACAAAAAGAGTGTTTCAAAACTGCTCTATGAAAAGAAAGGTTCAACTCTGTCAGTAGAGGGCACACATCACAAACAAGTTTCTGAGAATGCTTGTGTCTAGTTGTTATGGGAAGATATTTCCTTTTTCAACATAGGCCTGAAAGCGCTCCAAATGTCCACTTCCAGATACTACAAAAGGAGTGATTCCAACCTGCTCTATGATAGGGAATGTTCAACTCTGTGTCCTGAATACAAACATCACAAAGATGTTTCTCAGAACGCTGCAGTCTGCAATTTGTATGAATTCCCGCTTCCAACGAAATCCTCAAAACTAGCCAAATATCCACTTGCAGATTCCACAAAAAGACCATTTCAAAACTGCTCTATCAAAAGAAAGGTTCAACTTTGTTAGTTGAGTAGATACAGCATAAACAAGTTTCTGAGAATGCTTCTGTCCAGTTTGTATGGGAAGATATTTCCTTTTTCACCTTAGCCCTGAAATCGCTCCAAAAGTCCAGTTCCAGATACTACAAAAGGGGTGTTTCAAGACTGCTCTATGAAAGGGAGTGTTCAACTTTTGACTTGAATGCAAACATCAGAAAGCAGTTTCTCAGAACGCTGCTGTGTGCTTTTTATATGTATTCCCGCTTCCAGCGAAATCCCCAAAGCTAGCCAAATATCCACTTGCAGATTCCAGAAAAAGAGTGTTTCAAAACTGCTCCTTCAAAACGGTGGTTCAATTCTCTTAGTTGAGTACACACATCTCAAATAAGTTTCTGAGAATGCTTCTGTCTAGTTGTTACGGGAAGATATTTCCTTTTCCAACATAGGCCTGAAAGCGCTCCAAATGTCCACTTCCAGATACTACAAAAGGAGTGATTCAAACCTGCTCTATGATAGGGAATGTTCAACTCTGTGTCCTGAATACAAACATCACAAAGATGTTTCTCAGAACGCTGCAGTCTGCAATTTGTATGAATTCCCGCTTCCAACGAAATCCTCCAAACTAGCCAAATATCCACTTGCAGATTCCACAAAAAGAGCGTTTCAAAACTTCTCTATGAAAAGAAAGGTTCTACTCCTTTAGTTGAGGACACACATCACGAGTAAGTTTCTGAGAATGCTTCTGTCTAGTTTTTATGGGAAGATATTTTCCTTGTTCACCTTAGGCCGGAAAGCGCTCCAAATGTCCACTTACACACACTACAAAAAGAGTGTTTCAAACCTGCTCTGTGAAAGGGAATGTTCAATTCTGTGACTTGAATGCAATCATCACAAAGAAGTTTCTGAGAATGCTGCTGTCTGGTTTTTATATGTAATCCCGTTTCCAACGAAATCCTCAAATGTAGCCAAATATCCACTTGCAGATTCCACAAAAAGAGTGTTTCAAAACTGTTCTGTCAAAAGAAATGTTCAACTCTGTTAGTTGAGGACACACATCAGAAACTAGTTTCTGAGAATGCTTCTGTCTAGTTGTTATGGGAAGATATTTCCTTTTCCAAAGTAGGCCTGAAAGCGCTCCAAATGTCCATTTCCATATACTAAAAAAAGAGTGTTTCAAACCTGCTCTACCAAAGGGAATGTTCTACTCTGTGACTTGAATGCAAACATCCCAAAGAAGTTTCTGAGAATGGTTCTGTCTAGATTTTACCTGAAGACAATCCCGTTTCCCACGAAATCCTCAAAGCTATGCAAATATCCTCTTGCAGATTCTACAAAAAGAGTGTTTCGAAACTACTCTATGAAAAGAAAGATTCAACTGTGTCAGTAGAGGGCACACATCACAAACAAGTTTCTGAGAATGCTTCTGTCTAGTTGTTATGGGAAGATATTTCCTTTTTCAACATAGGCCTGAAAGCGCTCCAAATGTCCACTTCCAGATACTACAAAAGGAGTGATTCCAACCTGCTCTATTATAGGGAATGTTCAACTCTGTGTCCTGAATACAAACATCACAAAGATGTTTCTCAGAACGCTGCAGTCTGCAATTTGTATGAATTCCCGCTTCCAACGAAATCCTCCAAACTAGCCAAATATCCACTTGCAGATTCCACAAAAAGAGCGTTTCAAAACTTCTCTATGAAAAGAAAGGTTCTACTCCTTTAGTTGAGGACACACATCACGAGTAAGTTTCTGAGAATGCTTCTGTCTAGTTTTTATGGGAAGATATTTCCTTTTTCACCTTAGGCCGGTAAGTGCTCCAAATGTCCACTTACACACACTACAAAAAGAGTCTTTCAAACCTGCTCTGTGAAAGGGAATGTTCAATTCTGTGACTTGAATGCAATCATCACAAAGAACTTTCTGAGAATGCTGCTGTCTGCTTTTTATATGTAATCCCGTTTCCAACGAAATCCTCAAATCTAGCCAAATAGCCACTTGCAGATTCCACAAAAAGAGAGTTTCAAAACTGTTCTGTCTAAAGAAATGTTCAACTGTGTTAGTTGAGGACACACATCAGAAACTAGTTTCTGAGAATGCTTCTGTCTAGTTGTTATGGGAAGATATTTCCTTTTCCAACGTAGGCCTGAAAGCGCTCCAAATGTCCACTTCCATATACTAAAAAAAGAGTGTTTCAAACCTGCTCTACCAAAGGGAATGTTCTACTCTGTGACTTGAATGCAAACATCCCAAAGAAGTTTCTGAGAATGCTTCTGTCTAGATTTGATCTGAAGACAATCCCGTTTCCAACGAAATCCTCAAGGCTAGGCAAATATCCTCTTGCAGCTTCCAGAAAAAGAGTGTTTCAAAACTGCTCCTTCAAAACGGTGGTTCAATTCTCTTAGTTGAGTACACACATCCACATCTCAAATAAGTTTCTGAGAATGCTTCTGCCTAGTTGTTACGGGAAGATATTTCCCTTTCCAACATAGGCCTGAAAGCGCTCCAAATGTCCACTTCCAGATACTACAAAAAGAGTGTTTCAAACCTGCTCTACCAAAGGGAATGTTCTGCTCTGTGACTTGAATGCAAACATCCCAAAGAAGTTTCTGAGAATGCTTCTGTCTAGATTTTACCTGAAGACAATCCCGTTTCCCACGAAATCCTCAAAGCTATGCAAATATCCTCTTGCAGATTCTACAAAAAGAGTGTTTCAAAACTGCTCTATGAAAAGAAAGGTTCAACTCTGTCAGTAGAGGGCACACATCACAAACAAGTTTCTGAGAATGCTTCTGTCTAGTTGTTATGGGAAGATATTTCCTTTTTCAACATAGGCCTGAAAGCGCTCCAAATGTCCACTTCCAGATACTACAAAAGGAGTGATTCCAACCTGCTCTATGATAGGGAATGTTCAACTCTGTGTCCTGAATACAAACATTACAAAGACGTTTCTCAGAACGCTGCAGTCTGCAATTTGTATGAATTCCCGCTTCCAACGAAATCCTCAAACCTAGCCAAATATCCACTTGCAGATTCCACAAAAAGAGCATTTCAAACTGCTCTATCAAAAGAAAGGTTCAACTTTGTTAGTTGAGTAGATATAGCATAAACAAGTTTCTGAGAATGCTTCTGTCCAGTTTTTATGGGAAGATATTTCCTTTTTCACCTTAGCCCTGAAAGCGCTCCCAATGTCCACTTCCAGATACTACAAAAGGGGTGTTTCAGGCCTGCTCTATGAAAGGGACTGTTCAACTTTTGACTTGAATGCAAACATCAGAAAGCAGTTTCTCAGAACGCTGCTGTGTGCTTTTTATATGTATTCCCGCTTCCAGCGAAATCCCCAAATCTAGCCAAATATCCACTTGCAGATTCCAGAAAAAGAGTGTTTCAAAACTGCTCCTTCAAAACGGTGGTTTAATTCTCTTAGTTGAGTACACACATCTCAAATAAGTTTCTGAGAATGCTTCTGTCCAGTTTTTATGGGAAGATATTTCCTTTTCCACCTTAGCCCTGAAAGCGCTCCAAAAGTCCAGTTCCAGATACTACAAAAGGAGTGTTTCAGGACTGCTCTATGAAAGGGAGTGTTCAACTTTTGACTTGAATGCAAACATCAGAAAGCAGTTTCTCAGAACGCTGCAGTCTGCAATTTGTATGAATTCCCGCTTCCAACGAAATCCTCAAAACTAGACAAATATCCACTTGCAGATTCCACAAAAAGAGCGTTTCAAAACTTCTCTATGAAAACAAAGGTTCTACTCCTTTAGTTGAGGACACACATCACGAGTAAGTTTCTGAGAATGCTTCTGTCTAGTTTTTATGGGAAGATATTTCCTTTTTCACCTTAGGCCGGAAAGTGCTCCAAAGGTCCACTTACACACACTATAAAAAGAGTGTTTCAAACCTGCTCTGTGAAAGGGAATGTTCAATTCTGTGACTTGAATGCAATCATCACAAAGAACTTTCTGAGAATGCTGCTGTCTGCTTTTTATATGTAATCCCGTTTCCAACGAAATCCTCAAATCTAGCCAAATAGCCACTTGCAGATTCCACAAAAAGAGAGTTTCAAAACTGTTCTGTCTAAAGAAATGTTCAACTGTGTTAGTTGAGGACACACATCAGAAACTAGTTTCTGAGAATGCTTCTGTCTAGTTGTTATGGGAAGATATTTCCTTTTCCAACGTAGGCCTGAAAGCGCTCCAAATGTCCACTTCCATATACTAAAAAAAGAGTGTTTCAAACCTGCTCTACCAAAGGGAATGTTCTACTCTGTGACTTGAATGCAAACATCCCAAAGAAGTTTCTGAGAATGCTTCTGTCTAGATTTTATCTGAAGACAATCCCGTTTCCAACGAAATCCTCAAGGCTAGGCAAATATCCTCTTGCAGATTCCAGAAAAAGAGTGTTTCAAAACTGCTCCTTCAAAACGGTGGTTCAATTCTCTTAGTTGAGTACACACATCTCAAATAAGTTTCTGAGAATGCTTCTGCCTAGTTGTTACGGGAAGATATTTCCCTTTCCAACATGGGCCTGAAATCGCTCCAAATGTCCACTTCCAGATACTACAAAAGGAGTGATTCAAACCTGCTCTACCAAAGGGAATGTTCTGCTCTGTGACTTGAATGCAAACATCCCAAAGAAGTTTCTGAGAATGCTTCTGTCTAGATTTTACCTGAAGACAATCCCGTTTCCCACGAAATCCTCAAAGCTATGCAAATATCCTCTTGCAGATTCTACAAAAAGAGTGTTTCAAAACTGCTCTATGAAAAGAAAGGTTCAACTCTGTCAGTAGAGGGCACACATCACAAACAAGTTTCTGAGAATGCTTGTGTCTAGTTGTTATGGGAAGATATTTCCTTTTTCAACATAGGCCTGAAAGCGCTCCAAATGTCCACTTCCAGATACTACAAAAGGAGTGATTCAAACCTGCTCTATGATAGGGAATGTTCAACTCTCTGTCCTGAATACAAACATCACAAAGATGTTTCTCAGAACGCTGCAGTCTGCAATTTGTATGAATTCCCGCTTCCAACGAAATCCTCAAAACTAGCCAAATATCCACTTGCAGATTCCACAAAAAGAGCATTTCAAAACTGCTCTATCAAAAGAAAGGTTCAACTTTGTTAGTTGAGTAGATACAGCATAAACAAGTTTCTGAGAATGCTTCTGTCCAGTTTTTATGGGAAGATATTTCCTTTTTCACCTTAGCCCTGAAAGCGCTCCAAAAGTCCAGTTCCAGATACTACAAAAGGAGTGTTTCAGGACTGCACTATGAAAGGGAGTGTTCAACTTTTGACTTGAATGCAAACATCAGAAAGCAGTTTCTCAGAACGCTGCTGTGTGCTTTTTATATGTATTCCCGCTTCCAGCGAAATCCCCCAAAGCTAGCCAAATATCCACTTGCAGATTCCAGAAAAAGAGTGTTTCAAAACTGCTCCTTCAAAACGGTGGTTCAATTCTCTTAGTTGAGTACACACATCTCAAATAAGTTTCTGAGAATGCTTCCTGTCTATTTGTTATGGGAAGATATTTCCTTTTCCAACATAGGGCCTGAAAGCGCTCCAAATGTCCACTTCCAGATACTACAAAAGGAGTGATTCAAACCTGCTCTATGATAGGGAATGTTCAACTCTGTGTCCTGAATACAAACATCACAAAGATGTTTCTCAGAACGCTGCAGTCTGCAATTTGTATGAATTCCCGCTTCCAACGAAATCCTCCAAACTAGCCAAATATCCACTTGCAGATTCCACAAAAAGAGCGTTTCAAAACTTCTCTATGAAAAGAAAGGTTCTACTCCTTTAGTTGAGGACACACATCACGAGTAAGTTTCTGAGAGTGCTTCTGTCTAGTTTTTATGGGAAGATATGTCCTTTTCACCTTAGGCCGGAAAGCGCTCCAAATGTCCACTTACACACACTACAAAAAGAGTGTTTCAAACCTGCTCTGTGAAAGGGAATGTTCAATTCTGTGACTTGAATGCAATCATCACAAAGAACTTTCTGAGAATGCTGCTGTCTGCTTTTTATATGTAATCCCGTTTCCAACGAAATCCTCAAATCTAGCCCAATATCCACTTGCAGATTCCACAAAAAGAGTGTTTCAAAACTGTTCTGTATAAAGAAATGTACAACTGTGTTAGTTGAGGACACACATCAGAAACTAGTTTCTGAGAATGCTTCTGTCTAGTTGTTATGGGAAGATATTTCCTTTTCCAACGTAGGCCTGAAAGCGCTCCAAATGTCCACTTCCATATACTAAAAAAAGAGTGTTTCAAACCTGCTCTACCAAAGGGAATGTTCTACTCTGTGACTTGAATGCAAACATCCCAAAGAAGTTTCTGAGAATGCTTCTGTCTAGATTTTATCTGAAGACAATCCCGTTTCCAACGAAATCCTCAAGGCTAGGCAAATATACTCTTGCAGATTCCAGAAAAAGAGGGTTTCAAAACTGCTCCTTCAAAACGGTGGTTCAATTCTCTTAGTTGAGTACACACATCTCAAATAAGTTTCTGAGAATGCTTCTGCCTAGTTGTTACGGGAAGATATTTCCCTTTCCAACATAGGCCTGAAAGCGCTCCAAATGTCCACTTCCAGATACTACAAAAAGAGTGTTTCAAACCTGCTCTACCAAAGGGAATGTTCTACTCTGTGACTTGAATGCAAACATCCCAAAGAAGTTTCTGAGAATGCTTCTGTCTAGATTTTACCTGAAGACAATCCCGTTTCCCACGAAATCCTCAAAGCTATGCAAATATCCTCTTGCGGATTCTACAAAAAGAGTGTTTCAAAACTGCTCTATGAAAAGAAAGGTTCAACTCTGTCAGTAGAGGGCACACATCACAAACAAGTTTCTGAGAATGCTTGTGTCTAGTTGTTATGGGAAGATATTTCCTTTTTCAACATAGGCCTGAAAGCGCTCCAAATGTCCACTTCCAGATACTACAAAAGGAGTGATTCCAACCTGCTCTATGATAGGGAATGTTCATCTCTGTGTCCTGAATACAAACATCACAAAGATGTTTCTCAGAACGCTGCAGTCTGCAATTTGTATGAATTCCCGCTTCCAACGAAATCCTCAAAACTAGCCAAATATCCACTTGGAGATTCCACAAAAAGAGCGTTTCAAAACTTCTCTATGAATAGAAATGTTCTACTCCTTTAGTTGAGGACACACATCACGAGTAAGTTTCTGAGAATGCTTCTGTCTAGTTTTTATGGGAAGATATGTCCTTTTTCACCTGAGGCCGGAAAGCGCTCCAAATGTCCACTTACACACACTACAAAAAGAGGGTTTCAAACCTGCTCTGTGAAAGGGAATGTTCAATTCTGTGACTTGAATGCAATCATCACAAAGAACTTTCTGAGAATGCTGCTGTCTGCTTTTTATATGTAATCCCGTTTCCAACGAAATCCTCAAATCTAGCCAAATATCCACTTGCAGATTCCACAAAAAGAGTGTTTCAAAACTGTTCTGTCTAAAGAAAAGTTCAACTGTGTTAGTTGAGGACACACATCAGAAACTAGTTTCTGAGAATGCTTCTGTCTAGTTGTTATGGGAAGATATTTCCTTTTCCAACGTAGGCCTGAAAGCGCTCCAAATGTCCACTTCCATATACTAAAAAAAGAGTGTTTCAAACCTGCTCTACCAAAGGGAATGTTCTACTCTGTGACTTGAATGCAAACATCCCAAAGAAGTTTCTGAGAATGCTTCTGTCTAGATTTTATCTGAAGACAATCCCGTTTCCAACGAAATCCTCAAGGCTAGGCAAATATACTCTTGCAGATTCCAGAAAAAGAGTGTTTCAAAACTGCTCCTTCAAAACGGTGGTTCAATTCTCTTAGTTGAGTACACACATCTCAAATAAGTTTCTGAGAATGCTTCTGCCTAGTTGTTACGGGAAGATATTTCCCTTTCCAACATAGGCCTGAAAGCGCTCCAAATGTCCACTTCCAGATACTACAAAAAGAGTGTTTCAAACCTGCTCTACCAAAGGGAATGTTCTACTCTGTGACTTGAATGCAAACATCCCAAAGAAGTTTCTGAGAATGCTTCTGTCTAGATTTTACCTGAAGACAATCCCGTTTCCCACGAAATCCTCAAAGCTATGCAAATATCCTCTTGCAGATTCTACAAAAAGAGAGTTTCAAAACTGCTCTATGAAAAGAAAGGTTCAACTCTGTCAGTAGAGGGCACACATCACAAACAAGTTTCTGAGAATGCTTCTGCATAGTTGTTATGGGAAGATATTTCCCTTTCCAAAATAGGCCTGAAAGCGCTCCAAATGTCCACTTCCAGATACTACAAAAGGAGTGATTCCAACCTGCTCTAGGACAGGGAATGTTCAACTCTGTGTCCTGAATAAAAACATCACAAAGATGTTTCTCAGAACGCTGCAGTCTGCAATTTGTATGAATTCCCGCTTCCAACGAAATCCTCAAAACTAGCCAAATATCCACTTGCAGATTCCACAAAAAGACCATTTCAAAACTGCTCTATCAAAAGAAAGGTTCAACTTTGTTAGTTGAGTAGATACAGCATAAACAAGTTTCTGAGAATGCTTCTGTCCAGTTTTTATGGGAAGATATTTCCTTTTTCACCTTAGCCCTGAAATCGCTCCAAAAGTCCAGTTCCAGATACTACAAAAGGGGTGTTTCAAGACTGCTCTATGAAAGGGAGTGTTCAACTTTTGACTTGAATGCAAACATCAGAAAGCAGTTTCTCAGAACGCTGCTGTGTGCTTTTTATATGTATTCCCGCTTCCAGCGAAATCCCCAAAGCTAGCCAAATATCCACTTGCAGATTCCAGAAAAAGAGAGTTTCAAAACTGCTCCTTCAAAACGGTGGTTCAATTCTCTTAGTTGAGTACACACATCTCAAATAAGTTTCTGAGAATGCTTCTGTCTAGTTGTTATGGGAAGATATTTCCTTTTCCAACATAGGCCTGAAAGCGCTCCAAATGTCCACTTCCAGATACTACAAAAGGAGTGATTCAAACCTGCTCTATGATAGGGAATGTTCAACTCTGTGTCCTGAATACAAACATCACAAAGATGTTTCTCAGAACGCTGCAGTCTGCAATTTGTATGAATTCCCGCTTCCAACGAAATCCTCAAAACTAGCCAAATATCCACTTGCAGATTCCACAAAAAGAGCGTTTCAAAACTTCTCTATGAAAAGAAAGGTTCTACTCCTTTAGTTGAGGACACACATCACGAGTAAGTTTCTGAGAATGCTTCTGTCTAGTTTTTATGGGAAGATATTTCCTTTTTCACCTTAGGCCGGTAAGTGCTCCAAATGTCCACTTACACACACTACAAAAAGAGTGTTTCAAACCTGCTCTGTGAAAGGGAATGTTCAATTCTGTGACTTGAATGCAATCATCACAAAGAACTTTCTGAGAATGCCGCTGACTGCTTTTTATATGTAATCCCGTTTCCAACGAAATCCTCAAATCTAGCCAAATAGCCACTTGCAGATTCCACAAAAAGAGTGTTTCAAAACTGTTCTGTCTAAAGAAATGTTCAACTGTGTTAGTTGAGGACACACATCAGAAACTAGTTTCTGAGAATGCTTCTGTCTAGTTGTTATGGGAAGATATTTCCTTTTCCAACGTAGGCCTGAAAGCGCTCCAAATGTCCACTTCCAGATACTACAAAAAGAGTGTTTCAAACCTGCTCTACCAAAGGGAATGTTCTACTCTGTGACTTGAATGCAAGCATCCCAAAGAAGTTTCTGAGAATGCTTCTGTCTAGATTTTCTCTGAAGACAATCCCGTTTCCAACGAAATCCTCAAGGCTAGGCAAATATACTCTTGCAGATTCCAGAAAAAGAGTGTTTCAAAACTGCTCCTTCAAAACGGTGGTTCAATTCTCTTAGTTGAGTACACACATCTCAAATAAGTTTCTGAGAATGCTTCTGCCTAGTTGTTACGGGAAGATATTTCCCTTTCCAACATGGGCCTGAAAGCGCTCCAAATGTCCACTTCCAGATACTACAAAAAGAGTGTTTCAAACCTGCTCTACCAAAGGGAATGTTCTACTCTGTGACTTGAATGCAAACATCCCAAAGAAGTTTCTGAGAATGCTTCTGTCTAGATTTTACCTGAAGACAATCCCGTTTCCCACGAAATCCTCAAAGCTATGCAAATATCCTCTTGCAGATTCTACAAAAAGAGTGTTTCAAAACTGCTCTATGAAAAGAAAGGTTCAACTCTGTCAGTAGAGGGCACACATCACAAACAAGTTTCTGAGAATGCTTCTGCATAGTTGTTACGGGAAGATATTTCCCTTTCCAAAATAGGCCTGAAAGCGCTCCAAATGTCCACTTCCAGATACTACAAAAGGAGTGATTCCAACCTGCTCTATGATAGGGAATGTTCAACTCTGTGTCCTGAATACAAACATCACAAAGATGTTTCTCAGAACGCTGCAGTCTGCAATTTGTATGAATTCCCGCTTCCAACGAAATCCTCAAAACTAGCCAAATATCCACTTGCAGATTCCACAAAAAGACCATTTCAAAACTGCTCTATCAAAAGAAAGGTTCAACTTTGTTAGTTGAGTAGATACAGCATAAACAAGTTTCTGAGAATGCTTCTGTCCAGTTTTTATGGGAAGATATTTCCTTTTTCACCTTAGCCCTGAAATCGCTCCAAAAGTCCAGTTCCAGATACTACAAAAGGGGTGTTTCAAGACTGCTCTATGAAAGGGAGTGTTCAACTTTTGACTTGAATGCAAACATCAGAAAGCAGTTTCTCAGAACGCTGCTGTGTGCTTTTTATATGTATTCCCGCTTCCAGCGAAATCCCCAAAGCTAGCCAAATATCCACTTGCAGATTCCAGAAAAAGAGAGTTTCAAAACTGCTCCTTCAAAACGGTGGTTCAATTCTCTTAGTTGAGTACACACATCTCAAATAAGTTTCTGAGAATGCTTCTGTCTAGTTGTTATGGGAAGATATTTCCTTTTCCAACATAGGCCTGAAAGCGCTCCAAATGTCCACTTCCAGATACTACAAAAGGAGTGATTCAAACCTGCTCTATGATAGGGAATGTTCAACTCTGTGTCCTGAATACAAACATCACAAAGATGTTTCTCAGAACGCTGCAGTCTGCAATTTGTATGAATTCCCGCTTCCAACGAAATCCTCAAAACTAGCCAAATATCCACTTGCAGATTCCACAAAAAGAGCGTTTCAAAACTTCTCTATGAAAAGAAAGGTTCTACCCCTTTAGTTGAGGACACACATCACGAGTAAGTTTCTGAGAATGCTTCTGTCTAGTTGTTATGGGAAGATATTTCCTTTTTCACCTTAGGCCGGAAAGTGCTCCAAATGTCCACTTACACACACTACAAAAAGAGTGTTTCAAACCTGCTCTGTGAAAGGGAATGTTCAATTCTGTGACTTGAATGCAATCATCACAAAGAACTTTCTGAGAATGCTGCTGTCTGCTTTTTATATGTAATCCCGTTTCCAACGAAATCCTCAAATCTAGCCAAATAGCCACTTGCAGATTCCACAAAAAGAGTGTTTCAAAACTGTTCTGTCTAAAGAAATGTTCAACTGTGTTAGTTGAGGACACACATCAGAAACTAGTTTCTGAGAATGCTTCTGTCTAGTTGTTATGGGAAGATATTTCCTTTTCCAACGTAGGCCTGAAAGCGCTCCAAATGTCCACTTCCATATACTAAAAAAAGAGTGTTTCAAACCTGCTCTACCAAAGGGAATGTTCTACTCTGTGACTTGAATGCAAACATCCCAAAGAAGTTTCTGAGAATGCTTCTGTCTAGATTTGATCTGAAGACAATCCCGTTTCCAACGAAATCCTCAAGGCTAGGCAAATATCCTCTTGCAGATTCCAGAAAAAGAGTGTTTCAAAACTGCTCCTTCAAAACGGTGGTTCAATTCTCTTAGTTGAGTACACACATCTCAAATAAGTTTTTGAGAATGCTTCTGCCTAGTTGTTACGGGAAGATATTTCCCTTTCCAACATAGGCCTGAAAGCGCTCCAAATGTCCACTTCCAGATACTACAAAAAGAGTGTTTCAAACCTGCTCTACCAAAGGGAATGTTCTACTCTGTGACTTGAATGCAAACATCCCAAAGAAGTTTCTGAGAATGCTTCTGTCTAGATTTTACCTGAAGACAATCCCGTTTCCCACGAAATCCTCAAAGCTATGCAAATATCCTCTTGCAGATTCTACAAAAAGAGTGTTTCAAAACTGCTCTATGAAAAGAAAGGTTCAACTGTGTCAGTAGAGGGCACACATCACAAACAAGTTTCTGAGAATGCTTGTGTCTAGTTGTTATGGGAAGATATTTCCTTTTTCAACATAGGCCTGAAAGCGCTCCAAATGTCCACTTCCAGATACTACAAAAGGAGTGATTCCAACCTGCTCTATGATAGGGAATGTTCAACTCTCTGTCCTGAATACAAACATCACAAAGATGTTTCTCAGAACGCTGCAGTCTGCAATTTGTATGAATTCCCGCTTCCAACGAAATCCTCAAAACTAGCCAAATATCCACTTGCAGATTCCACAAAAAGAGCATTTCAAAACTGCTCTATCAAAAGAAAGGTTCAACTTTGTTAGTTGAGTAGATACAGCATAAACAAGTTTCTGAGAATGCTTCTGTCCAGTTTTTATGGGAAGATATTTCCTTTTTCACCTTAGCCCTGAAAGCGCTCCAAAAGTCCAGTTCCAGATACTACAAAAGGGGTGTTTCAGGACTGCTCTATGAAAGGGAGTGTTCAACTTTTGACTTGAATGCAAACATCAGAAAGCAGTTTCTCAGAACGCTGCTGTGTGCTTTTTATATGTATTCCCGCTTCCAGCGAAATCCCCAAAGCTAGCCAAATATCCACTTGCAGATTCCAGAAAAAGAGTGTTTCAAAACTGCTCCTTCAAAACGGTGGTTCAATTCTCTTAGTTGAGTACACACATCTCAAATAAGTTTCTGAGAATGCTTCTGTCTAGTTGTTATGGGAAGATATTTCCTCTTCCAACATAGGCCTGAAAGCGCTCCAAATGTCCACTTCCAGATACTACAAAAGGAGTGATTCAAACCTGCTCTATGATAGGGAATGTTCAACTCTGTGTCCTGAATACAAACATCACAAAGATGTTTCTCAGAACGCTGCAGTCTGCATCTTGTATGAATTCCCGCTTCCAACGAAATCCTCAAAACTAGCCAAATATCCACTTGCAGATTCCACAAAAAGAGCGTTTCAAAACTTCTCTATGAAAAGAAAGGTTCTACTCCTTTAGTTGAGGACACACATCACGAGTAAGTTTCTGAGAATGCTTCTGTCTAGTTTTTATGGGAAGATATTTCCTTGTTCACCTTAGGCCGGAAAGCGCTCTAAATGTCCACTTACACACACTACAAAAAGAGTGTTTCAAACCTGCTCTGTGAAAGGGAATGTTCAATTCTGTGACTTGAATGCAATCATCACAAAGAAGTTTCTGAGAATGCTGGCTGTCTGCTTTTTATATGTAATCCCGTTTCCAACGAAATCCTCAAATCTAGCCAAATATCCACTTGCAGATTCCACAAAAAGAGTGTTTCAAAACTGTTCTGTCTAAAGAAATGTTCAACTGTGTTAGTTGAGGACACACATCAGAAACTAGTTTCTGAGAATGCTTCTGTCTAGTTGTTATGGGAAGATATTTCCTTTTCCAACATAGGCCTGAAAGCGCTCCAAATGTCCACTTACACACACTACAAAAAGAGTGTTTCAAACCTGCTCTACCAAAGGGAATGTTCTACTCTGTGACTTGAATGCAAACATCCCAAAGAAGTTTCTGAGAATGCTTCTGTCTAGATTTTACCTGAATACAATCCCGTTTCCCACGAAATCCTCAAAGCTATGCAAATATCCTCTTGCAGATTCTACAAAAAGAGTGTTTCGAAACTGCTCTATGAAAAGAAAGGATCAACTGTGTCAGTAGAGGGCACACATCACAAACAAGTTTCTGAGAATGCTTCTGCCTAGTTGTTATGGGAAGATATTTCCTTTTTCAACATAGGCCTGAAAGCGCTCCAAATGTCCACTTCCAGATACTACAAAAGGAGTGATTCCAACCTGCTCTATGATAGGGAATGTTCAACTCTGTGTCCTGAATACAAACATCACAAAGATGTTTCTCAGAACGCTGCAGTCTGCAATTTGTATGAATTCCCGCTTCCAACGAAATCCTCAAACCTAGCCAAATATCCACTTGCAGATTCCACAGAAAGAGCATTTCAAAACTGCTCTATCAAAAGAAAGGTTCAACTTTGTTAGTTGAGTAGATACAGCATAAAGAAGTTTCTGAGAATGCTTCCTGTCCAGTTTTTATGGGAAGATATTTCCTTTTTCACCTTAGCCCTGAAAGCGCTCCAAATGTCCAGTTCCAGATACTACAAAAGGGGTGTTTCAAGACTGCTCTATGAAAGGGAGTGTTCAACTTTTGACTTGAATGCAAACATCAGAAAGCAGTTTCTCAGAACGCTGCTGTGTGCTTTTTATATGTATTCCCGCTTCCAGCGAAATCCCCAAAGCTAGCCAAATATCCACTTGCAGATTCCAGAAAAAGAGTGTTTCAAAACTGCTCCTTCAAAACGGTGGTTCAATTCTCTTAGTTGAGTACACACATCTCAAATAAGTTTCTGAGAATGCTTCTGTCTAGTTGTTATGGGAAGATATTTCCTTTTCCAACATAGGCCTGAAAGCGCTCCAAATGTCCACTTCCAGATACTACAAAAGGAGTGATTCAAACCTGCTCTATGATAGGGAATGTTCAACTCTGTGTCCTGAATACAAACATCACAAAGATGTTTCTCAGAACGCTGCAGTCTGCAATTTGTATGAATTCCCGCTTCCAACGAAATCCTCAAAACTAGCCAAATATCCACTTGCAGATTCCACAAAAAGAGCGTTTCAAAACTTCTCTATGAAAAGAAAGGTTCTACTCCTTTAGTTGAGGACACACATCACGAGTAAGTTTCTGAGAATGCTTCTGTCTAGTTTTTATGGGAAGATTATTTCCTTTTTCACCTTAGGCCGGTAAGTGCTCCAAATGTCCACTTACACACACTACAAAAAGAGTGTTTCAAACCTGCTCTGTGAAAGGGAATGTTCAATTCTGTGACTTGAATGCAATCATCACAAAGAACTTTCTGAGAATGCCGCTGACTGCTTTTTATATGTAATCCCGTTTCCAACGAAATCCTCAAATCTAGCCAAATAGCCACTTGCAGATTCCACAAAAAGAGTGTTTCAAAACTGTTCTGTCTAAAGAAATGTTCAACTGTGTTAGTTGAGGACACACATCAGAAACTAGTTTCTGAGAATGCTTCTGTCTAGTTGTTATGGGAAGATATTTCCTTTTCCAACGTAGGCCTGAAAGCGCTCCAAATGTCCACTTCCAGATACTACAAAAAGAGTGTTTCAAACCTGCTCTACCAAAGGGAATGTTCTACTCTGTGACTTGAATGCAAGCATCCCAAAGAAGTTTCTGAGAATGCTTCTGTCTAGATTTTCTCTGAAGACAATCCCGTTTCCAACGAAATCCTCAAGGCTAGGCAAATATACTCTTGCAGATTCCAGAAAAAGAGTGTTTCAAAACTGCTCCTTCAAAACGGTGGTTCAATTCTCTTAGTTGAGTACACACATCTCAAATAAGTTTCTGAGAATGCTTCTGCCTAGTTGTTACGGGAAGATATTTCCCTTTCCAACATGGGCCTGAAAGCGCTCCAAATGTCCACTTCCAGATACTACAAAAAGAGTGTTTCAAACCTGCTCTACCAAAGGGAATGTTCTACTCTGTGACTTGAATGCAAACATCCCAAAGAAGTTTCTGAGAATGCTTCTGTCTAGATTTTACCTGAAGACAATCCCGTTTCCCACGAAATCCTCAAAGCTATGCAAATATCCTCTTGCAGATTCTACAAAAAGAGTGTTTCAAAACTGCTCTATGAAAAGAAAGGTTCAACTCTGTCAGTAGAGGGCACACATCACAAACAAGTTTCTGAGAATGCTTCTGCATAGTTGTTACGGGAAGATATTTCCCTTTCCAAAATAGGCCTGAAAGCGCTCCAAATGTCCACTTCCAGATACTACAAAAGGAGTGATTCCAACCTGCTCTATGATAGGGAATGTTCAACTCTGTGTCCTGAATACAAACATCACAAAGATGTTTCTCAGAACGCTGCAGTCTGCAATTTGTATGAATTCCCGCTTCCAACGAAATCCTCAAAACTAGCCAAATATCCACTTGCAGATTCCACAAAAAGACCATTTCAAAACTGCTCTATCAAAAGAAAGGTTCAACTTTGTTAGTTGAGTAGATACAGCATAAACAAGTTTCTGAGAATGCTTCTGTCCAGTTTTTATGGGAAGATATTTCCTTTTTCACCTTAGCCCTGAAATCGCTCCAAAAGTCCAGTTCCAGATACTACAAAAGGGGTGTTTCAGGACTGCTCTATGAAAGGGAGTGTTCAACTTTTGACTTGAATGCAAACATCAGAAAGCAGTTTCTCAGAACGCTGCTGTGTGCTTTTTATATGTATTCCCGCTTCCAGCGAAATCCCCAAAGCTAGCCAAATATCCACTTGCAGATTCCAGAAAAAGAGAGTTTCAAAACTGCTCCTTCAAAACGGTGGTTCAATTCTCTTAGTTGAGTACACACATCTCAAATAAGTTTCTGAGAATGCTTCTGTCTATTTGTTATGGGAAGATATTTCCTTTTCCAACATAGGCCTGAAAGCGCTCCAAATGTCCACTTCCAGATACTAGAAAAGGAGTGATTCAAACCTGCTCTATGATAGGGAATGTTCAACTCTGTGTCCTGAATACAAACATCACAAAGATGTTTCTCAGAACGCTGCAGTCTGCAATTTGTAAGAATTCCCGCTTCCAACGAAATCCTCCAAACTAGCCAAATATCCACTTGCAGATTCCACAAAAAGAGCGTTTCAAAACTTCTCTATGAAAGAAAGGTTCTACTCCTTTAGTTGAGGACACACATCACGAGTAAGTTTCTGAGAATGCTTCTGTCTAGTTTTTATGGGAAGATATTTCCTTTCTCACCTTAGGCCGGAAAGTGCTCCAAATGTCCACTTACACACACTACAAAAAGAGTGTTTCAAACCTGCTCTGTGAAAGGGAATGTTCAATTCTGTGACTTGAATGCAATCATCACAAAGAACTTTCTGAGAATGCTGGTGTCTGCTTTTTATATGTAATCCCGTTTCCAACGAAATCCTCAAATCTAGCCAAATAGCCACTTGCAGATTCCACAAAAAGAGAGTTTCAAAACTGTTCTGTCTAAAGAAATGTTCAACTGTGTTAGTTGAGGACACACATCAGAAACTAGTTTCTGAGAATGCTTCTGTCTAGTTGTTATGGGAAGATATTTCCTTTTCCAACGTAGGCCTGAAAGCGCTCCAAATGTCCACTTCCATATACTAAAAAAAGAGTGTTTCACACCTGCTCTACCAAAGGGAATGTTCTACTCTGTGACTTGAATGCAAACATCCCAAAGAAGTTTCTGAGAATGCTTCTGTCTAGATTTGATCTGAACACAATCCCGTTTCCAACGAAATCCTCAAAGCTAGGCAAATATCCTCTTGCAGATTCCAGAAAAAGAGTGTTTCAAAACTGCTCCTTCAAAACGGTGATTCAATTCTCTTAGTTGAGTACACACATCTCAAATAAGTTTCTGAGAATGCTTCTGCCTAGTTGTTACGGGAAGATATTTCCCTTTCCAACATAGGCCTGAAAGCGCTCCAAATGTCCACTTCCAGATACTACAAAAAGAGTGTTTCAAACCTGCTCTACCAAAGGGAATGTTCTACTCTGTGACTTGAATGCAAACATCCCAAAGAAGTTTCTGAGAATGCTTCTGTCTAGATTTTACCTGAAGACAATCCCGTTTCCCACGAAATCCTCAAAGCTATGCAAATATCCTCTTGCAGATTCTACAAAAAGAGTGTTTCAAAACTGCTCTATGAAAAGAAAGGTTCAACTCTGTCAGTAGAGGGCACACATCACAAACAAGTTTCTGAGAATGCTTCTGCATAGTTGTTACGGGAAGATATTTCCCTTTCCAAAATAGGCCTGAAAGCGCTCCAAATGTCCACTTCCAGATACTACAAAAGGAGTGATTCCAACCTGCTCTATGATAGGGAATGTTCAACTCTGTGTCCTGAATACAAACATCACAAAGATGTTTCTCAGAACGCTGCAGTCTGCAATTTGTATGAATTCCCGCTTCCAACGAAATCCTCAAAACTAGCCAAATATCCACTTGCAGATTCCACAAAAAGACCATTTCAAAACTGCTCTATCAAAAGAAAGGTTCAACTTTGTTAGTTGAGTAGATACAGCATAAACAAGTTTCTGAGAATGCTTCTGTCCAGTTTTTATGGGAAGATATTTCCTTTTTCACCTTAGCCCTGAAATCGCTCCAAAAGTCCAGTTCCAGATACTACAAAAGGGGTGTTTCAAGACTGCTCTATGAAAGGGAGTGTTCAACTTTTGACTTGAATGCAAACATCAGAAAGCAGTTTCTCAGAACGCTGCTGTGTGCTTTTTATATGTATTCCCGCTTCCAGCGAAATCCCCAAAGCTAGCCAAATATCCACTTGCAGATTCCAGAAAAAGAGAGTTTCAAAACTGCTCCTTCAAAACGGTGGTTCAATTCTCTTAGTTGAGTACACACATCTCAAATAAGTTTCTGAGAATGCTTCTGTCTAGTTGTTATGGGAAGATATTTCCTTTTCCAACATAGGCCTGAAAGCGCTCCAAATGTCCACTTCCAGATACTACAAAAGGAGTGATTCCAACCTGCTCTATGATAGGGAATGTTCAACTCTGTGTCCTGAATACAAACATCACAAAGATGTTTCTCAGAACGCTGCAGTCTGCAATTTGTATGAATTCCCGCTTCCAACGAAATCCTCAAAACTAGCCAAATATCCACTTGCAGATTCCACAAAAAGAGCGTTTCAAAACTTCTCTATGAAAAGAAAGGTTCTACTCCTTTAGTTGAGGACACACATCACGAGTAAGTTTCTGAGAATGCTTCTGTCTAGTTTTTATGGGAAGATATTTCCTTTTTCACCTTAGGCCGGTAAGTGCTCCAAATGTCCACTTACACACACTACAAAAAGAGTGTTTCAAACCTGCTCTGTGAAAGGGAATGTTCAATTCTGTGACTTGAATGCAATCATCACAAAGAACTTTCTGAGAATGCTGCTGACTGCTTTTTATATGTAATCCCGTTTCCAACGAAATCCTCAAATCTAGCCAAATAGCCACTTGCAGATTCCACAAAAAGAGTGTTTCAAAACTGTTCTGTCTAAAGAAATGTTCAACTGTGTTAGTTGAGGACACACATCAGAAACTAGTTTCTGAGAATGCTTCTGTCTAGTTGTTATGGGAAGATATTTCCTTTTCCAACGTAGGCCTGAAAGCGCTCCAAATGTCCACTTCCAGATACTACAAAAAGAGTGTTTCAAACCTGCTCTACCAAAGGGAATGTTCTACTCTGTGACTTGAATGCAAACATCCCAAAGAAGTTTCTGAGAATGCTTCTGTCTAGATTTTCTCTGAAGACAATCCCGTTTCCAACGAAATCCTCAAGGCTAGGCAAATATACTCTTGCAGATTCCAGAAAAAGAGTGTTTCAAAACTGCTCCTTCAAAACGGTGGTTCAATTCTCTTAGTTGAGTACACACATCTCAAATAAGTTTCTGAGAATGCTTCTGCCTAGTTGTTACGGGAAGATATTTCCCTTTCCAACATGGGCCTGAAAGCGCTCCAAATGTCCACTTCCAGATACTACAAAAAGAGTGTTTCAAACCTGCTCTACCAAAGGGAATGTTCTACTCTGTGACTTGAATGCAAACATCCCAAAGAAGTTTCTGAGAATGCTTCTGTCTAGATTTTACCTGAAGACAATCCCGTTTCCCACGAAATCCTCAAAGCTATGCAAATATCCTCTTGCAGATTCTACAAAAAGAGTGTTTCAAAACTGCTCTATGAAAAGAAAGGTTCAACTCTGTCAGTAGAGGGCACACATCACAAACAAGTTTCTGAGAATGCTTCTGCATAGTTGTTACGGGAAGATATTTCCCTTTCCAAAATAGGCCTGAAAGCGCTCCAAATGTCCACTTCCAGATACTACAAAAGGAGTGATTCCAACCTGCTCTATGATAGGGAATGTTCAACTCTGTGTCCTGAATACAAACATCACAAAGATGTTTCTCAGAACGCTGCAGTCTGCAATTTGTATGAATTCCCGCTTCCAACGAAATCCTCAAAACTAGCCAAATATCCACTTGCAGATTCCACAAAAAGACCATTTCAAAACTGCTCTATCAAAAGAAAGGTTCAACTTTGTTAGTTGAGTAGATACAGCATAAACAAGTTTCTGAGAATGCTTCTGTCCAGTTTTTATGGGAAGATATTTCCTTTTTCACCTTAGCCCTGAAATCGCTCCAAAAGTCCAGTTCCAGATACTACAAAAGGGGTGTTTCAGGACTGCTCTATGAAAGGGAGTGTTCAACTTTTGACTTGAATGCAAACATCAGAAAGCAGTTTCTCAGAACGCTGCTGTGTGCTTTTTATATGTATTCCCGCTTCCAGCGAAATCCCCAAAGCTAGCCAAATATCCACTTGCAGATTCCAGAAAAAGAGAGTTTCAAAACTGCTCCTTCAAAACGGTGGTTCAATTCTCTTAGTTGAGTACACACATCTCAAATAAGTTTCTGAGAATGCTTGTGTCTAGTTGTTATGGGAAGATATTTCCTTTTTCAACATAGGCCTGAAAGCGCTCCAAATGTCCACTTCCAGATACTACAAAAGGAGTGATTCCAACCTGCTCTATGATAGGGAATGTTCAACTCTGTGTCCTGAATACAAACATCACAAAGATATTTCTCAGAACGCTGCAGTCTGCAATTTGTATGAATTCCCGCTTCCAACGAAATCCTCAAAACTAGCCAAATATCCACTTGCAGATTCCACAAAAAGAGCGTTTCAAAACTTCTCTATGAAAAGAAAGGTTCTACACCTTTAGTTGAGGACACACATCACGAGTAAGTTTCTGAGAATGCTTCTGTCTATTTTTTATGGGAAGATATTTCCTTTTTCGCCTTAGGCTGGAAAGTGCTCCAAATGTCCACTTACACACACTACAAAAAGAGTGTTTCAAACCTGCTCTGTGAAAGGGAATGTTCAATTCTGTGACTTGAATGCAATCATCACAAAGAACTTTCTGAGAATGCTGCTGTCAGCTTTTTATATGTAATCCCGTTTCCAAAGAAATCCTCAAATCTAGCCAAATAGCCACTTGCAGATTCCACAAAAAGAGTGTTTCAAAACTGTTCTGTCTAAAGAAATGTTCAACTGTGTTAGTTGAGGACACACATCAGAAACTAGTTTCTGAGAATGCTTCTGTCTAGTTGTTATGGGAAGATATTTCCTTTTCCAACGTAGGCCTGAAAGCGCTCCAAATGTCCACTTCCATATACTAAAAAAAGAGTGTTTCAAACCTGCTCTAACAAAGGGAATGTTCTACTCTATGAATTGAATGCAAACACCCAAAGAAGTTTCTGAGAATGCTTCTGTCTAGATTTTATCTGAAGACAATCCCGTTTCCAACGAAATCCTCAAAGCTAGGCAAATATACTCTTGCAGATTCCAGAAAAAGAGTGTTTCAAAACTTCTCCTTGAAAAGGGTGGTTCAATTCTCTTAGTTGAGTACACCCATCTCAAATAAGTTTCTGAGAATGCTTCTGCCTAGTTGTTACGGGAAGATATTTCCCTTTCCAACATAGGCCTGAAAGCGCTCCAAATGTCCACTTCCAGATACTACAAAAAGAGTGTTTCAAACCTGCTCTACCAAAGGGAATGTTCTACTCTGTGACTTGAATAGAAACATCCCAAAGAAGTTTCTGAGAATGCTTCTGTCTAGATTTGAGCTGAAGACAATCCCGTTTCCAACGAAATCCTCAAAGCTAGGCAAATATACTCTAGCAGATTCCAGAAAAAGAGTGTTTCACAACTGCTCCTTCAAAACGGTGCTTCAATTCTCTTAGTTGAGTACACACATCTCAAATAAGTTTCTGAGAATGCTTCTGCCTAGTTGTTAAGGGAAGATATTTCCCTTTCCAACATAGGCCTGAAAGCGCTCCAAATGTCCACTTCCAGATACTACAAAAAGAGTGTTTCAAACCTGCTCTACCAAAGGGAATGTTCTACTCTGTGACTTGAATGCAAACATCCCAAAGAAGTTTCTGAGAATGCTTCTGTCTAGATTTTATCTGAAGACAATCCCGTTTCCAACGAAATTCTCAAGGCTAGGCAAATATACTCTTGCAGATTCCAGAAAAAGAGTGTTTCAAAACTGCTCCTTCAAAACGGTGGTTCAATTCTCTTAGTTGAGTACACACATCTCAAATAAGTTTCTGAGAATGCTTCTGCCTAGTTGTTACGGGAAGATATTTCCCTTTCCAACATGGGCCTGAAAGCGCTCCAAATGTCCACTTCCAGATACTACAAAAAGAGGGTTTCAAACCTGCTCTACCAAAGGGAATGTTCTACTCTGTGACTTGAATGCAAACATCCCAAAGTAGTTTCTGAGAATGCTTCTGTCTAGATTTTACCTGAAGACAATCCCGTTTCCCACGAAATCCTCAAAGCTATGCAAATATCCTCTTGCAGATTCTACAAAAAGAGTGTTTCAAAACTGCTCTATGAAAAGAAAGGTTCAACTCTGTCAGTAGAGGGCACACATCACAAACAAGTTTCTGAGAATGCTTGTGTCTACTTGTTATGGGAAGATATTTCCTTTTTCAACATAGGCCTGAAAGCGCTCCAAATGTCCACTTCCAGATACTACAAAAGGAGTGATTCCAACCTGCTCTATGATAGGGAATGTTCATCTCTGTGTCCTGAATACAAACATCACAAAGATGTTTCTCAGAACGCTGCAGTCTGCAATTTGTATGAATTCCCGCTTCCAACGAAATCCTCAAAACTAGCCAAATATCCACTTGGAGATTCCACAAAAAGAGCGTTTCAAAACTTCTCTATGAATAGAAAGGTTCTACTCCTTTAGTTGAGGACACACATCACGAGTAAGTTTCTGAGAATGCTTCTGTCTAGTTTTTATGGGAAGATATGTCCTTTTTCACCTTAGGCCGGAAAGCGCTCCAAATGTCCACTTACACACACTACAAAAAGAGTGTTTCAAACCTGCTCTATGAAAGGGAATGTTCAATTCTGTGACTTGAATGCAATCATCACAAAGAACTTTCTGAGAATGCTGCTGACTGCTTTTTATATGTAATCCCGTTTCCAACGAAATCCTCAAATCTAGCCCAATATCCACTTGCAGATTCCACAAAAAGAGTGTTTCAAAACTGTTCTGTATAAAGAAATGTACAACTGTGTTAGTTGAGGACACACATCAGAAACTAGTTTCTGAGAATGCTTCTGTCTAGTTGTTATGGGAAGATATTTCCTTTTCCAACGTAGGCCTGAAAGCGCTCCAAATGTCCACTTCCATATACTAAAAAAAGAGTGTTTCAAACCTGCTCTACCAAAGGGAATGTTCTACTCTGTGACTTGAATGCAAACATCCCAAAGAAGTTTCTGAGAATGCTTCTGTCTAGATTTTATCTGAAGACAATCCCGTTTCCAACGAAATCCTCAAGGCTAGGCAAATATACTCTTGCAGATTCCAGAAAAAGAGTGTTTCAAAACTGCTCCTTCAAAACGGTGGTTCAGTTCTCTTACTTGAGTACACACATCTCAAATAAGTTTCTGAGAATGCTTCTGCCTAGTTGTTACGGGAAGATATTTCCCTTTCCAACATGGGCCTGAAAGCGCTCCAAATGTCCACTTCCAGTTACTACAAAAAGAGTGTTTCAAACCTGCTCTACCAAAGGGAATGTTCTACTCTGTGACTTGAATGCAAACATCCCAAAGAAGTTTCTGAGAATGCTTCTTTCTAGATTTTACCTGAAGACAATCCCGTTTCCCACGAAATCCTCAAAGCTATGCAAATATCCTCTTGCGGATTCTACAAAAAGAGTGTTTCAAAACTGCTCTATGAAAAGAAAGGTTCAACTCTGTCAGTAGAGGGCACACATCACAAACAAGTTTCTGAGAATGCTTGTGTCTAGTTGTTATGGGAAGATATTTCCTTTTTCAACATAGGCCTGAAAGCGCTCCAAATGTCCACTTCCAGATACTACAAAAGGAGTGATTCCAACCTGCTCTATGATAGGGAATGTTCATCTCTGTGTCCTGAATACAAACATCACAAAGATGTTTCTCAGAACGCTGCAGTCTGCAATTTGTATGAATTCCCGCTTCCAACGAAATCCTCAACACTAGCCAAATATCCACTTGGAGATTCCACAAAAAGAGCGTTTCAAAACTTCTCTATGAATAGAAAGGTTCTACTCCTTTAGTTGAGGACACACATCACGAGTAAGTTTCTGAGAATGCTTCTGTCTAGTTATTATGGGAAGATATGTCCTTTTTCACCTTAGGCCGGAAAGCGCTCCAAATGTCCACTTACACACACTACAAAAAGAGTGTTTCAAACCTGCTCTATGAAAGGGAATGTTCAATTCTGTGACTTGAATGCAATCATCACAAAGAACTTTCTGAGAATGCTGCTGACTGCTTTTTATATGTAATCCCGTTTCCAACGAAATCCTCAAATCTAGCCCAATATCCACTTGCAGATTCCACAAAAAGAGTGTTTCAAAACTGTTCTGTATAAAGAAATGTACAACTGTGTTAGTTGAGGACACACATCAGAAACTAGTTTCTGAGAATGCTTCTGTCTAGTTGTTATGGGAAGATATTTCCTTTTCCAACGTAGGCCTGAAAGCGCTCCAAATGTCCACTTCCATATACTAAAAAAAGAGTGTTTCAAACCTGCTCTACCAAAGGGAATGTTCTACTCTGTGACTTGAATGCAAACATCCCAAAGAAGTTTCTGAGAATGCTTCTGTCTAGATTTTCTCTGAAGACAATCCCGTTTCCAACGAAATCCTCAAGGCTAGGCAAATATACTCTTGCAGATTCCAGAAAAAGAGTGTTTCAAAACTGCTCCTTCAAAACGGTGGTTCAATTCTCTTAGTTGAGTACACACATCTCAAATAAGTTTGCTGAGAATGCTCTGCCTAGTTGTTACGGGAAGATATTTCCCTTTCCAACATGGGCCTGAAGCGCTCCAAATGTCCACTTCCAGATACTACAAAAAGAGTGTTTCAAACCTGCTCTACCAAAGGGAATGTTCTACTCTGTGACTTGAATGCAAACATCCCAAAGAAGTTTCTGAGAATGCTTCTGTCTAGATTTTACCTGAAGACAATCCCGTTTCCCACGAAATCCTCAAAGCTATGCAAATATCCTCTTGCAGATTCTACAAAAAGAGTGTTTCAAAACTGCTCTATGAAAAGAAAGGTTCAACTCTGTCAGTAGAGGGCACACATCACAAACAAGTTTCTGAGAATGCTTGTGTCTAGTTGTTATGGGAAGATATTTCCTTTTTCAACATAGGCCTGAAAGCGCTCCAAATGTCCACTTCCAGATACTACAAAAGGAGTGATTCCAACCTGCTCTATGATAGGGAATGTTCATCCTACTGTGTCCTGAATACAAACATCACAAAGATGTTTCTCAGAACGCTGCAGTCTGCAATTTGTATGAATTCCCGCTTCCAACGAAATCCTCAAAACTAGCCAAATATCCACTTGCAGATTCCACAAAAAGAGCGTTTCAAAACTTCTCTATGAAAAGAAAGGTTCTACTCCTTTAGTTGAGGACACACATCACGAGTAAGATTCTGAGAGTGCTTCTGTCTAGTTTTTATGGGAAGATATGTCCTTTTTCACCTTAGGCCGGAAAGTGCTCCAAATGTCCACTTACACACACTACAAAAAGAGTGTTTCAAACCTGCTCTGTGAAAGGGAATATTCAATTCTGTGACTTGAATGCAATCATCACAAAGAACTTTCTGAGAATGCTGCTGTGTGCTTTTTATATGTATTCCCGCTTCCAGCGAAATCCCCAAAGCTAGCCAGATATCCACTTGCAGATTCCAGAAAAAGAGTGTTTCAAAACTGCTCCTTCAAAACGGTGGTTCAATTCTGCTTAGTTGAGTACGCACATCTCAAATAAGTTTCTGAGAATGCTTTCTGTCTAGTTGTTATGGGAAGATATTTCCTTTTCCAACATAGGCCTGAAAGCGCTCCAAATGTCCACTTCCAGATACTACAAAAGGAGTGATTCAAACCTGCTCTATGATAGGGAATGTTCAACTCTGTGTCCTGAATACAAACATCACAAAGATGTTTCTCAGAACGCTGCAGTCTGCAATTTGTATGAATTCCCGCTTCCAACGAAATCCTCAAAACTAGCCAAATATCCACTTGCAGATTCCACAAAAAGAGCATTTCAAAACTGCTCTATCAAAAGAAAAGTTCAACTTTGTTAGTTGAGTAGATACAGCATAAACAAGTTTCTGAGAATGCTTCTGTCCAGTTTTTATGGGAAGATATTTCCTTTTTCACCTTAGCCCTGAAAGCGCTCCAAATGTCCAGTTCCAGATACTACAAAAGGAGTGTTTCAGGACTGCTCTATGAAAGGGAGTGTTCAACTTTTGACTTGAATGCAAACATCAGAAAGCAGTTTCTCAGAACGTTGCTGTGTGCTTTTTATATGTATTCCCACTTCCAGCGGAATCCCCAAAGCTAGCCAAATATCCACTTGCAGATTCCAGAAAAAGAGTGTTTCAAAACTACTCCTGCAAAACGGTGGTTCAATTCTCTTAGTTGAGTACACACATCTCAAATAAGTTTCTGAGAATGCTTCTGTCTAGTTGTTATGGGAAGATATTTCCTTTTCCAACATAGGCCTGAAAGCGCTCCAAATGTCCACTTCCAGATACTACAAAAGGAGTGATTCAAACCTGCTCTATGATAGGGAATGTTCAACTCTGTGTCCTGAATACAAACATCACAAAGATGTTTCTCAGAACGCTGCAGTCTGCAATTTGTATGAATTCCCGCTTCCAACGAAATCCTCAAAACTAGCCAAATATCCACTTGCAGATTCCACAAAAAGAGCGTTTCAAAACTTCTCTATGAAAAGAAAGGTTCTACTCCTTTAGTTGAGGACACACATCACGAGTAAGTTTCTGAGAATGCTTCTGTCTAGTTTTTATGGGAAGATATTTCCTTTTTCACCTTAGGCCGGAAAGTGCTCCAAATGTCCACTTACACACACTACAAAAAGAGTGTTTCAAACTTGCTCTGTGAAAGGGAATGTTCAATTCTGTGACTTGAATGCAATCATCACAAAGAACTTTCTGAGAATGCTGCTGTCTGCTTTTTATATGTAATCCCGTTTCCAACGAAATCCTCAAATCTAGCCAAATAGCCACTTGCAGATTCCACAAAAAGAGTGTTTCAAAACTGTTCTGTCTAAAGAAATGTTCAACTGTGTTAGTTGAGGACACACATCAGAAACTAGTTTCTGAGAATGCTTCTGTCTAGTTTTTATGGGAAGATATTTCCTTTTCCAACGTAGGCCTGAAAGCGATCAAAATGTCCACTTCCATATACTAAAAAAAGAGTGTTTCAAACCTGCTCTACCAAAGGGAATGTTCTACTCTGTGACTTGAATGCAAACATCCCAAAGAGGTTTCTGAGAATGCTTCTGTCTAGATTTTATCTGCAGACAACCCCGTTTCCAACGAAATCGTCAAGGCTAGGCAAATATACTCTTGCAGATTCCAGAAAAAGAGTGTTTCAAAACTGCTCCTTCAAAACGGTGGTTCATTTCTCTTAGTTGAGTACACACATCTCAAATAAGTTTCTGAGAATGCTTCTGTCTAGTTGTTATGGGAAGATATTTCCTTTTCCAACGTAGGCCTGAAAGCGCTCCAAATGTCCACTTCCATATACGAAAAAAAGAGTGTTTCAAACCTGCTCTACCAAAGGGAATGTTCTACTCTGTGACTTGAATGCAAACATCCCAAAGAAGTTTCTGAGAATGCTTCTGTCTAGATTTGATCTGAAGACAATCCCGTTTCCAACGAAATCCTCAAGGCTAGGCAAATATCCTCTTGCAGATTCCAGAAAAAGAGTGTTTCAAAACTGCTCCTTCAAAACGGTGGTTCAATTCTCTTAGGTGAGTACACACATCTCAAATAAGTTTCTGAGAATGCTTCTGCCTTGTTGTTACGGGAAGATATTTCCCTTTCCAACATAGGCCTGAAAGCGCTCCAAATGTCCACTTCCAGATACTACAAAAAGAGTGTTTGAAACCTGCTCTACCAAAGGGAATGTTCTACTCTGTGACTTGAATGCAAACATCTCAAAGAAGTTTCTGAGAATGCTTCTGTCTAGATTTTACCTGAAGACAATCCCGTTTCCCACGAAATCCTCGAAGCTATGCAAATATCCTCTTGCAGATTCTACAAAAAGAGTGTTTCAAAACTGCTCTATGAAAAGAAAGGTTCAACTCTGTCAGTAGAGGGCACACATCACAAACAAGTTTCTGAGAACGCTTCTGTCTAGTTGTTATGGGAAGATATTTCCTTTTCCAACATAGGCCTGAAAGCGCTCCAAATGTCCACTTCCAGATACTACAAAAGGAGTGATTCCAACCTGCTCTATGATAGGGAATGTTCAACTCTGTGTCCTGAATACAAACATCACAAAGATGTTTCTCAGAACGCTGCAGTCTGCAATTTGTATGAATTCCCGCTTCCAACGAAATCCTCAAAACTAGCCAAATATCCACTTGCAGATTCCACAAAAAGACCATTTCAAAACTGCTCTATCAAAAGAAAGGTTCAACTTTGTTAGTTGAGTAGATACAGCATAAACAAGTTTCTGAGAATGCTTCTGTCCAGTTTTTATGGGAAGATATTTCCTTTTTCACCTTAGCCCTGAAATCGCTCCAAAAGTCCAGTTCCAGATACTACAAAAGGGGTGTTTCAGGACTGCTCTATGAAAGGGAGTGTTCAACTTTTGACTTGAATGCAAACATCAGAAAGCAGTTTCTCAGAACGCTGCTGTGTGCTTTTTATATGTATTCCCGCTTCCAGCGAAATCCCCAAAGCTAGCCAAATATCCACTTGCAGATTCCAGAAAAAGAGAGTTTCAAAACTGCTCCTTCAAAACGGTGGTTCAATTCTCTTAGTTGAGTACACACATCTCAAATAAGTTTCTGAGAATGCTTCTGTCTAGTTGTTATGGGAAGATATTTCCTTTTCCAACATAGGCCTGAAAGCGCTCCAAATGTCCACTTCCAGATACTACAAAAGGAGTGATTCAAACCTGCTCTATGATAGGGAATGTTCAACTCTGTGTCCTGAATACAAACATCACAAAGATGTTTCTCAGAACGCTGCAGTCTGCAATTTGTACGAATTCCCGCTTCCAACGAAATCCTCAAAACTAGCCAAATATCCACTTGCAGATTCCACAAAAAGAGCGTTTCAAAACTTCTCTATGAAAAGAAAGGTTCTACTCCTTTAGTTGAGGACACACATCACGAGTAAGTTTCTGAGAATGCTTCTGTCTAGTTTTTATGGGAAGATATTTCCTTTTTCACCTTAGGCCGGTAAGTGCTCCAAATGTCCACTTACACACACTACAAAAAGAGTGTTTCAAACCTGCTCTGTGAAAGGGAATGTTCAATTCTGTGACTTGAATGCAATCATCACAAAGAACTTTCTGAGAATGCTGCTGACTGCTTTTTATATGTAATCCCGTTTCCAACGAAATCCTCAAATCTAGCCAAATAGCCACTTGCAGATTCCACAAAAAGAGTGTTTCAAAACTGTTCTGTCTAAAGAAATGTTCAACTGTGTTAGTTGAGGACACACATCAGAAACTAGTTTCTGAGAATGCTTCTGTCTAGTTGTTATGGGAAGATATTTCCTTTTCCAACGTAGGCCTGAAAGCGCTCCAAATGTCCACTTCCAGATACTACAAAAAGAGTGTTTCAAACCTGCTCTACCAAAGGGAATGTTCTACTCTGTG
Source organism: Homo sapiens (assembly GCF_000001405.40). Taxonomy (NCBI): domain Eukaryota; kingdom Metazoa; phylum Chordata; class Mammalia; order Primates; family Hominidae; genus Homo; species Homo sapiens. Next base: position 16,044,954 of record NC_000018.10, on the reverse strand, counting down.
ACTTGAATGCAAACATCCCAAAGAAGTTTCTGAGAATGCTTCTGTCTAGATTTTCTCTGAAGACAATCCCGTTTCCAACGAAATCCTCAAGGCTAGGCAAATATACTCTTGCAGATTCCAGAAAAAGAGTGTTTCAAAACTGCTCCTTCAAAACGGTGGTTCAATTCTCTTAGTTGAGTACACACATCTCAAATAAGTTTCTGAGAATGCTTCTGCCTAGTTGTTACGGGAAGATATTTCCCTTTCCAACATGGGCCTGAAAGCGCTCCAAATGTCCACTTCCAGATACTACAAAAAGAGTGTTTCAAACCTGCTCTACCAAAGGGAATGTTCTACTCTGTGACTTGAATGCAAACATCCCAAAGAAGTTTCTGAGAATGTTTCTGTCTAGATTTTACCTGAAGACAATCCCGTTTCCCACGAAATCCTCAAAGCTATGCAAATATCCTCTTGCAGATTCTACAAAAAGAGTGTTTCAAAACTGCTCTATGAAAAGAAAGGTTCAACTCTGTCAGTAGAGGGCACACATCACAAACAAGTTTCTGAGAATGCTTCTGCATAGTTGTTACGGGAAGATATTTCCCTTTCCAAAATAGGCCTGAAAGCGCTCCAAATGTCCACTTCCAGATACTACAAAAGGAGTGATTCCAACCTGCTCTATGATAGGGAATGTTCAACTCTGTGTCCTGAATACAAACATCACAAAGATGTTTCTCAGAACGCTGCAGTCTGCAATTTGTATGAATTCCCGCTTCCAACGAAATCCTCAAAACTAGCCAAATATCCACTTGCAGATTCCACAAAAAGACCATTTCAAAACTGCTCTATCAAAAGAAAGGTTCAACTTTGTTAGTTGAGTAGATACAGCATAAACAAGTTTCTGAGAATGCTTCTGTCCAGTTTTTATGGGAAGATATTTCCTTTTTCACCTTAGCCCTGAAATCGCTCCAAAAGTCCAGTTCCAGATACTACAAAAGGGGTGTTTCAAGACTGCTCTATGAAAGGGAGTGTTCAACTTTTGACTTGAATGCAAACATCAGAAAGCAGTTTCTCAGAACGCTGCTGTGTGCTTTTTATATGTATTCCCGCTTCCAGCGAAATCCCCAAAGCTAGCCAAATATCCACTTGCAGATTCCAGAAAAAGAGTGTTTCAAAACTGCTCCTTCAAAACGGTGGTTCAATTCTCTTAGTTGAGTACACACATCTCAAATAAGTTTCTGAGAATGCTTGTGTCTAGTTGTTATGGGAAGATATTTCCTTTTTCAACATAGGCCTGAAAGCGCTCCAAATGTCCACTTCCAGATACTACAAAAGGAGTGATTCCAACATGCTCTATGATAGGTAATGTTCATCTCTGTGTCCTGAATACAAACATCACAAAGATGTTTCTCAGAACGCTGCAGTCTGCAATTTGTATGAATTCCCGCTTCCAACGAAATCCTCCAAACTAGCCAAATATCCACTTGCAGATTCCACAAAAAGAGCGTTTCAAAACTTCTCTATGAAAAGAAAGGTTCTACTCCTTTAGTTGAGGACACACATCACGAGTAAGTTTCTGAGAATGCTTCTGTCTAGTTTTTATGGGAAGATATTTCCTTTTTCACCTTAGGCCGGAAAGTGCTCCAAATGTCCACTTACACACACTATAAAAAGAGTGTTTCAAACCTGCTCTGTGAAAGGGAATGTTCAATTCTGTGACTTGAATGCAATCATCACAAAGAACTTTCTGAGAATGCTGCTGTCTGCTTTTTATATGTAATCCCGTTTCCAACGAAATCCTCAAATCAAGCCAAATAGCCACTTGCAGATTCCACAAAAAGAGAGTTTCAAAACTGTTCTGTCTAAAGAAATGTTCAACTGTGTTAGTTGAGGACACACATCAGAAACTAGTTTCTGAGAATGCTTCTGTCTAGTTGTTATGGGAAGATATTTCCTTTTCCAACGTAGGCCTGAAAGCGCTCCAAATGTCCACTTCCATATACTAAAAAAAGAGTGTTTCAAACCTGCTCTACCAAAGGGAATGTTCTACTCTGTGACTTGAATGCAAACATCCCAAAGAAGTTTCTGAGAATGCTTCTGTCTAGATTTTCTCTGAAGACAATCCCGTTTCCAACGAAATCCTCAAGGCTAGGCAAATATACTCTTGCAGATTCCAGAAAAAGAGTGTTTCAAAACTGCTCCTTCAAAACGGTGGTTCAATTCTCTTAGTTGAGTACACACATCTCAAATAAGTTTGCTGAGAATGCTCTGCCTAGTTGTTACGGGAAGATATTTCCCTTTCCAACATGGGCCTGAAGCGCTCCAAATGTCCACTTCCAGATACTACAAAAAGAGTGTTTCAAACCTGCTCTACCAAAGGGAATGTTCTACTCTGTGACTTGAATGCAAACATCCCAAAGAAGTTTCTGAGAATGCTTCTGTCTAGATTTTACCTGAAGACAATCCCGTTTCCCACGAAATCCTCAAAGCTATGCAAATATCCTCTTGCAGATTCTACAAAAAGAGTGTTTCAAAACTGCTCTATGAAAAGAAAGGTTCAACTCTGTCAGTAGAGGGCACACATCACAAACAAGTTTCTGAGAATGCTTCTGCATAGTTGTTACGGGAAGATATTTCCCTTTCCAAAATAGGCCTGAAAGCGCTCCAAATGTCCACTTCCAGATACTACAAAAGGAGTGATTCCAACCTGCTCTATGATAGGGAATGTTCAACTCTGTGTCCTGAATACAAACATCACAAAGATGTTTCTCAGAACGCTGCAGTCTGCAATTTGTATGAATTCCCGCTTCCAACGAAATCCTCAAAACTAGCCAAATATCCACTTGCAGATTCCACAAAAAGACCATTTCAAAACTGCTCTATCAAAAGAAAGGTTCAACTTTGTTAGTTGAGTAGATACAGCATAAACAAGTTTCTGAGAATGCTTCTGTCCAGTTTTTATGGGAAGATATTTCCTTTTTCACCTTAGCCCTGAAATCGCTCCAAAAGTCCAGTTCCAGATACTACAAAAGGGGTGTTTCAAGACTGCTCTATGAAAGGGAGTGTTCAACTTTTGACTTGAATGCAAACATCAGAAAGCAGTTTCTCAGAACGCTGCTGTGTGCTTTTTATATGTATTCCCGCTTCCAGCGAAATCCCCAAAGCTAGCCAAATATCCACTTGCAGATTCCAGAAAAAGAGAGTTTCAAAACTGCTCCTTCAAAACGGTGGTTCAATTCTCTTAGTTGAGTACACACATCTCAAATAAGTTTCTGAGAATGCTTCTGTCTAGTTGTTATGGGAAGATATTTCCTTTTCCAACATAGGCCTGAAAGCGCTCCAAATGTCCACTTCCAGATACTACAAAAGGAGTGATTCAAACCTGCTCTATGATAGGGAATGTTCAACTCTGTGTCCTGAATACAAACATCACAAAGATGTTTCTCAGAACGCTGCAGTCTGCAATTTGTATGAATTCCCGCTTCCAACGAAATCCTCAAAACTAGCCAAATATCCACTTGCAGATTCCACAAAAAGAGCGTTTCAAAACTTCTCTATGAAAAGAAAGGTTCTACTCCTTTAGTTGAGGACACACATCACGAGTAAGTTTCTGAGAATGCTTATCTGTCTAGTTTTTATGGGAAGATATGTCCTTTTTCACCTTAGGCCGAAAAGCGCTCCAAATGTCCACTTACACACACTACAGAAAGAGTGTTTCAAACCTGCTCTGTGAAAGGGAATGTTCAATTCTGTGACTTGAATGCAATCATCACAAAGAACTTTCTGAGAATGCTGCTGACTGCTTTTTATATGTAATCCCGTTTCCAACGAAATACTCAAATCTAGCCCAATATCCACTTGCAGATTCCACAAAAAGAGTGTTTCAAAACTGTTCTGTCTAAAGAAATGTACAACTGTGTTAGTTGAGGACACACATCACAAACTAGTTTCTGAGAATGCTTCTGTCTAGTTGTTATGGGAAGATATTTCCTTTTCCAACGTAGGCCTGAAAGCGCTCCAAATGTCCACTTCCATATACTAAAAAAAGAGTGTTTCAAACCTGCTCTACCAAAGGGAATGTTCTACTCTGTGACTTGAATGCAAACATCCCAAAGAAGTTTCTGAGAATGCTTCTGTCTAGATTTTATCTGAAGACAATCCCGTTTCCAACGAAATCCTCAAGGCTAGGCAAATATACTCTTGCAGATTCCAGAAAAAGAGGGTTTCAAAACTGCTCCTTCAAAACGGTGGTTCAATTCTCTTAGTTGAGTACACACATCTCAAATAAGTTTCTGAGAATGCTTCTGCCTAGTTGTTACGGGAAGATATTTCCCTTTCCAACATGGGCCTGAAAGCGCTCCAAATGTCCACTTCCAGATACTACAAAAAGAGTGTTTCAAACCTACTCTACCAAAGGGAATGTTCTACTCTGTGACTTGAATGCAAACATCCCAAAGAAGTTTCTGAGAATGCTTCTGTCTAGATTTTACCTGAAGACAATCCCGTTTCCCACGAAATCCTCAAAGCTATGCAAATATCCTCTTGCGGATTCTACAAAAAGAGTGTTTCAAAACTGCTCTATGAAAAGAAAGGTTCAACTCTGTCAGTAGAGGGCACACATCACAAACAAGTTTCTGAGAATGTTTGTGTCTAGTTGTTATGGGAAGATATTTCCTTTTTCAACATAGGCCTGAAAGCGCTCCAAATGTCCACTTCCAGATACTACAAAAGGAGTGATTCCAACCTGCTCTATGATAGGGAATGTTCATCTCTGTGTCCTGAATACAAACATCACAAAGATGTTTCTCAGAACGCTGCAGTCTGCAATTTGTATGAATTCCCGCTTCCAACGAAATCCTCAACACTAGCCAAATATCCACTTGGAGATTCCACAAAAAGAGCGTTTCAAAACTTCTCTATGAATAGAAAGGTTCTACTCCTTTAGTTGAGGACACACATCACGAGTAAGTTTCTGAGAATGCTTCTGTCTAGTTTTTATGGGAAGATATGTCCTTTTTCACCTTAGGCCGGAAAGCGCTCCAAATGTCCACTTACACACACTACAAAAAGAGTGTTTCAAACCTGCTCTGTGAAAGGGAATGTTCAATTCTGTGACTTGAATGCAATCATCACAAAGAACTTTCTGAGAATGCTGCTGTCTGCTTTTTATATGTAATCCCGTTTCCAACGAAATCCTCAAATCTAGCCCAATATCCACTTGCAGATTCCACAAAAAGAGTGTTTCAAAACTGTTCTGTCTAAAGAAATGTACAACTGTGTTAGTTGAGGACACACATCAGAAACTAGTTTCTGAGAATGCTTCTGTCTAGTTGTTATGGGAAGATATTTCCTTTTCCAACGTAGGCCTGAAAGCGCTCCAAATGTCCACTTCCATATACTAAAAAAAGAGTGTTTCAAACCTGCTCTACCAAAGGGAGTGTTCTACTCTGTGACTTGAATGCAAACATCCCAAAGAAGTTTCTGAGAATGCTTCTGTCTAGATTTTATCTGAAGACAATCCCGTTTCCAACGAAATCCTCAAGGCTAGGCAAATATACTCTTGCAGATTCCAGAAAAAGAGGGTTTCAAAACTGCTCCTTCAAAACGGTGGTTCAATTCTCTTAGTTGAGTACACACATCTCAAATAAGTTTCTGAGAATGCTTCTGCCTAGTTGTTACGGGAAGATATTTCCCTTTCCAACATGGGCCTGAAAGCGCTCCAAATGTCCACTTCCAGATACTACAAAAAGAGTGTTTCAAACCTGCTCTACCAAAGGGAATGTTCTACTCTGTGACTTGAATGCAAACATCCCAAAGAAGTTTCTGAGAATGCTTCTGTCTAGATTTTACCTGAAGACAATCCCGTTTCCCACGAAATCCTCAAAGCTATGCAAATATCCTCTTGCGGATTCTACAAAAAGAGTGTTTCAAAACTGCTCTATGAAAAGAAAGGTTCAACTCTGTCAGTAGAGGGCACACATCACAAACAACTTTCTGAGAATGCTTGTGTCTAGTTGTTATGGGAAGATATTTCCTTTTTCAACATAGGCCTGAAAGCGCTCCAAATGTCCACTTCCAGATACTACAAAAGGAGTGATTCCAACATGCTCTATGATAGGGAATGTTCATCTCTGTGTCCTGAATACAAACATCACAAAGATGTTTCTCAGAACGCTGCAGTCTGCAATTTGGATGAATTCCCGCTTCCAACGAAATCCTCAAAACTAGCCAAATATCCACTTGGAGATTCCACAAAAAGAGCGTTTCAAAACTTCTCTATGAATAGAAAGGTTCTACTCCTTTAGTTGAGGAAACACATCACGAGTAAGTTTCTGAGAATGCTTCTGTCTAGTTTTTATGGGAAGATATTTCCTTTTTCACCTTAGGCCGGAAAGCGCTCCAAATGTTCACTTACACACACTACAAAAAGAGTGTTTCAAACCTGCTCTGTGAAAGGGAATGTTCAATTCTGTGACTTGAATGCAATCATCACAAAGAACTTTCTGAGAATGCTGCTGTCTGCTTTTTATATGTAATCCCGTTTCCAACGAAATCCTCAAATCTAGCCCAATATCCACTTGCAGATTCCACAAAAAGAGTGTTTCAAAACTGTTCTGTCTAAAGAAAAGTTCAACTGTGTTAGTTGAGGACACACATCAGAAACTAGTTTCTGAGAATGCTTCTGTCTAGTTGTTATGGGAAGATATTTCCTTTTCCAACGTAGGCCTGAAAGCGCTCCAAATGTCCACTTCCATATACTAAAAAAAGAGTGTTTCAAACCTGCTCTACCAAAGGGAATGTTCTACTCTGTGACTTGAATGCAAACATCCCAAAGAAGTTTCTGAGAATGCTTCTGTCTAGATTTGATCTGAAGACAATCCCGTTTCCAACGAAATCCTCAAGGCTAGGCAAATATCCTCTTGCAGATTCCAGAAAAAGAGTGTTTCAAAACTGCTCCTTCAAAACGGTGGTTCAATTCTCTTAGTTGAGTACACACATCTCAAATAAGTTTCTGAGAATGCTTCTGCCTAGTTGTTACGGGAAGATATTTCCCTTTCCAACATAGGCCTGAAAGCGCTCCAAATGTCCACTTCCAGATACTACAAAAAGAGTGTTTCAAACCTGCTCTACCAAAGGGAATGTTCTGCTCTGTGACTTGAATGCAAACGTCCCAAAGAAGTTTCTGAGAATGCTTCTGTCTAGATTTTACCTGAAGACAATCCCGTTTCCCACGAAATCCTCAAAGCTATGCAAATATCCTCTTGCAGATTCTACAAAAAGAGTGTTTCAAAACTGCTCTATGAAAAGAAAGGTTCAACTCTGTCAGTAGAGGGCACACATCACAAACAAGTTTCTGAGAATGCTTGTGTCTAGTTGTTATGGGAAGATATTTCCTTTTTCAACATAGGCCTGAAAGCGCTCCAAATGTCCACTTCCAGATACTACAAAAGGAGTGATTCCAACCTGCTCTATGATAGGGAGTGTTCAACTCTCTGTCCTGAATACAAACATCACAAAGATGTTTCTCAGAACGCTGCAGTCTGCAATTTGTATGAATTCCCGCTTCCAACGAAATCCTCAAAACTAGCCAAATATCCACTTGCAGATTCCACAAAAAGAGCATTTCAAAACTGCTCTATCAAAAGAAAGGTTCAACTATGTTAGTTGAGTAGATACAGCATAAACAAGTTTCTGAGAATGATTCTGTCCAGTTTTTATGGGAAGATATTTCCTTTTTCACCTTAGCCCTGAAAGCGCTCCAAAAGTCCAGTTCCAGATACTACAAAAGGAGTGTTTCAGGACTGCTCTATGAAAGGGAGTGTTCAACTTTTGACTTGAATGCAAACATCAGAAAGCAGTTTCTCAGAACGCTGCTGTGTGCTTTTTATATGTATTCCCGCTTCCAGCGAAATCCCCAAAGCTAGCCAAATATCCACTTGCAGATTCCAGAAAAAGAGTGTTTCAAAACTGCTCCTTCAAAACGGTGGTTCAATTCTCTTAGTTGAGTACACACATCTCAAATAAGTTTCTGAGAATGCTTCTGTCTAGTTGTTATGGGAAGATATTTCCTTTTCCAACATAGGCCTGAAAGCGCTCCAAATGTCCACTTCCAGATACTACAAAAGGAGTGATTCAAACCTGCTCTATGATAGGGAATGTTCAACTCTGTGTCCTGAATACAAACATCACAAAGATGTTTCTCAGAACGCTGCAGTCTGCAATTTGTATGAATTCCCGCTTCCAACGAAATCCTCCAAACTAGCCAAATATCCACTTGCAGATTCCACAAAAAGAGCGTTTCAAAACTTCTCTATGAAAAGAAAGGTTCTACTCCTTTAGTTGAGGACACACATCACGAGTAAGTTTCTGAGAGTGCTTCTGTCTAGTTTTTATGGGAAGATATTTCCTTTTTCACCTTAGGCCGGAAAGTGCTCCAAATGTCCACTTACACACACTACAAAAAGAGTGTTTCAAACCTGCTCTGTGAAAGGGAATGTTCAATTCTGTGACTTGAATGCAATCATCACAAAGAACTTTCTGAGAATGCTGCTGTCTGCTTTTTATATGTAATCCCGTTTCCAACGAAATCCTCAAATCTAGCCAAATAGCCACTTGCAGATTCCACAAAAAGAGTGTTTCAAAACTGTTCTGTCTAAAGAAATGTTCAACTGTGTTAGTTGAGGACACACATCAGAAACTAGTTTCTGAGAATGCTTCTGTCTAGTTGTTATGGGAAGATATTTCCTTTTCCAACGTAGGCCTGAAAGCGCTCCAAATGTCCACTTCCATATACTAAAAAAAGAGTGTTTCAAACCTGCTCTACCAAAGGGAATGTTCTACTCTGTGACATGAATGCAAACATCCCAAAGAAGTTTCTGAGAATGCTTCTGTCTAGATTTGATCTGAAGACAATCCCGTTTCCAACGGAAATCCTCAAAGCTAGGCAAATATACTCTTGCAGATTCCAGAAAAAGAGTGTTTCAAAACTGCTCCTTCAAAAGGGTGGTTCAATTCTCTTAGTTGAGTACACACATCTCAAATAAGTTTCCGAGAATGCTTCTGCCTAGTTGTTACGGGAAGATATTTCCCTTTCCAAAATGGGCCTGAAAGCGCTCCAAATGTCCACTTCCAGATACTACAAAAAGAGTGTTTCAAACCTGCTCTACCAAAGGGAATGTTCTACTCTGTGATTTGAATGCAAACATCCCAAAGAAGTTTCTGAGAATGCTTCTGTCTAGATTTTACCTGAAGACAATCCCGTTTCCCACGAAATCCTCAAAGCTATGCAAATATCCTCTTACGGATTCTACAAAAAGAGTGTTTCAAAACTGCTCTATGAAAAGAAAGGTTCAACTCTGTCAGTAGAGGGCACACATCACAAACAAGTTTCTGAGAATGCTTGTGTCTAGTTGTTATGGGAAGATATTTCCTTTTTCAACATAGGCCTGAAAGCGCTCCAAATGTCCACTTCCAGATACTACAAAAGGAGTGATTCCAACCTGCTCTATGATAGGGAATGTTCATCTCTGTGTCCTGAATACAAACATCACAAAGATGTTTCTCAGAACGCTGCAGTCTGCAATTTGTATGAATTCCCGCTTCCAACGAAATCCTCAACACTAGCCAAATATCCACTTGGAGATTCCACAAAAAGAGCGTTTCAAAACTTCTCTATGAATAGAAAGGTTCTACTCCTTTAGTTGAGGACACACATCACGAGTAAGTTTCTGAGAATGCTTCTGTCTAGTTTTTATGGGAAGATATTTCCTTTTTCACCTTAGGCCGGAAAGCGCTCCAAATGTCCACTTACACACACTACAAAAAGAGTGTTTCAAACCTGCTCTGTGAAAGGGAATGTTCAATTCTGTGACTTGAATGCAATCATCACAAAGAACTTTCTGAGAATGCTGCTGTCTGCTTTTTATATGTAATCCCGTTTCCAACGAAATCCTCAAATCTAGCCAAATATCCACTTGCAGATTCCACAAAGAGAGTGTTTCAAAACTGTTCTGTCTAAAGAAATGTTCAACTGTGTTAGTTGAGGACACACATCAGAAACTAGTTTCTGAGAATGCTTTCTGTCTAGTTGTTATGGGAAGATATTTCCTTTTCCAACGTAGGCCTGAAAGCGCTCCAAATGTCCACTTCCATATACGAAAAAAAGAGTGTTTCAAACCTGCTCTACCAAAGGGAATGTTCTACTCTGTGACTTGAATGCAAACATCCCAAAGAAGTTTCTGAGAATGCTTCTGTCTAGATTTTATCTGAAGACAATCCCGTTTCCAACGAAATCTTCAAGGCTAGGCAAATATACTCTTGCAGATTCCAGAAAAAGAGTGTTTCAAATCTGCTCCTTCAAAACGGTGGTTCAATTCTCTTAGTTGAGTACACACATCTCAAATAAGTTTCTGAGAATGCTTCTGCCTCGTTGTTACGGGAAGATATTTCCCTTTCCAACATGGGCCTGAAAGCGCTCCAAATGTCCACTTCCAGATACTACAAAAAGAGGGTTTCAAACCTGCTCTACCAAAGGGAATGTTCTACTCTGTGACTTGAATGCAAACATCCCAAAGAAGTTTCTGAGAATGCTTCTGTCTAGATTTTACCTGAAGACAATCCCGTTTCCCACGAAATCCTCAAAGCTATGCAAATATCCTCTTGCAGATTCTACAAAAAGAGTGTTTCAAAACTGCTCTATGAAAAGAAAGGTTCAACTCTGTCAGTAGAGGGCACACATCACAAACAAGTTTCTGAGAATGCTTGTGTCTAGTTGTTATGGGAAGATATTTCCTTTTTCAACATAGGCCAGAAAGCGCTCCAAATGTCCACTTCCAGATACTACAAAAGGAGTGATTCCAACCTGCTCTATGATAGGGAATGTTCAACTCTCTGTCCTGAATACAAACATCACAAAGATGTTTCTCAGAACGCTGCAGTCTGCAATTTGTATGAATTCCCGCTTCCAACGAAATCCTCAAAACTAGCCAAATATCCACTTGCAGATTCCACAAAAAGAGCATTTCAAAACTGCTCTATCAAAAGAAAGGTTCAACTTTGTTAGTTGAGTAGATACAGCATAAACAAGTTTCTGAGAATGCTTCTGTCCAGTTTTTATGGGAAGATATTTCCTTTTTCACCTTAGCCCTGAAGGCGCTCCAAATTTCCAGTTCCAGATACTACAAAAGGGGTGTTTCAAGACTGCTCTATGAAAGGGAGTGTTCAACTTTTGACTTGAATGCAAACATCAGAAAGCAGTTTTCTCAGAACGCTGCTGTGTGCTTTTTATATGTATTCCCGCTTCCAGCGAAATCCCCAAAGCTAGCCAAATACCACTTGCAGATTCCAGAAAAAGAGTGTTTCAAAACTGCTCCTTCAAAACGGTGGTTCAATTCTCTTAGTTGAGTACACACATCTCAAATAAGTTTCTGAGAATGCTTCTGTCTAGTTGTTATGGGAAGATATTTCCTTTTCCAACATAGGCCTGAAAGCGCTCCAAATGTCCACTTCCAGATACTACAAAAGGAGTGATTCAAACCTGCTCTATGATAGGGAATGTTCAACTCTGTGTCCTGAATACAAACATCACAAAGATGTTTCTCAGAACGCTGCAGTCTGCAATTTGTATGAATTCCCGCTTCCAACGAAATCCTCAAAACTAGCCAAATATCCACTTGCAGATTCCACAAAAAGAGCGTTTCAAAACTTCTCTATGAAAAGAAAGGTTCTACTCCTTTAGTTGAGGACACACATCACGAGTAAGTTTCTGAGAATGCTTCTGTCTAGTTTTTGTGGGAAGATATTTCCTTTTTCACCTTAGGCCGGAAAGTGCTCCAAATGTCCACTTACACACACTACAAAAAGAGTGTTTCAAACCTGCTCTGTGAAAGGGAATGTTCAATTCTGTGACTTGAATGCAATCATCACAAAGAACTTTCTGAGAATGCTGCTGTCTGCTTTTTATATGTAATCCCGTTTCCAACGAAATCCTCAAATCTAGCCAAATATCCACTTGCAGATTCCACAAAAAGAGTGTTTCAAAACTGTTCTGTCTAAAGAAAAGTTCAACTGTGTTAGTTGAGGACACACATCAGAAACTAGTTTCTGAGAATGCTTCTGTCTAGTTGTTATGGGAAGATATTTCCTTTTCCAACGTAGGCCTGAAAGCGCTCCAAATGTCCACTTCCATATACTAAAAAAAGAGTGTTTCAAACCTGCTCTACCAAAGGGAATGTTCTACTCTGTGACTTGAATGCAAACATCCCAAAGAAGTTTCTGAGAATGCTTCTGTCTAGATTTTATCTGAAGACAATCCCGTTTCCAACGAAATCCTCAAGGCTAGGCAAATATACTCTTGCAGATTCCAGAAAAAGAGTGTTTCAAAACTGCTCCTTCAAAACGGTGGTTCAATTCTCTTCGTTGAGTACACACATCTCAAATAAGTTTCTGAGAATGCTTCTGCCTAGTTGTTACGGGAAGATATTTCCCTTTCCAACATGGGCCTGAAAGCGCTCCAAATGTCCACTTCCAGATACTACAAAAAGAGTGTTTGAAACCTGCTCTACCAAAGGGAATGTTCTACTCTGTGACTTGAATGCAAACATCCCAAAGAAGTTTCTGAGAATGCTTCTGTCTAGATTTTACCTGAAGACAATCCCGTTTCCCACGAAATCCTCAAAGCTATGCAAATATCCTCTTGCGGATTCTACAAAAAGAGTGTTTCAAAACTGCTCTATGAAAAGAAAGGTTCAACTCTGTCAGTAGAGGGCACACATCACAAACAAGTTTCTGAGAATGCTTGTGTCTAGTTGTTATGGGAAGATATTTCCTTTTTCAACATAGGCCTGAAAGCGCTCCAAATGTCCACTTCCAGATACTACAAAAGGAGTGATTCCAACATGCTCTATGATAGGGAATGTTCATCTCTGTGTCCTGAATACAAACATCACAAAGATGTTTCTCAGAACGCTGCAGTCTGCAATTTGGATGAATTCCCGCTTCCAACGAAATCCTCAAAACTAACCAAATAACCACTTGGAGATTCCACAAAAAGAGCGTTTCAAAACTTCTCTATGAATAGAAAGGTTCTACTCCTTTAGTTGAGGACACACATCACGAGTAAGTTTCTGAGAATGCTTCTGTCTACTTTTTAAGGGAGGATATGTCCTTTTTCACCTTAGGCCGGAAAGCACTCCAAATGTCCACTTACACACACTACAAAAAGAGTGTTTCAAACCTGCTCTGTGAAAGGGAATGTTCAATTCTGTGACTTGAATGCAATCATCACAAAGAACTTTCTGAGAATGCTGCTGTCTGCTTTTTATATGTAATCCCGTTTCCAACGAAATCCTCAAATCTAGCCAAATATCCACTTGCAGATTCCACAAAAGAGTGTTTCAAAACTGTTCTGTCTAAAGAAAAGTTCAACTGTGTTAGTTGAGGACACACATCAGAAACTAGTTTCTGAGAATGCTTCTGTCTACTTGTTATGGGAAGATATTTCCTTTTCCAACGTAGGCCTGAAAGCGCTCCAAATGTCCACTTCCATATACTAAAAAAAGAGTGTTTCAAACCTGCTCTACCAAAGGGAATGTTCTACTCTGTGACTTGAATGCAAACATCCCAAAGAAGTTTCTGAGAATGCTTCTGTCTAGATTTGATCTGAACACAATCCCGTTTCCAACGAAATCCTCAAAGCTAGGCAAATATCCTCTTGCAGATTCCAGAAAAAGAGTGTTTCAAAACTGCTCCTTCAAAACGGTGGTTCGAATTCTCTTAGTTGAGTACACACATCTCAAATAAGTTTCTGAGAATGCTTCTGCCTAGTTGTTACCGGAAGATATTTCCCTTTCCAACATAGGCCTGAAAGCGCTCCAAATGTCCACTTCCAGATACTACAAAAAGAGTGTTTCAAACCTGCTCTACCAAAGGGAATGTTCTACTCTGTGACTTGAATGCAAACATCCCAAAGAAGTTTCTGAGAATGCTTCTGTCTAGATTTTACCTGAAGACAATCCCGTTTCCCACGAAATCCTCAAAGCTATGCAAATATCCTCTTGCAGATTCTACAAAAAGAGTGTTTCAAAACTGCTCTATGAAAAGAAAGGTTCAACTCTGTCAGTAGAGGGCACACATCACAAACAAGTTTCTGAGAATGCTTGTGTCTAGTTGTTATGGGAAGATATTTCCTTTTTCAACATAGGCCTGAAAGCGCTCCAAATGTCCACTTCCAGATACTACAAAAGGAGTGATTCCAACCTGCTCTATGATAGGGAATGTTCAACTCTCTGTCCTGAATACAAACATCACAAAGATGTTTCTCAGAACGCTGCAGTCTGCAATTTGTATGAATTCCCGCTTCCAACGAAATCCTCAAAACTAGCCAAATATCCACTTGCAGATTCCACAAAAAGAGCATTTCAAAACTGCTCTATCAAAAGAAAGGTTCAACTTTGTTAGTTGAGTAGATACAGCATAAACAAGTTTCTGAGAATGCTTCTGTCCAGTTTTTATGGGAAGATATTTCCTTTTTCACCTTAGCCCTGAAAGCGCTCCAAATGTCCAGTTCCAGATACTACAAAAGGAGTGTTTCAGGACTGCTCTATGAAAGGGAGTGTTCAAATTTTGACTTGAATGCAAACATCAGAAAGCAGTTTCTCAGAACGCTGCTGTGTGCTTTTTATATGTATTCCCGCTTCCAGCGAAATCCCCAAAGCTAGCCAAATATCCACTTGCAGATTCCAGAAAAAGAGTGTTTCAAAACTGCTCCTTCAAAACGGTGGTTCAATTCTCTTAGTTGAGTACACACATCTCAAATAAGTTTCTGAGAATGCTTCTGTCTAGTTGTTATGGGAAGATATTTCCTTTTCCAACATAGGCCTGAAAGCGCTCCAAATGTCCACTTCCAGATACTACAAAAGGAGTGATTCAAACCTGCTCTATGATAGGGAATGTTCAACTCTGTGTCCTGAATACAAACATCACAAAGATGTTTCTCAGAACGCTGCAGTCTGCAGTTTGTATGAATTCCCGCTTCCAACGAAATCCTCAAAACTAGCCAAATATCCACTTGCAGATTCCACAAAAAGAGCGTTTCAAAACTTCTCTATGAAAAGAAAGGTTCTACTCCTTTAGTTGAGGACACACATCACGAGTAAGTTTCTGAGAATGCTTCTGTCTAGTTTTTATGGGAAGATATTTCCTTTTTCACCTTAGGCCGGAAAGCGCTCCAAATGTCCACTTACACACACTACAAAAAGAGTGTTTCAAACCTGCTCTGTGAAAGGGAATGTTCAATTCTGTGACTTGAATGCAATCATCACAAAGAAGTTTCTGAGAATGCTGCTGTCTGCTTTTTATATGTAATCCCGTTTCCAACGAAATCCTCAAATCTAGCCAAATAGCCACTTGCAGATTCCACAAAAAGAGTGTTTCAAAACTGTTCTGTCTAAAGAAATGTTCAACTGTGTTAGTTGAGGACACACATCAGAAACTAGTTTCTGAGAATGCTTCTGTCTAGTTGTTATGGGAAGATATTTCCTTTTCCAACGTAGGCCTGAAAGCACTCCAAATGTCCACTTCCATATACTTAAAAAAGAGTGTTTCAAACCTGCTCTACCAAAGGGAATGTTCTACTCTGTGACATGAATGCAAACATCCCAAAGAAGTTTCTGAGAATGCTTCTGTCTAGATTTGATCTGAAGACAATCCCGTTTCCAACGAAATCCTCAAGGCTAGGCAAATATCCTCTTGCAGATTCCAGAAAAAGAGTGTTTCAAAACTGCTCCTTCAAAACGGTGGTTCAATTCTCTTAGTTGAGTACACACATCTCAAATAAGTTTCTGAGAATGCTTCTGCCTAGTTGTTACGGGAAGATATTTCCCTTTCCAACATAGGCCTGAAAGCGCTCCAAATGTCCACTTCCAGATACTACAAAAAGAGTGTTTCAAACCTGCTCTACCAAAGGGAATGTTCTACTCTGTGACTTGAATGCAAACATCCCAAAGAAGTTTCTGAGAATGCTTCTGTCTAGATTTTACCTGAAGACAATCCCGTTTCCCACGAAATCCTCAAAGCTATGCAAATATCCTCTTGCAGATTCTACAAAAAGAGTGTTTCAAAACTGCTCTATGAAAAGAAAGGTTCAACTCTGTCAGTAGAGGGCACACATCACAAACAAGTTTCTGAGAATGCTTGTGTCTAGTTGTTATGGGAAGATATTTCCTTTTTCAACATAGGCCTGAAAGCGCTCCAAATGTCCACTTCCAGATACTACAAAAGGAGTGATTCCAACCTGCTCTATGATAGGGAATGTTCAACTCTCTGTCCTGAATACAAACATCACAAAGATGTTTCTCAGAACGCTGCAGTCTGCAATTTGTATGAATTCCCGCTTCCAACGAAATCCTCAAAACTAGCCAAATATCCACTTGCAGATTCCACAAAAAGAGCATTTCAAAACTGCTCTATCAAAAGAAAGGTTCAACTTTGTTAGTTGAGTAGATACAGCATAAACAAGTTTCTGAGAATGCTTCTGTCCAGTTTTTATGGGAAGATATTTCCTTTTTCACCTTAGCCCTGAAAGCGCTCCAAAAGTCCAGTTCCAGATACTACAAAAGGAGTGTTTCAGGACTGCTCTATGAAAGGGAGTGTTCAACTTTTGACTTGAATGCAAACATCAGAAAGCAGTTTCTCAGAACGCTGCTGTGGGCTTTTTATATGTATTCCCGCTTCCAGCGAAATCCCCAAAGCTAGCCAAATATCCACTTGCAGATTCCAGAAAAAGAGTGTTTCAAAACTGCTCCTTCAAAACGGTGGTTCAATTCTCTTAGTTGAGTACACACATCTCAAATAAGTTTCTGAGAATGCTTGTGTCTAGTTGTCATGGGAAGATATTTCCTTTTTCAACATAGGCCTGAAAGCGCTCCAAATGTCCACTTCCAGATACTACAAAAGGAGTGATTCTAACCTGCTCTATGATAGGGAATGTTCAACTCTCTGTCCTGAATACAAACATCACAAAGATGTTTCTCAGAACGCTGCAGTCTGCAATTTGTATGAATTCCCGCTTCCAACGAAATCCTCAAAACTAGCCAAATATCCACTTGCAGATTCCACAAAAAGAGCATTTCAAAACTGCTCTATCAAAAGAAAGGTTCAACTTTGTTAGTTGAGTAGATACAGCATAAACAAGTTTCTGAGAATGCTTCTGTCCAGTTTTTATGGGAAGATATTTCCTTTTTCACCTTAGCCCTGAAAGCGCTCCAAAAGTCCAGTTCCAGATACTACAAAAGGAGTGTTTCAGGACTGCTCTATGAAAGGGAGTGTTCAACTTTTGACTTGAATGCAAACATCAGAAAGCAGTTTCTCAGAACGCTGCTGTGTGCTTTTTATATGTATTCCCGCTTCCAGCGAAATCCCCAAAGCTAGCCAAATATCCACTTGCAGATTCCAGAAAAAGAGTGTTTCAAAACTGCTCCTTCAAAACGGTGGTTCAATTCTCTTAGTTGAGTACACACATCTCAAATAAGTTTCTGAGAATGCTTCTGTCTAGTTGTTATGGGAAGATATTTCCTTTTCCAACATAGGCCTGAAAGCGCTCCAAATGTCCACTTCCAGATACTACAAAAGGAGTGATTCAAACCTGCTCTATGATAGGGAATGTTCAACTCTGTGTCCTGAATACAAACATCACAAAGATGTTTCTCAGAACGCTGCAGTCTGCAATTTGTATGAATTCCCGCTTCCAACGAAATCCTCAAAACTAGCCAAATATCCACTTGCAGATTCCACAAAAAGAGCGTTTCAAAACTTCTCTATGAAAAGAAAGGTTCTACTCCTTTAGTTGAGGACACACATCACGAGTAAGTTTCTGAGAATGCTTCTGTCTAGTTTTTATGGGAAGATATTTCCTTTTTCACCTTAGGCCGGTAAGTGCTCCAAATGTCCACTTACACACACTACAAAAAGAGTGTTTCAAACCTGCTCTGTGAAAGGGAATGTTCAATTCTGTGACTTGAATGCAATCATCACAAAGAACTTTCTGAGAATGCTGCTGACTGCTTTTTATATGTAATCCCGTTTCCAACGAAATCCTCAAATCTAGCCAAATAGCCACTTGCAGATTCCACAAAAAGAGTGTTTCAAAACTGTTCTGTCTAAAGAAATGTTCAACTGTGTTAGTTGAGGACACACATCAGAAACTAGTTTCTGAGAATGCTTCTGTCTAGTTGTTATGGGAAGATATTTCCTTTTCCAACGTAGGCCTGAAAGCGCTCCAAATGTCCACTTCCATATACTAAAAAAAGAGTGTTTCAAACCTGCTCTACCAAAGGGAATGTTCTACTCTGTGACTTGAATGCAAACATCCCAAAGAAGTTTCTGAGAATGCTTCTGTCTAGATTTTCTCTGAAGACAATCCCGTTTCCAACGAAATCCTCAAGGCTAGGCAAATATACTCTTGCAGATTCCAGAAAAAGAGTGTTTCAAAACTGCTCCTTCAAAACGGTGGTTCAATTCTCTTAGTTGAGTACACACATCTCAAATAAGTTTCTGAGAATGCTTCTGCCTAGTTGTTACGGGAAGATATTTCCTTTTCCAACATGGGCCTGAAAGCGCTCCAAATGTCCACTTCCAGATACTACAAAAAGAGTGTTTCAAACCTGCTCTACCAAAGGGAATGTTCTACTCTGTGACTTGAATGCAAACATCCCAAAGAAGTTTCTGAGAATGCTTCTGTCTAGATTTTACCTGAAGACAATCCCGTTTCCCACGAAATCCTCAAAGCTATGCAAATATCCTCTTGCAGATTCTACAAAAAGAGTGTTTCAAAACTGCTCTATGAAAAGAAAGGTTCAACTCTGTCAGTAGAGGGCACACATCACAAACAAGTTTCTGAGAATGCTTCTGCATAGTTGTTACGGGAAGATATTTCCCTTTCCAAAATAGGCCTGAAAGCGCTCCAAATGTCCACTTCCAGATACTACAAAAGGAGTGATTCCAACCTGCTCTATGATAGGGAATGTTCAACTCTGTGTCCTGAATACAAACATCACAAAGATGTTTCTCAGAACGCTGCAGTCTGCAATTTGTATGAATTCCCGCTTCCAACGAAATCCTCAAAACTAGCCAAATATCCACTTGCAGATTCCACAAAAAGACCATTTCAAAACTGCTCTATCAAAAGAAAGGTTCAACTTTGTTAGTTGAGTAGATACAGCATAACCAAGTTTCTGAGAATGCTTCTGTCCAGTTTTTATGGGAAGATATTTCCTTTTTCACCTTAGCCCTGAAATCGCTCCAAAAGTCCAGTTCCAGATACTACAAAAGGGGTGTTTCAAGACTGCTCTATGAAAGGGAGTGTTCAACTTTTGACTTGAATGCAAACATCAGAAAGCAGTTTCTCAGAACGCTGCTGTGTGCTTTTTATATGTATTCCCGCTTCCAGCGAAATCCCCAAAGCTAGCCAAATATCCACTTGCAGATTCCAGAAAAAGAGAGTTTCAAAACTGCTCCTTCAAAACGGTGGTTCAATTCTCTTAGTTGAGTACACACATCTCAAATAAGTTTCTGAGAATGCTTCTGCCTAGTTGTTATGGGAAGATATTTCCTTTTTCAACATAGGCCTGAAAGCGCTCCAAATGTCCACCTCCAGATACTACAAAAGGAGTGATTCCAACCTGCTCTATGATAGGGAATGTTCAACTCTGTGTCCTGAATACAATCATCACAAAGAAGTTTCTGAGAATGCTGCTGTCTGCTTTTTATATGTAATCCCTTTTCCAACGAAATCCTCAAATCTAGCCAAATATCCACTTGCAGATTCCACAAAAGAGTGTTTCAAAACTGTTCTGTCTAAAGAAAAGTTCGACTGTGTTAGTTGAGGACACACATCAGAAACTAGTTTCTGAGAATGCTTCTGTCTAGTTGTTATGGGAAGATATTTCCTTTTCCAACGTAGGCCTGAAAGCTCTCCAAATGTCCACTTACACACACTACAAAAAGAGTGTTTCAAACCTGCTCTACCAAAGGGAATGTTCTACTCTGTGACTTGAATGCAAACATCCCAAAGAAGTTTCTGAGAATGCTGCTGACTGCTTTTTATATGTAATCCCGTTTCCAACGAAATCCTCAAATCTAGCCAAATAGCCACTTGCAGATTCCACAAAAAGAGTGTTTCAAAACTGTTCTGTCTAAAGAAATGTTCAACTGTGTTAGTTGAGGACACACATCAGAAACTAGTTTCTGAGAATGCTTCTGTCTAGTTGTTATGGGAAGATATTTCCTTTTCCAACGTAGGCCTGAAAGCGATCCAAATGTCCACTTCCATATACTAAAAAAAGAGTGTTTCAAACCTGCTCTACCAAAGGGAATGTTCTACTCTGTGACTTGAATGCAAACATCCCAAAGAAGTTTCTGAGAATGCTTCTGTCTAGATTTTCTCTGAAGACAATCCCGTTTCCAACGAAATCCTCAAGGCTAGGCAAATATACTCTTGCAGATTCCAGAAAAAGAGTGTTTCAAAACTGCTCCTTCAAAACGGTGGTTCAATTCTCTTAGTTGAGTACACACATCTCAAATAAGTTTCTGAGAATGCTTCTGCCTAGTTGTTACGGGAAGATATTTCCCTTTCCAACATAGGCCTGAAAGCGCTCCAAATGTCCACTTCCAGATACTACAAAAAGAGTGTTTCAAACCTGCTCTACCAAAGGGAATGTTCTACTCTGTGACTTGAATGCAAACATCCCAAAGAAGTTTCTGAGAATGCTTCTGTCTAGATTTTACCTGAAGACAATCCCGTTTCCCACGAAATCCTCAAAGCTATGCAAATATCCTCTTGCAGATTCTACAAAAAGAGTGTTTCAAAACTGCTCTATGAAAAGAAAGGTTCAACTCTGTCAGTAGAGGGCACACATCACAAACAAGTTTCTGAGAATGCTTGTGTCTAGTTGTTATGGGAAGATATTTCCTTTTTCAACATAGGCCTGAAAGCGCTCCAAATGTCCACTTCCAGATACTACAAAAGGAGTGATTCCAACCTGCTCTATGATAGGGAATGTTCAACTCTCTGTCCTGAATACAAACATCACAAAGATGTTTCTCAGAACGCTGCAGTCTGCAATTTGTATGAATTCCCGCTTCCAACGAAATCCTCAAAACTAGCCAAATATCCACTTGCAGATTCCACAAAAAGAGCATTTCAAAACTGCTCTATCAAAAGAAAGGTTCAACTTTGTTAGTTGAGTAGATACAGCATAAACAAGTTTCTGAGAATGCTTCTGTCCAGTTTTTATGGGAAGATATTTCCTTTTTCACCTTAGCCCTGAAAGCGCTCCAAAAGTCCAGTTCCAGATACTACAAAAGGGGTGTTTCAGGACTGCTCTATGAAAGGGAGTGTTCAACTTTTGACTTGAATGCAAACATCAGAAAGCAGTTTCTCAGAACGCTGCTGTGTGCTTTTTATATGTATTCCCGCTTCCAGCGAAATCCCCAAAGCTAGCCAAATATCCACTTGCAGATTCCAGAAAAAGAGTGTTTCAAAACTGCTCCTTCAAAACGGTGGTTCAATTCTCTTAGTTGAGTACACACATCTCAAATAAGTTTCTGAGAATGCTTCTGTCTAGTTGTTATGGGAAGATATTTCCTTTTCCAACATAGGCCTGAAAGCGCTCCAAATGTCCACTTCCAGATACTACAAAAGGAGTGATTCAAACCTGCTCTATGATAGGGAATGTTCAACTCTGTGTCCTGAATACAAACATCACAAAGATGTTTCTCAGAACGCTGCAGTCTGCAATTTGTATGAATTCCCGCTTCCAACGAAATCCTCCAAACTAGCCAAATATCCACTTGCAGATTCCACAAAAAGAGCGTTTCAAAACTTCTCTATGAAAAGAAAGGTTCTACTCCTTTAGTTGAGGACACACATCACGAGTAAGTTTCTGAGAATGCTTCTGTCTAGTTTTTATGGGAAGATATTTCCTTTTTCACCTTAGGCCGGTAAGTGCTCCAAATGTCCACTTACACACACTACAAAAAGAGTGTTTCAAACCTGCTCTGTGAAAGGGAATGTTCAATACTGTGACTTGAATGCAATCATCACAAAGAACTTTCTGAGAATGCTGCTGTCTGCTTTTCATATGTAATTCCGTTTCCAACGAAATCCTCAAATCTAGCCAAATAGCCACTTGCAGATTCCACAAAAAGAGTGTTTCAAAACTGTTCTGTCTAAAGAAATGTTCAAC
Organism: Homo sapiens; assembly: GCF_000001405.40. Classification (NCBI taxonomy): domain Eukaryota; kingdom Metazoa; phylum Chordata; class Mammalia; order Primates; family Hominidae; genus Homo; species Homo sapiens. The sequence goes on along the minus strand of NC_000018.10, from coordinate 16,022,734 downwards.
TGTGTTAGTTGAGGACACACATCAGAAACTAGTTTCTGAGAATGCTTCTGTCTAGTTGTTATGGGAAGATATTTCCTTTTCCAACGTAGGCCTGAAAGCGCTCCAAATGTCCACTTCCATATACTAAAAAAAGAGTGTTTCAAACCTGCTCTACCAAAGGGAATGTTCTACTCTGTGACTTGAATGCAAACATCCCAAAGAAGTTTCTGAGAATGCTTCTGTCTAGATTTGATCTGAAGACAATCCCGTTTCCAACGAAATCCTCAAGGCTAGGCAAATATCCTCTTGCAGATTCCAGAAAAAGAGTGTTTCAAAACTGCTCCTTCAAAACGGTGGTTCAATTCTCTTAGTTGAGTACACACATCTCAAATAAGTTTCTGAGAATGCTTCTGCCTAGTTGTTACGGGAAGATATTTCCCTTTCCAACATAGGCCTGAAAGCGCTCCAAATGTCCACTTCCAGATACTACAAAAAGAGTGTTTCAAACCTGCTCTACCAAAGGGAATGTTCTACTCTGTGACTTGAATGCAAACATCCCAAAGAAGTTTCTGAGAATGCTTCTGTCTAGATTTTACCTGAAGACAATCCCGTTTCCCACGAAATCCTCAAAGCTATGCAAATATCCTCTTGCAGATTCTACAAAAAGAGTGTTTCAAAACTGCTCTATGAAAAGAAAGGTTCAACTCTGTCAGTAGAGGGCACACATCACAAACAAGTTTCTGAGAATGCTTGTGTCTAGTTGTTATGGGAAGATATTTCCTTTTTCAACATAGGCCTGAAAGCGCTCCAAATGTCCACTTCCAGATACTACAAAAGGAGTGATTCCAACCTGCTCTATGATAGGGAATGTTCAACTCTGTGTCCTGAATACAAACATCACAAAGATGTTTCTCAGAACGCTGCAGTCTGCAATTTGTATGAATTCCCGCTTCCAACGAAATCCTCAAAACTAGCCAAATATCCACTTGCAGATTCCACAAAAAGAGCGTATCAAAACTTCTCTATGAAAAGAAAGGTTCTACTCCTTTAGTTGAGGACACACATCACGAGTAAGTTTCTGAGAATGCTTCTGTCTAGTTTTTATGGGAAGATATTTCCTTTTTCACCTTAGGCCGGTAAGTGCTCCAAATGTCCACTTACACACACTACAAAAAGAGTGTTTCAAACCTGCTCTGTGAAAGGGAATGTTCAATTCTGTGACTTGAATGCAATCATCACAAAGAACTTTCTGAGAATGCTGCTGACTGCTTTTTATATGTAATCCCGTTTCCAACGAAATCCTCAAATCTAGCCAAATAGCCACTTGCAGATTCCACAAAAAGAGTGTTTCAAAACTGTTCTGTCTAAAGAAATGTTCAACTGTGTTAGTTGAGGACACACATCAGAAACTAGTTTCTGAGAATGCTTCTGTCTAGTTGTTATGGGAAGATATTTCCTTTTCCAACGTAGGCCTGAAAGCGCTCCAAATGTCCACTTCCAGATACTACAAAAAGAGTGTTTCAAACCTGCTCTACCAAAGGGAATGTTCTACTCTGTGACTTGAATGCAAACATCCCAAAGAAGTTTCTGAGAATGCTTCTGTCTAGATTTTCTCTGAAGACAATCCCGTTTCCAACGAAATCCTCAAGGCTAGGCAAATATACTCTTGCAGATTCCAGAAAAAGAGTGTTTCAAAACTGCTCCTTCAAAACGGTGGTTCAATTCTCTTAGTTGAGTACACACATCTCAAATAAGTTTCTGAGAATGCTTCTGCCTAGTTGTTACGGGAAGATATTTCCCTTTCCAACATGGGCCTGAAAGCGCTCCAAATGTCCACTTCCAGATACTACAAAAAGAGTGTTTCAAACCTGCTCTACCAAAGGGAATGTTCTACTCTGTGACTTGAATGCAAACATCCCAAAGAAGTTTCTGAGAATGCTTCTGTCTAGATTTTACCTGAAGACAATCCCGTTTCCCACGAAATCCTCAAAGCTATGCAAATAACCTCTTGCAGATTCTACAAAAAGAGTGTTTCAAAACTGCTCTATGAAAAGAAAGGTTCAACTCTGTCAGTAGAGGGCACACATCACAAACAAGTTTCTGAGAATGCTTCTGCATAGTTGTTACGGGAAGATATTTCCCTTTCCAAAATAGGCCTGAAAGCGCTCCAAATGTCCACTTCCAGATACTACAAAAGGAGTGATTCCAACCTGCTCTATGATAGGGAATGTTCAACTCTGTGTCCTGAATACAAACATCACAAAGATGTTTCTCAGAACGCTGCAGTCTGCAATTTGTATGAATTCCCGCTTCCAACGAAATCCTCAAAACTAGCCAAATATCCACTTGCAGATTCCACAAAAAGAGCATTTCAAAACTGCTCTATCAAAAGAAAGGTTCAACTTTGTTAGTTGAGTAGATACAGCATAAACAAGTTTCTGAGAATGCTTCTGTCCAGTTTTTATGGGAAGATATTTCCTTTTTCACCTTAGCCCTGAAGGCGCTCCAAATGTCCAGTTCCAGATACTACAAAAGGGGTGTTTCAAGACTGCTCTATGAAAGGGAGTGTTCAACTTTTGACTTGAATGCAAACATCAGAAAGCAGTTTCTCAGAACGCTGCTGTGTGCTTTTTATATGTATTCCCGCTTACAGCGAAATCCCCAAAGCTAGCCAAATATCCACTTGCAGATTCCAGAAAAAGAGTGTTTCCAAACTGCTCCTTCAAAACGGTGGTTCAATTCTCATAGTTGAGTACACACATCTCCAATAAGTTTCTGGGAATGCTTCTGTCTAGTTGTTATGGGAAGATATTTCCTTTTCCAACATAGGCCTGAAAGCGCTCCAAATGTCCACTTCCAGATACTACAAAAGGAGTGATTCAAACCTGTTCTATGATAGGGAATGTTCAACTCTGTGTCCTGAATACAAACATCACAAAGATGTTTCTCAGAACGCTGCAGTCTGCAATTTGTATGAATTCCCGCTTCCAACGAAATCCTCCAAACTAGCCAAATATCCACTTGCAGATTCCACAAAAAGAGCGTTTCAAAACTTCTCTATGAAAAGAAAGGTTCTACTCCTTTAGTTGAGGACACACATCACGAGTAAGTTTCTGAGAATGCTTCTGTCTAGTTTTTATGGGAAGATATTTCCTTTTTCACCTTAGGCCGGTAAGTGCTCCAAATGTCCACTTACACACACTACAAAAAGAGTCTTTCAAACCTGCTCTGTGAAAGGGAATGTTCAATTCTGTGACTTGAATGCAATCATCACAAAGAACTTTCTGAGAATGCTGCTGACTGCTTTTTATATGTAATCCCGTTTCCAACGAAATCCTCAAATCTAGCCAAATAGCCACTTGCAGATTCCACAAAAAGAGTGTTTCAAAACTGTTCTGTCTAAAGAAATGTTCAACTGTGTTAGTTGAGGACACACATCAGAAACTAGTTTCTGAGAATGCTTCTGTCTAGTTGTTATGGGAAGATATTTCCTTTTCCAACGTAGGCCTGAAAGCGCTCCAAATGTCCACTTCCAGATACTACAAAAAGAGTGTTTCAAACCTGCTCTACCAAAGGGAATGTTCTACTCTGTGACTTGAATGCAAACATCCCAAAGAAGTTTCTGAGAATGCTTCTGTCTAGATTTTCTCTGAAGACAATCCCGTTTCCAACGAAATCCTCAAGGCTAGGCAAATATACTCTTGCAGATTCCAGAAAAAGAGTGTTTCAAAACTGCTCCTTCAAAACGGTGGTTCAATTCTCTTAGTTGAGTACACACATCTCAAATAAGTTTCTGAGAATGCTTCTGCCTAGTTGTTACGGGAAGATATTTCCCTTTCCAACATGGGCCTGAAAGCGCTCCAAATGTCCACTTCCAGATACTACAAAAAGAGGGTTTCAAACCTGCTCTACCAAAGGGAATGTTCTACTCTGTGACTTGAATGCAAACATCCCAAAGTAGTTTCTGAGAATGCTTCTGTCTAGATTTTACCTGAAGACAATCCCGTTTCCCACGAAATCCTCAAAGCTATGCAAATATCCTCTTGCAGATTCTACAAAAAGAGTGTTTCAAAACTGCTCTATGAAAAGAAAGGTTCAACTCTGTCAGTAGAGGGCACACATCACAAACAAGTTTCTGAGAATGCTTGTGTCTAGTTGTTATGGGAAGATATTTCCTTTTTCAACATAGGCCTGAAAGCGCTCCAAATGTCCACTTCCAGATACTACAAAAGGAGTGATTCCAACCTGCTCTATGATAGGGAATGTTCATCTCTGTGTCCTGAATACAAACATCACAAAGATGTTTCTCAGAACGCTGCAGTCTGCAATTTGTATGAATTCCCGCTTCCAACGAAATCCTCAAAACTAGCCAAATATCCACTTGCAGATTCCACAAAAAGAGCGTTTCAAAACTTCTCTATGAAAAGAAAGGTTCTACTCCTTTAGTTGAGGACACACATCACGAGTAAGTTTCTGAGAATGCTTCTGTCTAGTTTTTATGGGAAGATATTTCCTTTTTCACCTTAGGCCGGAAAGCGCTCCAAATGTCCACTTACACACACTACAAAAAGAGTGTTTCAAACCTGCTCTGTGAAAGGGAATGTTCAATTCTGTGACTTGAATGCAATCATCACAAAGAACTTTCTGAGAATGCTGCTGTCTGCTTTTTATATGTAATCCCGTTTCCAACGAAATCCTCAAATCTAGCCAAATATCCACTTGCAGATTCCACAAAAAGAGTGTTTCAAAACTGTTCTGTCTAAAGAAAAGTTCAACTGTGTTAGTTGAGGACACACATCAGAAACAAGTTTCTGAGAATGCTTCTGTCTAGTTGTTATGGGAAGATATTTCCTTTTCCAACGTAGGCCTGAAAGCGCTCCAAATGTCCATTTCCATATACTAAAAAAAGAGTGTTTCAAACCTGCTCTACCAAAGGGAATGTTCTACTCTGTGACTTGAATACAAACATCCCAAAGAAGTTTCTGAGAATGCTTCTGTCTAGATTTTATCTGAAGACAATCCCGTTTCCAACGAAATCCTCAAGGCTAGGCAAATATCATCTAGCAGATTCCAGAAAAAGAGTGTTTCAAAACTGCTCCTTCAAAACGGTGGTTCAATTCTCTTAGTTGCGTACACACATCTCAAAAAAGTTTCAGAGAATGCTTCTGCCTAGTTGTTACGGGAAGATATTTCCCTTTCCAACATGGGCCTGAAAGTGCTCCAAATGTCCACTTCCAGATACTACAAAAAGAGTGTTTCAAACCTGCTCTACCAAAGGGAATGTTCTACTCTGTGACTTGAATGCAAACATCCCAAAGAAGTTTCTGAGAATGCTTCTGTCTAGATTTTACCTGAAGACAATCCCGTTTCCAACGAAATTCTCAAGGCTAGGCAAATATACTCTTGCAGATTCCAGAAAAAGAGTGTTTCAAAACTGCTCCTTCAAAACGGTGGTTCAATTCTCTTAGTTGAGTACACACATCTCAAATAAGTTTCTGAGAATGCTTCTGCCTAGTTGTTACGGGAAGATATTTCCCTTTCCAACATGGGCCTGAAAGCGCTCCAAATGTCCACTTCCAGATACTACAAAAAGAGTGTTTCAAACCTGCTCTACCAAAGGGAATGTTCTACTCTGTGACTTGAATGCAAACATCCCAAAGAAGTTTCTGAGAATGCTTCTGTCTAGATTTTACCTGAAGACAATCCCGTTTCCCACGAAATCCTCAAAGCTATGCAAATATCCTCTTGCAGATTCTACAAAAAGAGTGTTTCAAAACTGCTCTATGAAAAGAAAGGTTCAACTCTGTCAGTAGAGGGCACACATCACAAACAAGTTTCTGAGAATGCTTCTGCATAGTTGTTACGGGAAGATATTTCCCTTTCCAAAATAGGCCTGAAAGCGCTCCAAATGTCCACTTCCAGATACTACAAAAGGAGTGATTCCAACCTGCTCTATGATAGGGAATGTTCAACTCTGTGTCCTGAATACAAACATCACAAAGATGTTTCTCAGAACGCTGCAGTCTGCAATTTGTATGAATTCCCGCTTCCAACGAAATCCTCAAAACTAGCCAAATATCCACTTGCAGATTCCACAAAAAGACCATTTCAAAACTGCTCTATCAAAAGAAAGGTTCAACTTTGTTAGTTGAGTAGATACAGCATAACCAAGTTTCTGAGAATGCTTCTGTCCAGTTTTTATGGGAAGATATTTCCTTTTTCACCTTAGCCCTGAAATCGCTCCAAAAGTCCAGTTCCAGATACTACAAAAGGGGTGTTTCAAGACTGCTCTATGAAAGGGAGTGTTCAACTTTTGACTTGAATGCAAACATCAGAAAGCAGTTTCTCAGAACGCTGCTGTGTGCTTTTTATATGTATTCCCGCTTCCAGCGAAATCCCCAAAGCTAGCCAAATATCCACTTGCAGATTCCAGAAAAAGAGTGTTTCAAAACTGCTCCTTCAAAACGGTGGTTCAATTCTCTTAGTTGAGTACACACATCTCAAATAAGTTTCTGAGAATGCTTGTGTCTAGTTGTTATGGGAAGACATTTCCTTTTTCAACATAGGCCTGAAAGCGCTCCAAATGTCCACTTCCAGATACTACAAAAGGAGTGATTCCAACCTGCTCTATGATAGGGAATGTTCAACTCTGTGTCCTGAATACAAACATCACAAAGATGTTTCTCAGAACGCTGCAGTCTGCAATTTGTATGAATTCCCGCTTCCAACGAAATCCTCAAAACTAGCCAAATATCCACTTGCAGATTCCACAAAAAGACCATTTCAAAACTGCTCTATCAAAAGAAAGGTTCAACTTTGTTAGTTGAGTAGATACAGCATAAACAAGTTTCTGAGAATGCTTCTGTCCAGTTTTTATGGGAAGATATTTCCTTTTTCACCTTAGCCCTAAAATCGCTCCAAAAGTCCAGTTCCAGATACTACAAAAGGGGTGTTTCAAGACTGCTCTATGAAAGGGAGTGTTCAACTTTTGACTTGAATGCAAACATCAGAAAGCAGTTTCTCAGAACGCTGCTTTGTGCTTTTTATATGTATTCCCGCTTCCAGCGAAATCCCCAAAGCTAGCCAAATATCCACTTGCAGATTCCAGAAAAAGAGTGTTTCAAAACTGCTCCTTCAAAACGGTGGTTCAATTCTCTTAGTTGAGTAGACACATCTCAAATAAGTTTCTGAGAATGCTTCTGTCTATTTGTTATGGGAAGATATTTCCTTTTCCAACATAGGCCTGAAAGCGCTCCAAATGTCCACTTCCAGATACTAGAAAAGGAGTGATTCAAACCTGCTCTATGATAGGGAATGTTCAACTCTGTGTCCTGAATACAAACATCACAAAGATGTTTCTCAGAACGCTGCAGTCTGCAATTTGTATGAATTCCCGCTTCCAACGAAATCCTCAAAACTAGCCAAATATCGACTTGCAGATTCCACAAAAAGAGCGTTTCAAAACTTCTCTATGAAAAGAAAGGTTCTACTCCTTTAGTTGAGGACACACATCACGAGTAAGTTTCTGAGAATGCTTCTGTCTAGTTTTTATGGGAAGATACTTCCTTTTTCACCTTAGGCCGGTAAGTGCTCCAAATGTCCACTTACACACACTACAAAAAGAGTGTTTCAAACCTGCTCTGTGAAAGGGAATGTTCAATTCTGTGACTTGAATGCAATCATCACAAAGAACTTTCTGAGAATGCTGCTGAGTGCTTTTTATATGTAATCCCGTTTCCAACGAAATCCTTAAATCTAGCCAAATAGCCACTTGCAGATTCCACAAAAAGAGTGTTTCAAAACTGTTCTGTCTAAAGAAATATTCAACTGTGTTAGTTGAGGACACACATCAGAAACTAGTTTCTGAGAATGCTTCTGTCTAGTTGTTATGGGAAGATATTTCCTTTTCGAACGTAGGCCTGAAAGCACTCCAAATGTCCACTTCCATATACTAAAAAAAGAGTGTTTCAAACCTGCTCTACCAAAGGGAATGTTCTACTCTGTGACTTGAATGCAAACATCCCTAAGAAGTTTCTGAGAATGCTTCTGTCTAGATTTTATCTGAAGACAATCCCGTTTCCAACGAAATCCTCAAGGCTAGGCAAATATACTCTTGCAGATTCCAGAAAAAGAGTGTTTCAAAACTGCTCCTTCAAAACGGTGGTTCAATTCTCTTAGTTGAGTACACACATCTCAAATAAGTTTCTGAGAATGCTTCTGCCTAGTTGTTACGGGAAGATATTTCCCTTTCCAACATGGGCCTGAAAGCGCTCCAAATGTCCACTTCCAGATACTACAAAAAGAGTGTTTCAAACCTGCTCTACCAAAGGGAATGTTCTACTCTGTGACTTGAATGCAAACATCCCAAAGAAGTTTCTGAGAATGCTTCTGTCTACATTTTACCTGAAGACAATCCCGTTTCCCACGAAATCCTCAAAGCTATGCAAATATCCTCTTGCGGATTCTATAAAAGAGTGTTTCAAAACTGCTCTATGAAAAGAAAGGTTCAACTCTGTCAGTAGAGGGCACACATCACAAACAAGTTTCTGAGAATGCTTGTGTCTAGTTGTTATGGGAAGATATTTCCTTTTTCAACATAGGCCTGAAAGCGCTCCAAATGTCCACTTCCAGATACTACAAAAGGAGTGATTCCAACATGCTCTATGATAGGGAATGTTCATCTCTGTGTCTTGAATACAAACATCACAAAGATGTTTCTCAGAACGCTGCAGTCTGCAATTTGTATGAATTCCCGCTTCCAACGAAATCCTCAAAACTAGCCAAATATCCACTTGGAGATTCCACAAAAAGAGCGTTTCAAAACTTCTCTATCAATAGAAAGGTTCTACTCCTTTAGTTGAGGACACACATCACGAGTAAGTTTCTGAGAATGCTTCTGTCTAGTTTTTATGGGAAGATATGTCCTTTTTCACCTTAGGCCGGAAAGCGCTCCAAATGTCCACTTACACACACTACAAAAAGAGTGTTTCAAACCTGCTCTATGAAAGGGAATGTTCAATTCTGTGACTTGAATGCAATCATCACAAAGAACTTTCTGAGAATGCTGCTGACTGCTATTTATATGTAATCCCGTTTCCAACGAAATCCTCAAATCTAGCCCAATATCCACTTGCAGATTCCACAAAAAGAGTGTTTCAAAACTGTTCTGTCTAAAGAAATGTACAACTGTGTTAGTTGAGGACACACATCAGAAACTAGTTTCTGAGAATGCTTCTGTCTAGTTGTTATGGGAAGATATTTCCTTTTCCAACGTAGGCCTGAAAGCGCTCCAAATGTCCACTTCCATATACTAAAAAAAGAGTGTTTCAAACCTGCTCTACCAAAGGGAATGTTCTACTCTGTGACTTGAATGCAAACATCCCAAAGAAGTTTCTGAGAATGCTTCTGTCTAGATTTTATCTGAAGACAATCCCGTTTCCAACGAAATCCTCAAGGCTAGGCAAATATACTCCTGCAGATTCCAGAAAAAGAGGGTTTCAAAACTGCTCCTTCAAAACGGTGGTTCAATTCTCTTAGTTGAGTACACACATCTCAAATAAGTTTCTGAGAATGCTTCTGCCTAGTTGTTACGGGAAGATATTTCCCTTTCCAACATGGTCCTGAAAGCGCTCCAAATGTCCACTTCCAGATACTACAAAAAGAGTGTTTCAAACCTGCTCTACCAAAGGGAATGTTCTACTCTGTGACTTGAATGCAAACATCCCAAAGAAGTTTCTGAGAATGCTTCTGTCTAGATTTTACCTGAAGACAATCCCGTTTCCCACGAAATCCTCAAAGCTATGCAAATATCCTCTTGCGGATTCTACAAAAAGAGTGTTTCAAAACTGCTCTATGAAAATAAAGGTTCAACTCTGTCAGTAGAGGGCACACAACACAAACAAGTTTCTGAGAATGCTTGTGTCTAGTTGTTATGGGAAGATATTTCCTTTTTCAACATAGGCCTGAAAGCGCTCCAAATGTCCACTTCCAGATACTACAAAAGGAGTGATTCCAACCTGCTCTATGATAGGGAATGTTCATCTCTGTGTCCTGAATACAAACATCACAAAGATGTTTCTCAGAACGCTGCAGTCTGCAATTTGGATGAATTCCCGCTTCCAAGGAAATCCTCAAAACTAGCCAAATATCCACTTGGAGATTCCACAAAAAGAGCGTTTCAAAACTTCTCTATAAATAGAAAGGTTCTACTCCTTTAGTGGAGGACACACATCACGAGTAAGTTTCTGAGAATGCTTCTGTCTAGTTTTTATGGGAAGATATGTCCTTTTTCACCTTAGGCCGGAAAGCGCTCCAAATGTCCACTTACACACACTACAAAAAGAGTGTTTCAAACCTGCTCTGTGAAAGGGAATGTTCAATTCTGTGACTTGAATGCAATCATCACAAAGAACTTTCTGAGAATGCTGCTGTCTGCTTTTTATATGTAATCCCGTTTCCAACGAAATCCTCAAATCTAGCCCAATATCCACTTGCAGATTCCACAAAAAGAGTGTTTCAAAACTGTTCTGTCTAAAGAAAAGTTCAACTGTGTTAGTTGAGGACACACATCAGAAACTAGTTTCTGAGAATGCTTCTGTCTAGTTGTTATGGGAAGAGATTTCCTTTTCCAACGTAGGCCTGAAAGCGCTCCAAATGTCCTTCCATATACTAAAAAAAGAGTGTTTCAAACCTGCTCTACCAAAGGGAATGTTCTACTCTGTGACTTGAATGCAAACATCCCAAAGAAGTTTCTGAGAATGCTTCTGTCTAGATTTGATCTGAAGACAATCCCGTTTCCAACGAAATCGTCAAGGCTAGGCAAATATACTCTTGCAGATTCCAGAAAAAGAGTGTTTCAAAACTGCTCCTTCAAAACGGTGGTTCAACTCTCTTAGTTGAGTACACACATCTCAAATAAGATTCTGAGAATGCTTCTGCCTAGTTGTTACGGGAAGATATTTCCCTTTCCAACATAGGCCTGAAAGCGCTCCAAATGTCCACTTCCATATACTAAAAAAAGAGTGTTTCAAACCTGCTCTACCAAAGGGAATGTTCTACTCTGTGACTTGAATGCAAACATCCCAAAGAAGTTTCTGAGAATGCTTCTGTCTAGATTTTACCTAAAGACAATCCCGTTTCCCACGAAATCCTCAAAGCTATGCAAATATCCTCTTGCAGATTCTACAAAAAGAGTGTTTCAAAACTGCTCTATGAAAAGAAAGGTTCAACTCTGTCAGTAGAGGGCACACATCACAAACAAGTTTCTGAGAATGCTTGTGTCTAGTTGTTATGGGAAGATATTTCCTTTTTCAACATAGGCCTGAAAGCGCTCCAAATGTCCACTTCCAGATACTACAAAAGGAGTGATTCCAACCTGCTCTATGATAGGGAATGTTCATCTCTGTGTCCTGAATACAAACATCACAAAGATGTTTCTCAGAACGCTGCAGTCTGCAATTTGTATGAATTCCCGCTTCCAACGAAATCCTCAACACTAGCCAAATATCCACTTGGAGATTCCACAAAAAGAGCGTTTCAAAACTTCTCTATGAATAGAAAGGTTCTACTCCTTTAGTTGAGGACACACATCACGAGTAAGTTTCTGAGAATGCTTCTGTCTAGTTTTTATGGGAAGATATGTCCTTTTTCACCTTAGGCCGGAAAGCGCTCCAAATGTCCACTTACACACACTACAGAAAGAGTGCTTCAAACCTGCTCTGTGAAAGGGAATGTTCAATTCTGTGACTTGAATGCAATCATCACAAAGAACTTTCTGAGAATGCTGCTGACTGCTTTTTATATGTAATCCCGTTTCCAACGAAATACTCAAATCTAGCCAAATATCCACTTGCAGATTCCACAAAAAGAGTGTTTCAAAACTGTTCTGTCTAAAGAAATGTACAACTGTGTTAGTTGAGGACACACATCACAAACTAGTTTCTGAGAATGCTTCTGTCTAGTTGTTATGGGAAGATATTTCCTTTTCCAACGTAGGCCTGAAAGCGCTCCAAATGTCCACTTCCATATACTAAAAAAAGAGTGTTTCAAACCTGCTCTACCAAAGGGAATGTTCTACTCTGTGACTTGAATGCAAACATCCCAAAGAAGTTTCTGAGAATGCTTCTGTCTAGATTTTATCTGAAGACAATCCCGTTTCCAACGAAATCCTCAAGGCTAGGCAAATATACTCTTGCAGATTCCAGAAAAAGAGTGTTTCAAAACTGCTCCTTCAAAACGGTGGTTCAATTCTCTTAGTTGAGTACACACATCTCAAATAAGTTTCTGAGAATGCTTCTGCCTAGTTGTTACGGGAAGATATTTCCCTTTCCAACATGGGCCTGAAAGCGCTCCAAATGTCCACTTCCAGATACTACAAAAGTAGGGTTTCAAACCTGCTCTACCAAAGGGAATGTTCTACTCTGTGACTTGAATGCAAACATCCCAAAGAAGTTTCTGAGAATGCTTCTGTCTAGATTTTATCTGAAGACAATCCCGTTTCCAACGAAATCCTCAAAGCTGGCAAATATCCTCTAGCAGATTCCAGAAAAAGAGTGTTTCAAAACTGGTCCTTCAAAACGGTGGTTCAATTCTCTTAGTTGAGTACACACATCTCAAATAAGTTTCTGAGAATGCTTCTGCCTAGTTGTTAAGGGAAGATATTTCCCTTTCCAACATAGGACTGAAAGCGCTCCAAATGTCCACTTCCAGATACTACAAAAAGAGTGTTTCAAACCTGCTCTGCCAAAGGGAATGTTCTACTCTGTGACTTGAATGCAAACATCCCAAAGAAGTTTCTGAGAATGCTTCTGTCTAGATTTGATCTGAAGACAATCCCGTTTCCAACGAAATCCTCAAGGCTAGGCAAATATACTCTTGCAGATTCCAGAAAAAGGGTGTTTCAAAACTGCTCCTTCGAAACGGTGGTTCAATTCTCTTAGTTGAGTACACACATCTCAAATATGTTTCTGAGAATGCTTCTGCCTAGTTGTTACGGGAAGATATTTCCCTTTCCAACATGGGCCTGAAAGCGCTCCAAATGTCCACTTCCAGATACTACAAAAAGAGTGTTTCAAACCTGCTCTACCAAAGGGAATGTTCTACTCTGTGACTTGAATGCAAACATCCCAAAGAAGTTTCTGAGAATGCTTCTGTCTAGATTTTACCTGAAGACAATCCCGTTTCCCACGAAATCCTCAAAGCTATGCAAATATCCTCTTGCAGATTCTACAAAAAGAGTGTTTCAAAACTGCTCTATGAAAAGAAAGGTTCAACTCTGTCAGTAGAGGGCACACATCACAAACAAGTTTCTGAGAATGCTTCTGCATAGTTGTTACGGGAAGATATTTCCCTTTCCAAAATAGGCCTGAAAGCGCTCCAAATGTCCACTTCCAGATACTACAAAAGGAGTGATTCCAACCTGCTCTATGATAGGGAATGTTCAACTCTGTGTCCTGAATACAAACATCACAAAGATGTTTCTCAGAACGCTGCAGTCTGCAATTTGTATGAATTCCCGCTTCCAACGAAATCCTCAAAACTAGCCAAATATCCACTTGCAGATTCCACAAAAAGACCATTTCAAAACTGCTCTATCAAAAGAAAGGTTCAACTTTGTTAGTTGAGTAGATACAGCATAACCAAGTTTCTGAGAATGCTTCTGTCCAGTTTTTATGGGAAGATATTTCCTTTTTCACCTTAGCCCTGAAATCGCTCCAAAAGTCCAGTTCCAGATACTACAAAAGGGGTGTTTCAAGACTGCTCTATGAAAGGGAGTGTTCAACTTTTGACTTGAATGCAAACATCAGAAAGCAGTTTCTCAGAACGCTGCTGTGTGCTTTTTATATGTATTCCCGCTTCCAGCGAAATCCCCAAAGCTAGCCAAATATCCACTTGCAGATTCCAGAAAAAGAGTGTTTCAAAACTGCTCCTTCAAAACGGTGGTTCAATTCTCTTAGTTGAGTACACACATCTCAAATAAGTTTCTGAGAATGCTTCTGTCTAGTTGTTATGGGAAGATATTTCCTTTTCCAACATAGGCCTGAAAGCACTCCAAATGTCCACTTCCAGATACTACAAAAGGAGTGATTCAAACCTGCTCTATGATAGGGAATGTTCAACTCTGTGTCCTGAATACAAACATCACAAAGATGTTTCTCAGAACGCTGCAGTCTGCAATTTGTATGAATTCCCGCTTCCAACGAAATCCTCAAAACTAGCCAAATATCCACTTGCAGATTCCACAAAAAGACCATTTCAAAACTGCTCTATCAAAAGAAAGGTTCAACTTTGTTAGTTGAGTAGATACAGCATAACCAAGTTTCTGAGAATGCTTCTGTCCAGTTTTTATGGGAAGATATTTCCTTTTTCACCTTAGCCCTGAAATCGCTCCAAAAGTCCAGTTCCAGATACTACAAAAGGGGTGTTTCAAGACTGCTCTATGAAAGGGAGTGTTCAACTTTTGACTTGAATGCAAACATCAGAAAGCAGTTTCTCAGAACGCTGCTGTGTGCTTTTTATATGTATTCCCGCTTCCAGCGAAATCCCCAAAGCTAGCCAAATATCCACTTGCAGATTCCAGAAAAAGAGAGTTTCAAAACTGCTCCTTCAAAACGGTGGTTCAATTCTCTTAGTTGAGTACACACATCTCAAATAAGTTTCTGAGAATGCTTCTGTCTAGTTGTTATGGGAAGATATTTCCTTTTCCAACATAGGCCTGAAAGCGCTCCAAATGTCCACTTCCAGATACTACAAAAGGAGTGATTCAAACCTGCTCTATGATAGGGAATGTTCAACTCTGTGTCCTGAATACAAACATCACAAAGATGTTTCTCAGAACGCTGCAGTCTGCAATTTGTATGAATTCCCGCTTCCAACGAAATCCTCCAAACTAGCCAAATATCCACTTGCAGATTCCACAAAAAGAGAATTTCAAAACTGCTCTATCAAAAGAAAGGTTCAACTATGTTAGTTGAGTAGATACAGCATAAACAAGTTTCTGAGAATGATTCTCTCCAGTTTTTATGGGAAGATATTTCCTTTTTCACCTTAGCCCTGAAAGCGCTCCAAAAGTCCAGTTCCAGATACTACAAAAGGAGTGTTTCAGGACTGCTCTATGAAAGGGAGTGTTCAACTTTTGACTTGAATGCAAACATCAGAAAGCAGTTTCTCAGAACGCTGCTGTGTGCTTTTTATATGTATTCCCGCTTCCAGCGAAATCCCCAAAGCTAGCCAAATATCCACTTGCAGATTCCAGAAAAAGAGTGTTTCAAAACTGCTCCTTCAAAACGGTGGTTCAATTCTCTTAGTTGAGTACACACATCTCAAATAAGTTTCTGAGAATGCTTCTGTCTAGTTGTTATGGGAAGATATTTCCTTTTCCAACATAGGCCTGAAAGCGCTCCAAATGTCCACTTCCAGATACCACAAAAGGAGTGATTCCAACCTGCTCTATGATAGGGAATGTTCAACTCTGTGTCCTGAATACAAACATCACAAAGTTGTTTCTCAGAACGCTGCAGTCTGCAATTTGTATGAATTCCCGCTTCCAACGAAATCCTCCAAACTAGCCAAATATCCACTTGCAGATTCCACAAAAAGAGCGTTTCAAAACTTCTCTATGAAAAGAAAGGTTCTACTCCTTTAGTTGAGGACACACATCACGAGTAAGTTTCTGAGAATGCTTCTGTCTAGTTTTTATGGGAAGATATTTCCTTGTTCACCTTAGGCCGGAAAGCGCTCCAAATGTCCACTTACACACACTAGAAAAAGAGTGTTTCAAACCTGCTCTGTGAAAAGGAATGTTCAATTCTGTGACTTGAATGCAATCATCACAAAGAAGTTTCTGAGAATGCTGCTGTCTGCTTTTTATATGTAATCCCGTTTCCAACGAAATCCTCAAATCTAGCCAAATATCCACTTGCAGATTCCACAAAAAGAGTGTTTCAAAACTGTTCTGTCTAAAGAAATGTTCAACTGTGTTAGTTGAGGACACACATCAGAAACTAGTTTCTGAGAATGCTTCTGTCTAGTTGTTATGGGAAGATATTTCCTTTTCCAACGTAGGCCAGAAAGCGCTCAAAATGTCCACTTACACACACTACAAAAAGAGTTTTTCAAACCTGCTCTACCAAAGGGAATGTTCTACTCTGTGACTTGAATGCAAACATCCCAAAGAAGTTTCTGAGAATGCTTCTGTCTAGATTTGATCTGAAGACAATCCCGTTTCCAACGAAATCCTCAAGGCTAGGCAAATATCCTCTTGCAGATTCCAGAAAAAGAGTGTTTCAAAACTGCTCCTTCTAAACGGTGGTTTAATTCTCTTAGTTGAGTACACACATCTCAAATAAGTTTCTGAGAATGCTTCTGCCTAGTTGTTACGGGAAGATATTTCCCTTTCCAACATAGGCCTGAAAGCGCTCCAAATGTCCACTTCCAGATACTACAAAAAGAGTGTTTCAAACCTGCTCTACCAAAGGGAATGTTCTACTCTGTGACTTGAATGCAAACATCCCAAAGAAGTTTCTGAGAATGCTTCTGTCTAGATTTTACCTGAAGACAATCCCGTTTCCCACGAAATCCTCAAAGCTATGCAAATATCCTCTTGCAGATTCTACAAAAAGAGTGTTTCAAAACTGCTCTATGAAAAGAAAGGTTCAACTCTGTCAGTAGAGGGCACACATCACAAACAAGTTTCTGAGAATGCTTGTGTCTAGTTGTTATGGGAAGATATTTCCTTTTTCAACATAGGCCTGAAAGCGCTCCAAATGTCCACTTCCAGATACTACAAAAGGAGTGATTCCAACCTGCTCTATGATAGGGAATGTTCAACTCTGTGTCCTGAATACAAACATCACAAAGATGTTTCTCAGAACGCTGCAGTCTGCCATTTGTATGAATTCCCGCTTCCAACGAAATCCTCAAAACTAGCCAAATATCCACTTGCAGATTCCACAAAAAGAGCGTTTCAAAACTTCTCTATGAAAAGAAAGGTTCTACACCTTTAGTTGAGGACACACATCACGAGTAAGTTTCTGAGAATGCTTCTGTCTAGTTTTTATGGGAAGATATTTCCTTGTTCACCTTAGGCCAGAAAGCGCTCCAATTGTCCACTTACACACACTACAAAAAGAGTGTTTCAAACCTGCTCTGTGAAAGGGAATGTTCAATTCTGTGACTTGAATGCAATCATCACAAAGAACTTTCTGAGAATGCTGCTGTCTGCTTTTTATATGTAATCCCGTTTCCAACGAAATCCTCAAATCTACCCCAATATCCACTTGCAGATACCACAAAAAGAGTGTTTCAAAACTGTTCTGTGTAAAGAAATGTACAACTGTTTTAGTTGAGGACACACATCAGAAACTAGTTTCTGAGAATGCTTCTGTCTAGTTGTTATGGGAAGATATTTCCTTTTCCAACGTAGGCCTGAAAGCGCTCCAAATGTCCACTTCCAGATACTACAAAAAGAGTGTTTCAAACCTGCTCTACCAAAGGGAATGTTCTACTCTGTGACTTGAATGCAAACATCCCAAAGAAGTTTCTGAGAATGCTTCTGTCTAGATTTTACCTGAAGACAATCCCGTTTCCCACGAAATCCTCAAAGCTATGCAAATATCCTCTTGCGGATTCTATAAAAGAGTGTTTCAAAACTGCTCTATGAAAAGAAAGGTTCAACTCTGTCAGTAGAGGGCACACATCACAAACAAGTTTCTGAGAATGCTTGTGTCTAGTTGTTATGGGAAGATATTTCCTTTTTCAACATAGGCCTGAAAGCGCTCCAAATGTCCACTTCCAGATACTACAAAAGGAGTGATTCCAACCTGCTCTATGATAGGGAATGTTCATCTCTGTGTCCTGAATACAAACATCACAAAGGATGTTTCTCAAAACGCTGCAGTCTGCAATTTGTATGAATTCCCGCTTCCAACGAAATCCTCAAAACTAGCCAAATATCCACTTGGAGATTCCACAAAAAGAGCGTTTCAAAACTTCTCTATGAATAGAAAGGTTCTACTCCTTTAGTTGAGGACACACATCACGAGTAAGTTTCTGAGAATGCTTCCGTCTAGTTTTTATGGGAAGATATGTCCTTTTTCACCTTAGGCCGGAAAGCGCTCCAAATGTCCACTTACACACACTACAAAAAGAGTGTTTCAAACCTGCTCTGTGAAAGGGAATGTTCAATTCTGTGACTTGAATGCAATCATCACAAAGAACTTTCTGAGAATGCTGCTGACTGCTTTTTATATGTAATCCCGTTTCCAACGAAATCCTCAAATCTAGCCCAATATCCACTTGCAGATTCCACAAAAAGAGTGTTTCAAAACTGTTCTGTCTAAAGAAAAGTTCAACTGTGTTAGTTGAGGACACACATCAGAAAATAGTTTCTGAGAATGCTTCTGTCTAGTTGTTATGGGAAGATATTTCCTTTTCCAACGTAGGCCTGAAAGCGCTCCAAATGTCCTTCCATATACTAAAAAAAGAGTGTTTCAAACCTGCTCTACCAAAGGGAATGTTCTACTCTGTGACTTGAATGCAAACATCCCAAAGAAGTTTCTGAGAATGCTTCTGTCTAGATTTGATCTGAAGACAATCCCGTTTCCAACGAAATCCTCAAGGCTAGGCAAATATACTCTAGCAGATTCCAGAAAAAGAGTGTTTCAAAACTGCTCCTTCAAAACGGTGGTTCAATTCTCTTAGTTGAGTACACACATCTCAAATAAGTTTCTGAGAATGCTTCTGCCTAGTTGTTACGGGAAGATATTTCCCTTTCCAACATGGGCCTGAAAGCGCTCCAAATGTCCACTTCCAGATACTACAAAAAGAGTGTTTCAAACCTGCTCTACCAAAGGGAATGTTCTACTCTGTGACTTGAATGCAAACATCCCAAAGAAGTTTCTGAGAATGCTTCTGTCTAGATTTTACCTGAAGACAATCCCGTTTCCCACGAAATCCTCAAAGCTATGCAAATATCCTCTTGCAGATTCTACAAAAAGAGTGTTTCAAAACTGCTCTATGAAAAGAAAGGTTCAACTCTGTCAGTAGAGGGCACACATCACAAACAAGTTTCTGAGAATGCTTGTGTCTAGTTGTTATGGGAAGATATTTCCTTTTTCAACGTAGGCCTGAAAGCGCTCCAAATGTCCACTTCCAGATACTACAAAAGGAGTGATTCCAACCTGCTCTATGATAGGGAATGTTCAACTCTGTGTCCTGAATACAAACATCACAAAGATGTTTCTCAGAACGCTGCAGTCTGCAATTTGTATGAATTCCCGCTTCCAACGAAATCCTCAAAACTAGCCAAATATCCACTTGCAGATTCCACAAAAAGACCATTTCAAAACTGCTCTATCAAAAGAAAGGTTCAACTTTGTTAGTTGAGTAGATACAGCATAACCAAGTTTCTGAGAATGCTTCTGTCCAGTTTTTATGGGAAGATATTTCCTTTTTCACCTTAGCCCTGAAATCGCTCCAAAAGTCCAGTTCCAGATACTACAAAAGGGGTGTTTCAAGACTGCTCTATGAAAGGGAGTGTTCAACTTTTGACTTGAATGCAAACATCAGAAAGCAGTTTCTCAGAACGCTGCTGTGTGCTTTTTATATGTATTCCCGCTTCCAGCGAAATCCCCAAAGCTAGCCAAATATCCACTTGCAGATTCCAGAAAAAGAGTGTTTCAAAACTGCTCCTTCAAAACGGTGGTTCAATTCTCTTAGTTGAGTACACACATCTCAAATAAGTTTCTGAGAATGCTTCTGTCTAGTTGTTATGGGAAGATATTTCCTTTTCCAACATAGGCCTGAAAGCGCTCCAAATGTCCACTTCCAGATACTACAAAAGGAGTGACTCAAACCTGCTCTATGATAGGGAATGTTCAACTCAGTGTCCTGAATACAAACATCACAAAGATGTTTCTCAGAACGCTGCAGTCTGCAATTTGTATGAATTCCCGCTTCCAACGAAATCCTCAAAACTAGCCAAATATCCACTTGCAGATTCCACAAAAA
The DNA here is from genome assembly GCF_000001405.40 of Homo sapiens. Taxonomy (NCBI): domain Eukaryota; kingdom Metazoa; phylum Chordata; class Mammalia; order Primates; family Hominidae; genus Homo; species Homo sapiens. The sequence continues at coordinate 16,002,748 of NC_000018.10, read as the reverse complement.
GAGCGTTTCAAAACTTCTCTATGAAAAGAAAGGTTCTACTCCTTTAGTTGAGGACACACATCACGAGTAAGTTTCTGAGAATGCTTCTGTCTAGTTTTTATGGGAAGATATTTCCTTTTTCACCTTAGGCCGGTAAGTGCTCCAAATGTCCACTTACACACACTACAAAAAGAGTCTTTCAAACCTGCTCTGTGAAAGGGAATGTTCAATTCTGTGACTTGAATGCAATCATCACAAAGAACTTTCTGAGAATGCTGCTGTCTGCTTTTTATATGTAATCCCGTTTCCAACGAAATCCTCAAATCTAGCCAAATATCCACTTGCAGATTCCACAAAAAGAGTGTTTCAAAACTGTTCTGTCTAAAGAAAAGTTCAACTGTGTTAGTTGAGGACACACATCAGAAACTAGTTTCTGAGAATGCTTCTGTCTAGTTGTTATGGGAAGATATTTCCTTTTCCAACGTAGGCCTGAAAGCGCTCCAAATGTCCACTTCTATATACTAAAAAAAGAGTGTTTCAAACCTGCTCTACCAAAGGGAATGTTCTACTCTGTGACTTGAATGCAAACATCCCAAAGAAGTTTCTGAGAATGCTTCTGTCTAGATTTTATCTGAAGACAATCCCGTTTCCAACGAAATCTTCAAGGCTAGGCAAATATACTCTTGCAGTTTCCAGAAAAAGAGTGTTTCAAAACTGCTCCTTCAAAACGGTGGTTCAATTCTCTTAGTTGAGTACACACATCTCAAATAAGTTTCTGAGAATTCTTCTGCCTAGTTGTTACGGGAAGATATTTCCCTTTCCAACATGGGCCTGAAAGCGCTCCAAATGTCCACTTCCAGATACTACAAAAAGAGGGTTTCAAACCTGCTCTACCAAAGGGAATGTTCTACTCTGTGACTTGAATGCAAACATCCCAAAGAAGTTTCTGAGAATGCTTCTGTCTAGATTTTACCTGAAGACAATCCCGTTTCCCACGAAATCCTCAAAGCTATGCAAATATCCTCTTGCAGATTCTACAAAAAGAGTGTTTCAAAACTGCTCTATGAAAAGAAAGGTTCAACTCTGTCAGTAGAGGGCACACATCACAAACAAGTTTCTGAGAATGCTTGTGTCTAGTTGTTATGGGAAGATATTTCCTTTTTCAACATAGGCCTGAAAGCGCTCCAAATGTCCACTTCCAGATACTACAAAAGGAGTGATTCCAACCTGCTCTATGATAGGGAATGTTCATCTCTGTGTCCTGAATACAAACATCACAAAGATGTTTCTCAGAACGCTGCAGTCTGCAATTTGTATGAATTCCCGCTTCCAACGAAATCCTCAACACTAGCCAAATATCCACTTGGAGATTCCACAAAAAGAGCGTTTCAAAACTTCTCTATGAATAGAAAGGTTCTACTCCTTTAGTTGAGGACACACATCACGAGTAAGTTTCTGAGAATGCTTCTGTCTAGTTTTTATGGGAAGATATTTCCTTTTTCACCTTAGGCCGGTAAGTGCTCCAAATGTCCACTTACACACACTACAAAAAGAGTGTTTCAAACCTGCTCTGTGAAAGGGAATGTTCAATTCTGTGACTTGAATGCAATCATCACAAAGAACTTTCTGAGAATGCTGCTGACTGCTTTTTATATGTAATCCCGTTTCCAACGAAATCCTCAAATCTAGCCAAATAGCCACTTGCAGATTCCACAAAAAGAGTGTTTCAAAACTGTTCTGTCTAAAGAAATGTTCAACTGTGTTAGTTGAGGACACACATCAGAAACTAGTTTCTGAGAATGCTTCTGTCTAGTTGTTATGGGAAGATATTTCCTTTTCCAACGTAGGCCTGAAAGCGCTCCAAATGTCCACTTCCATATACTAAAAAAAGAGTGTTTCAAACCTGCTCTACCAAAGGGAATGTTCTACTCTGTGACTTGAATGCAAACATCCCAAAGAAGTTTCTGAGAATGCTTCTGTCTAGATTTTCTCTGAAGACAATCCCGTTTCCAACGAAATCCTCAAGGCTAGGCAAATATACTCTTGCAGATTCCAGAAAAAGAGTGTTTCAAAACTGCTCCTTCAAAACGGTGGTTCAATTCTCTTAGTTGAGTACACACATCTCAAATAAGTTTCTGAGAATGCTTCTGCCTAGTTGTTACGGGAAGATATTTCCCTTTCCAACATGGGCCTGAAAGCGCTCCAAATGTCCATTTCCAGATACTACAAAAAGAGTGTTTCAAACCTGCTCTACCAAAGGGAATGTTCTACTCTGTGACTTGAATGCAAACATCCCCAAAGAAGTTTCTGAGAATGCTTCTGTCTAGTATTTTACCTGAAGACAATCCCGTTTCCCACGAAATCCTCAAAGCTATGCAAATATCCTCTTGCGGATTCTACAAAAAGAGTGTTTCAAAACTGCTCTATGAAAAGAAAGGTTCAACTCTGTCAGTAGAGGGCACACATCACAAACAAGTTTCTGAGAATGCTTCTGTCTAGTTGTTATGGGAAGATATTTCCTTTTTCAACATAGGCCTGAAAGCGCTCCAAATGTCCACTTCCAGATAGTACAAAAGGAGTGATTCCAACCTGCTCTATGATAGGGAATGTTCAACTCTGTGTCCTGAATACAAACATCACAAAGATGTTTCTCAGAACGCTGCAGTCTGCAATTTGTATGAATTCCCGCTTCCAACGAAATCCTCCAAACTAGCCAAATATCCACTTGCAGATTCCACAAAAAGAGCGTTTCAAAACTTCTCTATGAAAAGAAAGGTTCTACTCCTTTAGTTGAGGACACACATCACGAGTAAGTTTCTGAGAATGCTTCTGTCTAGTTTTTATGGGAAGATATTTCCTTTTTCACCTTAGGCCGGAAAGCGCTCCAAATGTCCACTTACACACACTACAAAAAGAGTGTTTCAAACCTGCTCTGTGAAAGGGAATGTTCAATTCTGTGACTTGAATGCAATCATCACAAAGAACTTTCTGAGAATGCTGCTGACTGCTTTTTATATGTAATCCCGTTTCCAACGAAATCCTCAAATCTAGCCAAATATCCACTTGCAGATTCCACAAAAAGAGTGTTTCAAAACTGTTCTGTCTAAAGAAATATACAACTGTGTTAGTTGTGGACACACATCAGAAACTAGTTTCTGAGATTGCTTCTGTCTAGTTGTTATGGGAAGATATTTCCTTTTCCAACGTAGGCCTGAAAGCGATCCAAATGTCCACTTCCATATACTAAAAAAAGAGTGTTTCAAACCTGCTCTACCAAAGGGAATGTTCTACTCTGTGACTTGAATGCAAACATCCCAAAGAAGTTTCTGAGAATGCTTCTGTCTAGATTTTCTCTGAAGACAATCCCGTTTCCAACGAAATCCTCAAGGCTAGGCAAATATACTCTTGCAGATTCCAGAAAAAGAGTGTTTCAAAACTGCTCCTTCAAAACGGTGGTTCAATTCTCTTAGTTGAGTACACACATCTCAAATAAGTTTCTGAGAATGCTTCTGCCTAGTTGTTACGGGAAGATATTTCCCTTTCCAACATGGGCCTGAAAGCGCTCCAAATGTCCACTTCCAGATACTACAAAAAGAGTGTTTCAAACCTGCTCTACCAAAGGGAATGTTCTACTCTGTGACTTGAATGCAAACATCCCAAAGAAGTTTCTGAGAATGCTTCTGTCTAGATTTTACCTGAAGACAATCCCGTTTCCCACGAAATCCTCAAAGCTATGCAAATATCCTCTTGCAGATTCTACAAAAAGAGTGTTTCAAAACTGCTCTATGAAAAGAAAGGTTCAACTCTGTCAGTAGAGGGCACACATCACAAACAAGTTTCTGAGAATGCTTGTGTCTAGTTGTTATGGGAAGATATTTCCTTTTTCAACATAGGCCTGAAAGCGCTCCAAATGTCCACTTCCAGATACTACAAAAGGAGTGATTCCAACCTGCTCTATGATAGGGAATGTTCAACTCTCTGTCCTGAATACAAACATCCAAAGATGTTTCTCAGAACGCTGCAGTCTGCAATTTGTATGAATTCCCGCTTCCAACGAAATCCTCAAAACTAGCCAAATATCCACTTGCAGATTCCACAAAAAGAGCATTTCAAAACTGCTCTATCAAAAGAAAGGTTCAACTTTGTTAGTTGAGTAGATACAGCATAAACAAGTTTCTGAGAATGCTTCTGTCCAGTTTTTATGGGAAGATATTTCCTTTTTTACCTTAGCCCTGAAAGCGCTCCAAAAGTCCAGTTCCAGATACTACAAAAGGAGTGTTTCAGGACTGCTCTATGAAAGGGAGTGTTCAACTTTTGACTTGAATGCAAACATCAGAAAGCAGTTTACTCAGAACGCTGCTGTGTGCTTTTTATATGTATTCCCGCTTCCAGCGAAATCCCCAAGCTAGCCAAATATCCACTTGCAGATTCCAGAAAAAGAGAGTTTCAAAACTGCTCCTTCAAAACGGTGGTTCAATTCTCTTAGTTGAGTACACACATCTCAAATAAGTTTCTGAGAATGCTTCTGTCTAGTTGTTATGGGAAGATATTTCCTTTTCCAACATAGGCCTGAAAGCGCTCCAAATGTCCACTTCCAGATACTACAAAAGGAGTGATTCCAACCTGCTCTATGATAGGGAATGTTCAACTCTGTGTCCTGAATACAAACATCACAAAGATGTTTCTCAGAACGCTGCAGTCTGCAATTTGTATGAATTCCCGCTTCCAACGAAATCCTCAAAACTAGCCAAATATCCACTTGCAGATTCCACAAAAAGAGCGTTTCAAAACTTCTCTATGAAAAGAAAGGTTCTACTCCTTTAGTTGAGGACACACATCACGAGTAAGTTTCTGAGAATGCTTCTGTCTAGTTTTTATGGGAAGATATTTCCTTTTTCACCTTAGGCCGGTAAGTGCTCCAAATGTCCACTTACACACACTACAAAAAGAGTGTTTCAAACCTGCTCTGTGAAAGGGAATGTTCAATTCTGTGACTTGAATGCAATCATCACAAAGAACTTTCTGAGAATGCTGCTGACTGCTTTTTATATGTAATCCCGTTTCCAACGAAATCCTCAAATCTAGCCAAATAGCCACTTGCAGATTCCACAAAAAGAGTGTTTCAAAACTGTTCTGTCTAAAGAAATGTTCAACTGTGTTAGTTGAGGACACACATCAGAAACTAGTTTCTGAGAATGCTTCTGTCTAGTTGTTATGGGAAGATATTTCCTTTTCCAACGTAGGCCTGAAAGCGCTCCAAATGTCCACTTCCAGATACTACAAAAAGAGTGTTTCAAACCTGCTCTACCAAAGGGAATGTTCTACTCTGTGACTTGAATGCAAGCATCCCAAAGAAGTTTCTGAGAATGCTTCTGTCTAGATTTTCTCTGAAGACAATCCCGTTTCCAACGAAATCCTCAAGGCTAGGCAAATATACTCTTGCAGATTCCAGAAAAAGAGTGTTTCAAAACTGCTCCTTCAAAACGGTGGTTCAATTCTCTTAGTTGAGTACACACATCTCAAATAAGTTTCTGAGAATGCTTCTGCCTAGTTGTTACGGGAAGATATTTCCCTTTCCAACATGGGCCTGAAAGCGCTCCAAATGTCCACTTCCAGATACTACAAAAAGAGTGTTTCAAACCTGCTCTACCAAAGGGAATGTTCTACTCTGTGACTTGAATGCAAACATCCCAAAGAAGTTTCTGAGAATGCTTCTGTCTAGATTTTACCTGAAGACAATCCCGTTTCCCACGAAATCCTCAAAGCTATGCAAATATCCTCTTGCAGATTCTACAAAAAGAGTGTTTCAAAACTGCTCTATGAAAAGAAAGGTTCAACTCTGTCAGTAGAGGGCACACATCACAAACAAGTTTCTGAGAATGCTTGTGTCTAGTTGTTATGGGAAGATATTTCCTTTTTCAACATAGGCCTGAAAGCGCTCCAAATGTCCACTTCCAGATACTACAAAAGGAGTGATTCCAACCTGCTCTATGATAGGGAATGTTCAACTCTGTGTCCTGAATACAAACATCACAAAGATATTTCTCAGAACGCTGCAGTCTGCAATTTGTATGAATTCCCGCTTCCAACGAAATCCTCAAAACTAGCCAAATATCCACTTGCAGATTCCACAAAAAGAGCATTTCAAAACTGCTCTATCAAAAGAAAGGTTCAAATTTGTTAGTTCAGTAGATACAGCATAAACAAGTTTCTGAGAATGCTTCTGTCCAGTTTTTATGGGAAGATATTTCCTTTTTCACCTTAGCCCTGAAAGCGCTCCAAAAGTCCAGTTCCAGATACTACAAAAGGAGTGTTTCAGGACTGCTCTATGAAAGGGAGTGTTCAACTTTTGACTTGAATGCAAACATCAGAAAGCAGTTTCTCAGAACGCTGCTGTGTGCTTTTTATATGTATTCCCGCCTCCAGCGAAGTCCCCAAAGCTAGCCAAATATCCACTTGCAGATTCCAGAAAAAGAGTGTTTCAAAACTGCTCCTTCAAAACGGTGGTTCAATTCTCTTAGTTGAGTACACACATCTCAAATAAGTTTCTGAGAATGCTTCTGTCTAGTTGTTATGGGAAGATATTTCCTTTTCCAACATAGGCCTGAAAGCGCTCCAAATGTCCACTTCCAGATACTACAAAAGGAGTGATTCAAACCTGCTCTATGATAGGGAATGTTCAACTCTGTGTCCTGAATACAAACATCACAAAGATGTTTCTCAGAACGCTGCAGTCTGCAATTTGTATGAATTCCCGCTTCCAACGAAATCCTCCAAACTAGCCAAATATCCACTTGCAGATTCCACAAAAAGAGCGTTTCAAAACTTCTCTATGAAAACAAAGGTTCTACTCCTTTAGTTGAGGACACACATCACGAGTAAGTTTCTGAGAATGCTTCTGTCTAGTTTTTATGGGAAGATATTTCCTTTTTCACCTTAGGCCGGAAAGTGCTCCAAATGTCCACTTACACACACTATAAAAAGAGTGTTTCAAACCTGCTCTGTGAAAGGGAATGTTCAATTCTGTGACTTGAATGCAATCATCACAAAGAAATTTCTGAGAATGCTGCTGTCTGCTTTTTATATGTAATCCCGTTTCCAACGAAATCCTCAAATCTAGCCAAATAGCCACTTGCAGATTCCACAAAAAGAGAGTTTCAAAACTGTTCTGTCTAAAGAAATGTTCAACTGTGTTAGTTGAGGACACACATCAGAAACTAGTTTCTGAGAATGCTTCTGTCTAGTTGTTATGGGAAGATATTTCCTTTTCCAACGTAGGCCTGAAAGCGCTCCAAATGTCCACTTCCATATACTAAAAAAAGAGTGTTTCAAACCTGCTCTACCAAAGGGAATGTTCTACTCTGTGACTTGAATGCAAACATCCCAAAGAAGTTTCTGAGAATGCTTCTGTCTAGATTTGATCTGAAGACAATCCCGTTTCCAACGAAATCCTCAAAGCTAGGCAAATATCCTCTTGCAGATTCCAGAAAAAGAGTGTTTCAAAACTGCTCCTTCAAAACGGTGGTTCAATTCTCTTAGTTGAGTACACACATCTCAAATAAGTTTCTGAGAATGCTTCTGCCTAGTTGTTACAGGAAGATATTTCCTTTTCCAACATGGGCCTGAAAGCGCTCCAAATGTCCACTTCCAGATACTACAAAAAGAGTGTTTCAAACCTACTCTACCAAAGGGAATGTTCTACTCTGTGACTTGAATGCAAACATCCCAAAGAAGTTTCTGAGAATGCTTCTGTCTAGATTTTACCTGAAGACAATCCCGTTTCCCACGAAATCCTCAAAGCTATGCAAATATCCTCTTGCAGATTCTACAAAAAGAGTGTTTCAAAACTGCTCTATGAAAAGAAAGGTTCAACTCTGTCAGTAGAGGGCACACATCACAAACAAGTTTCTGAGAATGCTTGTGTCTAGTTGTTATGGGAAGATATTTCCTTTTTCAACATAGGCCAGAAAGCGCTCCAAATGTCCACTTCCAGATACTACAAAAGGAGTGATTCCAACCTGCTCTATGATAGGGAATGTTCAACTCTCTGTCCTGAATACAAACATCACAAAGATGTTTCTCAGAACGCTGCAGTCTGCAATTTGTATGAATTCCCGCTTCCAACGAAATCCTCAAAACTAGCCAAATATCCACTTGCAGATTCCACAAAAAGACCATTTCAAAACTGCTCTATCAAAAGAAAGGTTCAACTTTGTTAGTTGAGTAGATACAGCATAAACAAGTTTCTGAGAATGCTTCTGTCCAGTTTTTATGGGAAGATATTTCCTTTTTCACCTTAGCCCTGAAAGCGCTCCAAAAGTCCAGTTCCAGATACTACAAAAGGAGTGTTTCAGGACTGCTCTATGAAAGGGAGTGTTCAACTTTTGACTTGAATGCAAACATCAGAAAGCAGTTTCTCAGAACGCTGCTGTGTGCTTTTTATATGTATTCCCGCTTCCAGCGAAATCCCCAAAGCTAGCCAAATATCCACTTGCAGATTCCAGAAAAAGAGTGTTTCAAAACTGCTCCTTCAAAACGGTGGTTCAATTCTCTTAGTTGAGTACACACATCTCAAATAAGTTTCTGAGAATGCTTCTGTCTAGTTGTTATGGGAAGATATTTCCTTTTCTAACATAGGCCTGAAAGCGCTCCAAATGTCCACTTCCAGATACTACAAAAGGAGTGATTCAAACCTGCTCTATGATAGGGAATGTTCAACTCTGTGTCCTGAATACAAACATCACAAAGATGTTTCTCAGAACGCTGCAGTCTGCAATTTGTATGAATTCCCGCTTCCAACGAAATCCTCAAAACTAGCCAAATATCCACTTGCAGATTCCACAAAAAGAGCGTTTCAAAACTTCTCTATGAAAAGAAAGGTTCTACTCCTTTAGTTGAGGACACACATCACGAGTAAGTTTCTGAGAATTCTTCTGTCTAGTTTTTATGGGAAGATATTTCCTTTTTCACCTTAGGCCAGAAAGCGCTCCAAATGTCCACTTACACACACTACAAAAAGATTGTTTCAAACCTGCTCTGTGAAAGGGAATGTTCAATTCTGTGACTTGAATGCAATCATCACAAAGAACTTTCTTAGAATGCTGCTGACTGTTTTTTATATGTAATCCCGTTTCCAACGAAATCCTCAAATCTAGCCAAATATCCACTTGCAGATTCCACAAAAACAGTGTTTCAAAACTGTTCTGTCTAAAGAAATGTTCAACTGTGTTAGTTGAGGACACACATCAGAAACTAGTTTCTGAGAATGCTTCTGTCTAGTTGTTATGGGAAGATATTTCCTTTTCCAACGTAGGCCTGAAAGCTCTCCAAATGTCCACTTCCATATACTAAAAAAAGAGTGTTTCAAACCTGCTCTACCAAAGGGAATGTTCTACTCTGTGACTTGAATGCAAACATCCCAAAGAAGTTTCTGAGAATGCTTCTGTCTAGATTTGATCTGAAGACAATCCCGTTTCCAACGAAATCCTCAAGGCTAGGCAAATATACTCTTGCATATTCCAGAAAAAGAGTGTTTCAAAACTGCTCCTTGAAAACGGTGGTTCAATTCTCTTAGTTGAGTACACACATCCAAAATAAGTTTCTGAGAATGCTTCTGCCTAGTTGTTACGGGAAGATATTTCCCTTTCCAACATAGGCCTGAAAGCGCTCCAAATGTCCACTTCCAGATACTACAAAAAGAGTGTTTCAAACCTGCTCTACCAAAGGGAATGTTCTACTCTGTGACTTGAATGCAAACATCCCAAAGAAGTTTCTGAGAATGCTTCTGTCTAGATTTTACCTGAAGACAATCCCGTTTCCCACGAAATCCTCAAAGCTATGCAAATATCCTCTTGCAGATTCTACAAAAAGAGTGTTTCAAAACTGCTCTATGAAAAGAAAGGTTCAACTGTGTCAGTAGAGGGCACACATCACAAACAAGTTTCTGAGAATGCTTGTGTCTAGTTGTTATGGGAAGATATTTCCTTTTTCAACATAGGCCTGAAAGCGCTCCAAATGTCCACTTCCAGATACTACAAAAGGAGTGATTCCAACCTGCTCTATGATAGGGAATGTTCAACTCTCTGTCCTGAATACAAACATCACAAAGATGTTTCTCAGAACGCTGCAGTCTGCAATTTGTATGAATTCCCGCTTCCAACGAAATCCTCAAAACTAGCCAAATATCCACTTGCAGATTCCACAAAAAGAGCATTTCAAAACTGCTCTATCAAAAGAAAGGTTCAACTTTGTTAGTTGAGTAGATACAGCATAAACAAGTTTCTGAGAATGCTTCTGTCCAGTTTTTATGGGAAGATATTTCCTTTTTCACCTTAGCCCTGAAAGCGCTCCAAATTTCCAGTTCCAGATACTACAAAAGGGGTGTTTCAAGACTGCTCTAAGAAAGGGAGTGTTCAACTTTTGACTTGAATGCAAACATCAGAAAGCAGTTTCTCAGAACGCTGCTGTGTGCTTTTTATATGTATTCCCGCTTCCAGCGAAATCCCCAAAGCTAGCCAAATAGCCACTTGCAGATTCCAGAAAAAGAGTGTTTCAAAACTGCTCCTTCAAAACGGTGGTTCAATTCTCTTAGTTGAGTACACACATCTCAAATAAGTTTCTGAGAATGCTTCTGTCTAGTTGTTATGGGAAGATATTTCCTTTTCCAACATAGGCCTGAAAGCGCTCCAAATGTCCACTTCCAGATACTACAAAAGGAGTGATTCAAACCTGCTCTATGATAGGGAATGTTCAACTCTGTGTCCTGAATACAAACATCACAAAGATGTTTCTCAGAACGCTGCAGTCTGCAATTTGTATGAATTCCCGCTTCCAACGAAATCCTCAAAACTAGCCAAATATCCACTTGCAGATTCCACAAAAAGAGCGTTTCAAAACTTCTCTATGAAAAGAAAGGTTCTACTCCTTTAGTTGAGGACACACATCACGAGTAAGTTTCTGAGAATGCTTCTGTCTAGTTTTTATGGGAAGATATTTCCTTTTTCACCTTAGGCCGGTAAGTGCTCCAAATGTCCACTTACACACACTACAAAAAGAGTGTTTCAAACCTGCTCTGTGAAAGGGAATGTTCAATTCTGTGACTTGAATGCAATCATCACAAAGAACTTTCTGAGAATGCCGCTGACTGCTTTTTATATGTAATCCCGTTTCCAACGAAATCCTCAAATCTAGCCAAATAGCCACTTGCAGATTCCACAAAAAGAGTGTTTCAAAACTGTTCTGTCTAAAGAAATGTTCAACTGTGTTAGTTGAGGACACACATCAGAAACTAGTTTCTGAGAATGCTTCTGTCTAGTTGTTATGGGAAGATATTTCCTTTTCCAACGTAGGCCTGAAAGCGCTCCAAATGTCCACTTCCAGATACTACAAAAAGAGTGTTTCAAACCTGCTCTACCAAAGGGAATGTTCTACTCTGTGACTTGAATGCAAGCATCCCAAAGAAGTTTCTGAGAATGCTTCTGTCTAGATTTTCTCTGAAGACAATCCCGTTTCCAACGAAATCCTCAAGGCTAGGCAAATATCCTCTTGCAGATTCCAGAAAAAGAGTGTTTCAAAACTGCTCCTTCAAAACGGTGGTTCAATTCTCTTAGTTGAGTACACACATCTCAAATAAGTTTCTGAGAATGCTTCTGCCTAGTTGTTACGGGAAGATATTTCCCTTTCCAACATGGGCCTGAAAGCGCTCCAAATGTCCACTTCCAGATACTACAAAAAGAGTGTTTCAAACCTGCTCTACCAAAGGGAATGTTCTACTCTGTGACTTGAATGCAAACATCCCAAAGAAGTTTCTGAGAATGCTTCTGTCTAGATTTTACCTGAAGACAATCCCGTTTCCCACGAAATCCTCAAAGCTATGCAAATATCCTCTTGCAGATTCTACAAAAAGAGTGTTTCAAAACTGCTCTATGAAAAGAAAGGTTCAACTCTGTCAGTAGAGGGCACAACATCACAAACAAGTTTCTGAGAATGCTTCTGCATAGTTGTTACGGGAAGATATTTCCCTTTCCAAAATAGGCCTGAAAGCGCTCCAAATGTCCACTTCCAGATACTACAAAAGGAGTGATTCCAACCTGCTCTATGATAGGGAATGTTCAACTCTGTGTCCTGAATACAAACATCACAAAGATGTTTCTCAGAACGCTGCAGTCTGCAATTTGTATGAATTCCCGCTTCCAACGAAATCCTCAAAACTAGCCAAATATCCACTTGCAGATTCCACAAAAAGACCATTTCAAAACTGCTCTATCAAAAGAAAGGTTCAACTTTGTTAGTTGAGTAGATACAGCATAAACAAGTTTCTGAGAATGCTTCTGTCCAGTTTTTATGGGAAGATATTTCCTTTTTCACCTTAGCCCTGAAATCGCTCCAAAAGTCCAGTTCCAGATACTACAAAAGGGGTGTTTCAGGACTGCTCTATGAAAGGGAGTGTTCAACTTTTGACTTGAATGCAAACATCAGAAAGCAGTTTCTCAGAACGCTGCTGTGTGCTTTTTATATGTATTCCCGCTTCCAGCGAAATCCCCAAAGCTAGCCAAATATCCACTTGCAGATTCCAGAAAAAGAGAGTTTCAAAACTGCTCCTTCAAAACGGTGGTTCAATTCTCTTAGTTGAGTACACACATCTCAAATAAGTTTCTGAGAATGCTTCTGTCTATTTGTTATGGGAAGATATTTCCTTTTCCAACATAGGCCTGAAAGCGCTCCAAATGTCCACTTCCAGATACTAGAAAAGGAGTGATTCAAACCTGCTCTATGATAGGGAATGTTCAACTCTGTGTCCTGAATACAAACATCACAAAGATGTTTCTCAGAACGCTGCAGTCTGCAATTTGTAAGAATTCCCGCTTCCAACGAAATCCTCCAAACTAGCCAAATATCCACTTGCAGATTCCACAAAAAGAGCGTTTCAAAACTTCTCTATGAAAGAAAGGTTCTACTCCTTTAGTTGAGGACACACATCACGAGTAAGTTTCTGAGAATGCTTCTGTCTAGTTTTTATGGGAAGATATTTCCTTTTTCACCTTAGGCCGGAAAGTGCTCCAAATGTCCACTTACACACACTACAAAAAGAGTGTTTCAAACCTGCTCTGTGAAAGGGAATGTTCAATTCTGTGACTTGAATGCAATCATCACAAAGAACTTTCTGAGAATGCTGCTGTCTGCTTTTTATATGTAATCCCGTTTCCAACGAAATCCTCAAATCTAGCCAAATAGCCACTTGCAGATTCCACAAAAAGAGAGTTTCAAAACTGTTCTGTCTAAAGAAATGTTCAACTGTGTTAGTTGAGGACACACATCAGAAACTAGTTTCTGAGAATGCTTCTGTCTAGTTGTTATGGGAAGATATTTCCTTTTCCAACGTAGACCTGAAAGCGCTCCAAATGTCCACTTCCATATACTAAAAAAAGAGTGTATCAAACCTGCTCTACCAAAGGGAATGTTCTACTCTGTGACTTGAATGCAAACATCCCAAAGAAGTTTCTGAGAATGCTTCTGTCTAGATTTGATCTGAAGACAATCCCGTTTCCAACGAAATCCTCAAGGCTAGGCAAATATCCTCTTGCAGATTCCAGAAAAAGAGTGTTTCAAAACTGCTCCTTCAAAACGGTGGTTCAATTCTCTTAGTTGAGTACACACATCTCAAATAAGTTTCTGAGAATGCTTCTGCCTAGTTGTTACGGGAAGATATTTCCCTTTCCAACATAGGCCTGAAAGCGCTCCAAATGTCCACTTCCAGATACTATAAAAAGAGTGTTTCAAACCTGCTCTACCAAAGGGAATGTTCTACTCTGTGACTTGAATGCAAACATCCCAAAGAAGTTTCTGAGAATGCTTCTGTCTAGATTTTACCTGAAGACAATCCCGTTTCCCACGAAATCCTCAAAGCTATGCAAATATCCTCTTGCAGATTCTACAAAAAGAGTGTTTCAAAACTGCTCTATGAAAAGAAAGGTTCAACTCTGTCAGTAGAGGGCACACATCACAAACAAGTTTCTGAGAATGCTTCTGTCTAGTTGTTATGGGAAGATATTTCCTTTTCCAACATAGGGCCTGAAAGCGCTCCAAATGTCCACTTCCAGATACTACAAAAGGAGTGATTCCAACCTGCTCTATGATAGGGAATGTTCAACTCTGTGTCCTGAATACAAACATCACAAAGATGTTTCTCAGAACGCTGCAGTCTGCAATTTGTATGAATTCCCGCTTCCAACGAAATCCTCAAAAATAGCCAAATATCCACTTGCAGATTCCACAAAAAGAGCGTTTCAAAACTTCTCTATGAAAAGAAAGGTTCTACACCTTTAGTTGAGGACACACATCACGAGTAAGTTTCTGAGAATGCTTCTGTCTAGTTTTTATGGGAAGATATTTCCTTTTTCACCTTAGGCCGGTAAGTGCTCCAAATGTCCACTTACACACACTACAAAAAGAGTGTTTCAAACCTGCTCTGTGAAAGGGAATGTTGAATTCTGTGACTTGAATGCAATCATCACAAAGAACTTTCTGAGACTGCTGCTGTCTGCTTTGTATATGTAATCCCGTTTCCAACGAAATCCTCAAATCTAGCTAAATATCCACTTGCAGATTCCAGAAAAAGAATGTTTCAAAACTGCTCCTTCAAAACGGTGGTTCAATTCTCTTAGTTGAGTACACACATCTCAAATAAGTTTCTGAGAATGCTTCTGTCTAGTTGTTATGGGAAGATATTTCCTTTTCCAACGTAGGCCTGAAAGCGCTCCAAATGTCCACTTCCATATACGAAAAAAAGAGTGTTTCAAACCTGCTCTACCAAAGGGAATGTTCTACTCTGTGACTTGAATGCAAACATCCCAAAGAAATTTCTGAGAATGCTTCTGTCTAGATTTGATCTGAAGACAATCCCGTTTCCAACGGAATCCTCAAAGCTAGGCAAATATACTCTTGCAGATTCCAGAAAAAGAGTGTTTCAAAACTGCTCCTTCAAAAGGGTGGTTCAATTCTCTTAGTTGAGTACACACATCTCAAATAAGTTTCCGAGAATGCTTCTGTCTAGATTTTACCTGAAGACAATCCCGTTTCCCACGAAATCCTCGAAGCTATGCAAATATCCTCTTGCAGATTCTACAAAAAGAGTGTTTCAAAACTGCTCTATGAAAAGAAAGGTTCAACTCTGTCAGTAGAGGGCACACATCACAAACAAGTTTCTGAGAATGCTTCTGCCTAGTTGTTACGGGAAGATATTTCCCTTTCCAACATAGGCCTGAAAGCGCTCCAAATGTCCACTTCCAGATACTACAAAAAGAGTGTTTCAAACCTGCTCTACCAAAGGGAATGTTCTACTCTGTGACTTGAATGCAAACATCCCAAAGAAGTTTCTGAGAATGCTTGTGTCTAGTTGTTATGGGAAGATATTTCCTTTTTCAACATAGGCCTGAAAGCGCTCCAAATGTCCACTTCCAGATACTACAAAAGGAGTGATTCCAACCTGCTCTATGATAGGGAATGTTCAACTCTGTGTCCTGAATACAAACATCACAAAGATGTTTCTCAGAACGCTGCAGTCTGCAATTTGTATGAATTCCCGCTTCCAACGAAATCCTCAAAACTAGCCAAATATCCACTTGCAGATTCCACAAAAAGAGCGTTTCAAAACTTCTCTATGAAAAGAAATGTTCTACTCCTTTAGTTGAGGACACACATCACGAGTAAGTTTCTGAGAATGCTTCTGTCCAGTTTTTATGGGAAGATATTTCCTTTTTCACCTTAGCCCTGAAAGCGCTCCAAAAGTCCAGTTCCAGATACTACAAAAGGAGTGTTTCAGGACTGCTCTATGAAAGGGAGTGTTCAACTTTTGACTTGAATGCAAACATCAGAAAGCAGTTTCTCAGAACGCTGCTGTGTGCTTTTTATATGTATTCCCGCCTCCAGCGAAATCCCCAAAGCTAGCCAAATATCCACTTGCAGATTCCAGAAAAAGAGTGTTTCAAAACTGCTCCTTCAAAACGGTGGTTCAATTCTCTTAGTTGAGTACACACATCTCAAATAAGTTTCTCAGAATGCTTCTGTCTAGTTGTTATGGGAAGATATTTCCTTTTCCAACATAGGCCTGAAAGCGCTCCAAATGTCCACTTCCAGATACTACAAAAGGAGTGATTCCAACCTGCTCTATGATAGGGAATGTTCAACTCTGTGTCCTGAATACAAACATCACAAAGATGTTTCTCAGAACGCTGCAGTCTGCAATTTGTATGAATTCCCGCTTCCAACGAAATCCTCCAAACTAGCCAAATATCCACTTGCAGATTCCACAAAAAGAGCGTTTCAAAACTTCTCTATGAAAGAAAGGTTCTACTCCTTTAGTTGAGGACACACATCACGAGTAAGTTTCTGAGAATGCTTCTGTCTAGTTTTTATGGGAAGATATTTCCTTTTTCACCTTAGGCCGGAAAGCGCTCCAAATGTCCACTTACACACACTACAAAAAGAGTGTTTCAAACCTGCTCTGTGAAAGGGAATGTTCAATTCTGTGACTTGAATGCAATCATCACAAAGAACTTTCTGAGAATGCTGCTGACTGCTTTTTATATGTAATCCCGTTTCCAACGAAATCCTCAAATCTAGCCAAATAGCCACTTGCAGATTCCACAAAAAGAGTGTTTCAAAACTGTTCTGTCTAAAGAAATGTTCAACTGTGTTAGTTGAGGACACACATCAGAAACTAGTTTCTGAGAATGCTTCTGTCTAGTTGTTATGGGAAGATATTTCCTTTTCCAATGTAGGCCTGAAAGCGATCAAAATGTCCACTTCCATATACTAAAAAAAGAGTGTTTCAAACCTGCTCTACCAAAGGGAATGTTCTACTCTGTGACTTGAATGCAAACATCCCAAAGAAGTTTCTGAGAATGCTTCTGTCTAGATTTTCTCTGAAGACAATCCCGTTTCCAACGAAATCCTCAAGGCTAGGCAAATATACTCTTGCAGATTCCAGAAAAAGAGTGTTTCAAAACTGCTCCTTCAAAACGGTGGTTCAATTCTCTTAGTTGAGTACACACATCTCAAATAAGTTTCTGAGAATGCTTCTGCCTAGTTGTTACGGGAAGATATTTCCCTTTCCAACATGGGCCTGAAAGCGCTCCAAATGTCCACTTCCAGATACTACAAAAAGAGGGTTTCAAACCTGCTCTACCAAAGGGAATGTTCTACTCTGTGACTTGAATGCAAACATCCCAAAGAAGTTTCTGAGAATGCTTCTGTCTAGATTTTACCTGAAGACAATCCCGTTTCCCACGAAATCCTCAAAGCTATGCAAATATCCTCTTGCAGATTCTACAAAAAGAGTGTTTCAAAACTGCTCTATGAAAAGAAAGGTTCAACTCTGTCAGTAGAGGGCACACATCACAAACAAGTTTCTGAGAATGCTTGTGTCTAGTTGTTATGGGAAGATATTTCCTTTTTCAACATAGGCCTGAAAGCGCTCCAAATGTCCACTTCCAGATACTACAAAAGGAGTGATTCCAACCTGCTCTATGATAGGGAATGTTCACCTCTGTGTCCTGAATACAAACATCACAAAGATGTTTCTCAGAACGCTGCAGTCTGCAATTTGTATGAATTCCCGCTTCCAACGAAATCCTCAAAACTAGCCAAATATCCACTTGGAGATTCCACAAAAAGAGCGTTTCAAAACTTCTCTATGAATAGAAAGGTTCTACTCCTTTAGTTGAGGACACACATCACGAGTAAGTTTCTGAGAATGCTTCTGTCTAGTTTTTATGGGACGATATTTCCTTTTTCACCTTAGGCTGGAAAGCGCTCCAAATGTCCACTTACACACACTACAAAAAGAGTGTTTCAAACCTGCTCTGTGAAAGGGAATGTTCAATTACTGTGACTTGAATGCAATCATCACAAAGAAGTTTCTGAGAATGCTGCTGTCTGCTTTTTATATGTAATCCCGTTTCCAACGAAATCCTCAAATCTAGCCAAATAGCCACTTGCAGATTCCACAAAAAGAGTGTTTCAAAACTGTTCTGTCTAAAGAAATGTTCAACTGTGTTAGTTGAGGACACACATCAGAAACTAGTTTCTGAGAATGCTTCTGTCTAGTTGTTATGGGAAGATATTTCCTTTTCCAACGTAGGCCTGAAAGCGCTCCAAATGTCCACTTCCATATACTAAAAAAAGAGTGTTTCAAACCTGCTCTACCAAAGGGAATGTTCTACTCTGTGACTTGAATGCAAACATCCCAAAGAAGTTTCTGAGAATGCTTCTGTCTAGATTTTATCTGAAGACAATCCCGTTTCCAACGAAATCCTCAAGGCTAGGCAAATATACTCTTGCAGATTCCAGAAAAAGAGTGTTTCAAAACTGCTCCTTCAAAACGGTGGTTCAATTCTCTTCGTTGAGTCCACACATTTCAAATACGTTTCTGAGAATGCTTCTGCCTAGTTGTTACGGGAAGATATTTCCCTTTCCAACATAGGCCTGAAAGCGCTCCAAATGTCCACTTCCAGATACTACAAAAAGAGTGTTTCAAACCTGCTCTACCAAAGGGAATGTTCTACTCTGTGACTTGAATGCAAACATCCCAAAGAAGTTTCTGAGAATGCTTCTGTCTAGATTTGATCTGAAGACAATCCCGTTTCCAACGAAATCCTCAAGGCTAGGCAAATATCCTCTTGCAGATTCCAGAAAAAGAGTGTTTCAAAACTGCTCCTTCAAAATGGTGGTTCAATTCTCTTAGTTGAGTACACACATCTCAAATAAGTTTCTGAGAATGCTTCTGCCTAGTTGTTACGGGAAGATATTTCCCTTTCCAACATAGGCCTGAAAGCGCTCCAAATGTCCTCTTCCAGATACTACAAAAAGAGTGTTTCAAACCTGCTCTACCAAAGGGAATGTTCTACTCTGTGACTTGAATGCAAACATCCCAAAGAAGTTTCTGAGAATGCTTCTGTCTAGATTTTACCTGAAGACAATCCCGTTTCCCACGAAATCCTCAAAGCTATTCAAATATCCTCTTGCAGATTCTACAAAAAGAGTGTTTCAAAACTGCTCTATGAAAAGAAAGGTTCAACTCTGTCACTAGAGGGCACACATCACAAACAAGTTTCTGAGAATGCTTGTGTCTAGTTGTTATGGGAAGATATTTCCTTTTTCAACATAGGCCTGAAAGCGCTCCAAATGTCCACTTCCAGATACTACAAAAGGAGTGATTCCAACCTGCTCTATGATAGGGAATGTTCAACTCTCTGTCCTGAATACAAACATCACAAAGATGTTTCTCAGAACGCTGCAGTCTGCAATTTGTATGAATTCCCGCTTCCAGCGAAATCCTCAAAACTAGCCAAATATCCACTTGCAGATTCCACAAAAAGAGCATTTCAAAACTGCTCTATCAAAAGAAAGGTTCAACTTTGTTAGTTGAGTAGATACAGCATAAACAAGTTTCTGAGAATGCTTCTGTCCAGTTTTTATGGGAAGATATTTCCTTTTTCACCTTAGCCCTGAAAGCGCTCCAAAAGTCCAGTTCCAGATACTACAAAAGGAGTGTTTCAGGACTGCTCTATGAAAGGGAGTGTTCAACTTTTGACTTGAATGCAAACATCAGAAAGCAGTTTCTCAGAACGCTGCTGTGTGCTTTTTATATGTATTCCCGCTTCCAGCGAAATCCCCAAAGCTAGCCAAATATCCACTTGCAGATTCCAGAAAAAGAGTGTTTCAAAACTGCTCCTTCAAAACGGTGGTTCAATTCTCTTAGTTGAGTACACACATCTCAAATAAGTTTCTGAGAATGCTTCTGTCTAGTTGTTATGGGAAGATATTTCCTTTTCCAACATAGGCCTGAAAGCGCTCCAAATGTCCACTTCCAGATACTACAAAAGGAGTGATTCAAACCTGCTCTATGATAGGGAATGTTCAACTCAGTGTCCTGAATACAAACATCACAAAGATGTTTCTCAGAACGCTGCAGTCTGCAATTTGTATGAATTCCCGCTTCCAACGAAATCCTCCAAACTAGCCAAATATCCACTTGCAGATTCCACAAAAAGAGCGTTTCAAAACTTCTCTATGAAAACAAAGGTTCTACTCCTTTAGTTGAGGACACACATCACGAGTAAGTTTCTGAGAATGCTTCTGTCTAGTTTTTATGGGAAGATATTCCCTTCTTCACCTTAGGCCGGAAAGTGCTCCAAATGTCCACTTACACACACTACAAAAAGAGTGTTTCAAACCTGCTCTGTGAAAGGGAATGTTCAATTCTGTGACTTGAATGCAATCATCACAAAGAACTTTCTGAGAATGCTGCTGTCTGCTTTTTATATGTAATCCCGTTTCCAACGAAATCCTCAAATCTAGCCAAATAGCCACTTGCAGATTCCACAAAAAGAGTGTTTCAAAACTGTTCTGTCTAAAGAAATGTTCAACTGTGTTAGTTGAGGAAACACATCAGAAACAAGTTTCTGAGAATGCTTCTGTCTAGTTGTTATGGGAAGATATTTCCTCTTCCAACGTAGGCCTGAAAGCGCTCCAAATGTCCACTTCCATATACTAAAAAAAGAGTGTTTCAAACCTGCTCTACCAAAGGGAATGTTCTACTCTGTGACTTGAAT
The DNA here is from genome assembly GCF_000001405.40 of Homo sapiens. Taxonomy (NCBI): domain Eukaryota; kingdom Metazoa; phylum Chordata; class Mammalia; order Primates; family Hominidae; genus Homo; species Homo sapiens. Next base: position 15,982,157 of record NC_000018.10, on the reverse strand, counting down.
GCAAACATCCCAAAGAAGTTTCTGAGAATGCTTCTGTCTAGATTTGATCTAAAGACAATCCCGTTTCCAACGAAATCCTCAAGGCTAGGCAAATATCCTCTTGCAGATTCCAGAAAAAGAGTGTTTCAAAACTGCTCCTTCAAAACGGTGATTCAATTCTCTTAGTTGAGTACACACATCTCAAATAAGTTTCTGAGAATGCTTCTGCCTAGTTGTTACGGGAAGATATTTCCCTTTCCAACATAGGCCTGAAAGCGCTCCAAATGTCCACTTCCAGATACTACAAAAAGAGTGTTTCAAACCTGCTCTACCAAAGGGAATGTTCTACTCTGTGACTTGAATGCAAACATCCCAAAGAAGTTTCTGAGAATGCTTCTGTCTAGATTTTGCCTGAAGACAATCCCGTTTCCCACGAAATCCTCAAAGCTATGCAAATATCCTCTTGCAGATTCTACAAAAAGAGTGTTTCAAAACTGCTCTATGAAAAGAAAGGTTCAACTCTGTCAGTAGAGGGCACACATCACAAACAAGTTTCTGAGAATGCTTGTGTCTAGTTGTTATGGGAAGATATTTCCTTTTTCAACATAGGCCTGAAAGCGCTCCAAATGTCCACTTCCAGATACTACAAAAGGAGTGATTCCAACCTGCTCTATGATAGGGAATGTTCAACTCTGTGTCCTGAATACAAACATCACAAAGATGTTTCTCAGAACGCTGCAGTCTGCAATTTGCATGAATTCCAGCTTCCAACGAAATCCTCAAAACTAGCCAAATATCCACTTGCAGATTCCACAAAAAGAGCGTTTCAAAACTTCTCTATGAATAGAAATGTTCTACTCCTTTAGTTGAGGACACACATCACGAGTAAGTTTCTGAGAATGCTTCTGTCCAGTTTTTATGGGAAGATATTTCCTTTTTCACCTTAGCCCTGAAAGCGCTCCAAAATTCCAGTTCCAGATACTACAAAAGGAGTGTTTCAGGACTGCTCTATGAAAGGGAGTGTTCAACTTTTGACTTGAATGCAAACATCAGAAAGCAGTTTCTCAGAACGCTGCTGTGTGCTTTTTATATGTATTCCCGCTTCCAGCGAAATCCCCAAAGCTAGCCAAATATCCACTTGCAGATTCCAGAAAAAGAGTGTTTCAAAACTGCTCCTTCAAAACGGTGGTTCAATTCTCTTAGTTGAGTACACACATCTCAAATAAGTTTCTGAGAATGCTTCTGTCTAGTTGTTATGGGAAGATATTTCCTTTTCCAACATAGGCCTGAAAGCGCTCCAAATGTCCACTTCCAGATACTACGAAAGGAGTGATTCAAACCTGCTCTATGATAGGGAATGTTCAACTCTGTGTCCTGAATACAAACATCACAAAGATGTTTCTCAGAACGCTGCAGTCTGCAATTTGTATGAATTCCCGCTTCCAACGAAATCCTCAAAACTAGCCAAATATCCACTTGCAGATTCCACAAAAAGAGCGTTTCAAAACTTCTCTATGAAAAGAAAGGTTCTACTCCTTTAGTTGAGGACACACATCACGAGTAAGTTTCTGAGAATGCTTCTGTCTAGTTTTTATGGGAAGATATTTCCTTTTTCACCTTAGGCCGGAAAGTGCTCCAAATGTCCACTTACACACACTACAAAAAGAGTGTTTCAAACCTGCTCTGTGAAAGGGAATGTTCAATTCTGTGACTTGAATGCAATCATCACAAAGAACTTTCTGAGAATGCTGCTGTCTGCTTTTTATATGTAATCCCGTTTCCAACGAAATCCTCAAATCTAGCCAAATAGCCACTTGCAGATTCCACAAAAAGAGTGTTTCAAAACTGTTCTGTCTAAAGAAATGTTCAACTGTGTTAGTTGAGGACACACATCAGAAGCTAGTTTCTGAGAATGCTTCTGTCTAGTTGTTATGGGAAGATATTTCCTTTTCCAACGTAGGCCTGAAAGCGCTCCAAATGTCCACTTCCATATACTTAAAAAAGAGTGTTTCAAACCTGCTCTACCAAAGGGAATGTTCTACTCTGTGACATGAATGCAAACATCCCAAAGAAGTTTCTGAGAATGCTTCTGTCTAGATTTGATCTGAAGACAATCCCGTTTCCAACGAAATCCTCAAGGCTAGGCAAATATCCTCTTGCAGATTCCAGAAAAAGAGTGTTTCAAAACTGCTCCTTCAAAACGGTGGTTCAATTCTCTTAGTTGAGTACACACATCTCAAATAAGTTTCTGAGAATGCTTCTGCCTAGTTGTTACGGGAAGATATTTCCCTTTCCAACATAGGCCTGAAAGCGCTCCAAATGTCCACTTCCAGATACTACAAAAAGAGTGTTTCAAACCTGCTCTACCAAAGGGAATGTTCTGCTCTGTGACTTGAATGCAAACATCCCAAAGAAGTTTCTGAGAATGCTTCTGTCTAGATTTTACCTGAAGACAATCCCGTTTCCCACGAAATCCTCAAAGCTATGCAAATATCCTCTTGCAGATTCTACAAAAAGAGTGTTTCAAAACTGCTCTATGAAAAGAAAGGTTCAACTCTGTCAGTAGAGGGCACACATCACAAACAAGTTTCTGAGAATGCTTGTGTCTAGTTGTTATGGGAAGATATTTCCTTTTTCAACATAGGCCTGAAAGCGCTCCAAATGTCCACTTCCAGATACTACAAAAGGAGTGATTCCAACCTGCTCTATGATAGGGAATGTTCAACTCTGTGTCCTGAATACAAACATCACAAAGATGTTTCTCAGAACGCTGCAGTCTGCAATTTGTATGTATTCCAGCTTCCAACGAAATCCTCAAATCTAGCCAAATATCCACTTGCAGATTCCACAAAAAGAGCATTTCAAAACTGCTCTATCAAAAGAAAGGTTCAACTTTTTTAGTAGAGTAGATACAGCATAAACAAGTTTCTGAGAATGCTTCTGTCCAGTTTTTATGGGAAGATATTTCCTTTTTCACCTTAGCCCTGAAAGCGCTCCAAAAGTCCAGTTCCAGATACTACAAAAGGAGTGTTTCAGGACTGCTCTATGAAAGGGAGTGTTCAACTTTTGACTTGAATGCAAACATCAGAAAGCAGTTTCTCAGAACGCTGCTGTGTGCTTTTTATATGTATTCCCGCTTCCAGCGAAATCCCCAAAGCTAGCCAAATATCCACTTGCAGATTCCAGAAAAAGAGTGTTTCAAAACTGCTCCTTCAAAACGGTGGTTCAATTCTCTTAGTTGAGTACACACATCTCAAATAAGTTTCTGAGAATGCTTCTGCCTAGTTGTTAAGGGAAGATATTTCCCTTTCCAACAAAGGCCTGAAAGCGCTCCAAATGTCCACTTCCAGATACTACAAAAGGAGTGATTCAAACCTGCTCTACGATAGGGAATGTTCAACTCTGTGTCCTGAATACAAACATCACAAAGATGTTTCTCAGAACGCTGCAGTCTGCAATTTGTATGAATTCCCGCTTCCAACGAAATCCTCCAAACTAGCCAAATATCCACTTGCAGATTCCACAAAAAGAGCGTTTCAAAACTTCTCTATGAAAAGAAAGGTTCTACTCCTTTAGTTGAGGACACACATCACGAGTAAGTTTCTGAGAATGCTTCTGTCTAGTTTTTATGGGAAGATATTTCCTTTTTCACCTTAGGCCGGAAAGTGCTCCAAATGTCCACTTACACACACTACAAAAAGAGTGTTTCAAACCTGCCCTGTGAAAGGGAATGTTCAATTCTGTGACTTGAATGCAATCATCACAAAGAACTTTCTGAGAATGCTGCTGTCTGCTTTTTATATGTAATCCCGTTTCCAACGAAATCCTCAAATCTAGCCAAATAGCCACTTGCAGATTCCACAAAAAGAGTGTTTCAAAACTGTTCTGTCTAAAGAAATGTTCAACTGTGTTAGTTGAGGACACACATCAGAAACTAGTTTCTGAGAATGCTTCTGTCTAGTTGTTATGGGTAGATATTTCCTTTTCCAACGTAGGCCTGAAAGCGCTCCAAATGTCCACTTCCATATACTAAAAAAAGAGTGTTTCAAACCTGCTCTACCAAAGGGAATGTTCTACTCTGTGACATGAATGCAAACATCCCAAAGAAGTTTCTGAGAATGCTTCTGTCTAGATTTGATCTGAAGACAATCCCGTTTCCAACGAAATCCTCAAGGCTAGGCAAATATCCTCTTGCAGATTCCAGAAAAAGAGTGTTTCAAAACTGCTCCTTCAAAACGGTGGTTCAATTCTCTTAGTTGAGTACACACATCTCAAATAAGTTTCTGAGAATGCTTCTGCCTAGTTGTTACGGGAAGATATTTCCCTTTCCAACATAGGCCTGAAAGCGCTCCAAATGTCCACTTCCAGATACTACAAAAAGAGTGTTTCAAACCTGCTCTACCAAAGGGAATGTTCTACTCTGTGACTTGAATGCAAACATCCCAAAGAAGTTTCTCAGAATGCTTCTGTCTAGATTTTACCTGAAGACAATCCCGTTTCCCACGAAATCCTCAAAGCTATGCAAATATCCTCTTGCAGATTCTACAAAAAGAGCGTTTCAAAACTTCTCTATGAAAAGAAAGGTTCTACTCATTTAGTGGAGGACACACATCACGAGTAAGTTTCTGAGAATGCTTCTGTCTAGTTTTTATGGGAAGATATTTCCTTTTTCACCTTAGGCCGGAAAGTGCTCCAAATGTCCAATTACACACACTAAAAAAGAGTATTTCAAACCTGCTCTGTGAAAGGGAATGTTCAATTCTGTGACTTGAATGCAATCATCACAAAGAACTTTTTGAGAATGCTGCTGACTGCTTTTTATATGTAATCCCGTTTCCAACGAAATCCTCAAATCTAGCCAAATAGCCACTTGCAGATTCCACAAAAAGAGTGTTTCAAAACTGTTCTGTCTAAAGAAATGTGCAACTGTGTTAGTTGAGGACACACATCAGAAACTAGTTTCTGAGAATGCTTCTGTCTAGTTGTTATGGGAAGATATTTCCTTTTCCAACGTAGGCCTGAATGCGCTCCAAATGTCCACTTCCATATACTAAAAAAAGAGTGTTTCAAACCTGCTCTACCAAAGGGAATGTTCTACTCTGTGACTTGAATGCAAACATCCCAAGGAAGTTTCTGAGAATGCTTCTGTATAGATTTGATCTGAAGACAATCCCGTTTCCAACGAAATCCTCAAGGCTAGGCAAATATCCTCTTTCAGATTCCAGAAAAAGAGTGTTTCAAAACTGCTCCTTCAAAACGGTGGTTCAATTCTCTTAGTTGAATACACACATCTCAAATAAGTTTCTGAGAATGCTTCTGCCTAGTTGTTACGGGAAGATATTTCCCTTTCCAACATAGGCCTGAAAGCGCTCCAAATGTCCACTTCCAGATACTACAAAAAGAGTGTTTCAAACCTACTCTACCAAAGGGAATGTTCTGCTCTGTGACTTGAATGCAAACATCCCAAAGAAGTTTCTGAGAATGCTTCTGTCTAGATTTTACCTGAAGACTATCCCGTTTCCCACGTAATCCTCAAAGCTATGCAAATATCCTCTTGCAGATTCTACAAAAAGAGTGTTTCAAAACTGCTCTATGAAAAGAAAGGTTCAACTCTGTCAGTAGAGGGCACACATCACAAACAAGTTTCTGAGAATGCTGTGTCTAGTTGTTATGGGAAGATATTTCCTTTTTCAACATAGGCCTGAAAGCGCTCCAAATGTCCACTTCCAGATACTACAAAAGGAGTGATTCCAACCTGCTCTATGATAGGGAATGTTCATCTCTGTGTCCTGAATACAAACATCACAAAGATGTTCTCAGAACGCTGGCAGTCTGCAATTTGTATGAATTCCCGCTTCCAACGAAATCCTCAAAACTAGCCAAATATCCACTTGCAGATTCCACAAAAAGAGCATTTCAAAACTGCTCTATCAAAAGAAAGGTTCAACTTTGTTAGTTGAGTAGATACAGCATAAACAAGTTTCTGAGAATGCTTCTGTCCAGTTTTTATGGGAAGATATTTCCTTTTTCACCTTAGGCCGGAAAGCGCTCCAAATGTCCACTTACACACACTACAAAAAGAGGGTTTCAAACCTGCTCTGTGAAAGGGAATGTTCAATTCTGTGACTTGAATGCAATCATCACAAAGAACTTTCTGAGAATGCTGCTGTCTGCTTTTTATATGTAATCCCGTTTCCAACGAAATCCTCAAATCTAGCCAAATATCCACTTGCAGATTCCACAAAAAGAGTGTTTCAAAACTGTTCTGTCTAAAGAAAAGTTCAACTGTGTTAGTTGAGGACACACATCAGAAACTAGTTTCTGAGAATGCTTCTGTCTAGTTGTTATGGGAAGATATTTCCTTTTCCAACGTAGGCCTGAAAGCGCTCCAAATGTCCACTTCCATATACTAAAAAGAGAGTGTTTCAAACCTGCTCTACCAAAGGGAATGTTCTACTCTGTGACTTGAATGCAAACATCCCAAAGAAGTTTCTGAGAATGCTTCTGTCTAGATTTTCTCTGAAGACAATCCCGTTTCCAACGAAATCCTCAAGGCTAGGCAAATATACTCTTGCAGATTCCAGAAAAAGAGTGTTTCAAAACTGCTCCTTCAAAACGGTGGTTCAATTCTCTTAGTTGAGTACACACATCTCAAATAAGTTTCTGAGAATGCTTCTGCCTAGTTGTTACGGGAAGATATTTCCCTTTCCAACATGGGCCTGAAAGCGCTCCAAATGTCCACTTCCAGATACTACAAAAAGAGTGTTTCAAACCTGCTCTACCAAAGGGAATGTTCTACTCTGTGACTTGAATGCAAACATCCCAAAGAAGTTTCTGAGAATGCTTCTGTCTAGATTTTACCTGAAGACAATCCCGTTTCCCACGAAATCCTCAAAGCTATGCAAATATCCTCTTGCAGATTCTACAAAAAGAGTGTTTCAAAACTGCTCTATGAAAAGAAAGGTTCAACTCTGTCAGTAGAGGGCACACATCACAAACAAGTTTCTGAGAATGCTTCTGCATAGTTGTTACGGGAAGATATTTCCCTTTCCAAAATAGGCCTGAAAGCGCTCCAAATGTCCACTTCCAGATACTACAAAAGGAGTGATTCCAACCTGCTCTATGATAGGGAATGTTCAACTCTGTGTCCTGAATACAAACATCACAAAGATGTTTCTCAGAACGCTGCAGTCTGCAATTTGTATGAATTCCCGCTTCCAACGAAATCCTCAAAACTAGCCAAATATCCACTTGCAGATTCCACAAAAAGACCATTTCAAAACTGCTCTATCAAAAGAAAGGTTCAACTTTGTTAGTTGAGTAGATACAGCATAAACAAGTTTCTGAGAATGCTTCTGTCCAGTTTTTATGGGAAGATATTTCCTTTTTCACCTTAGCCCTGAAATCGCTCCAAAAGTCCAGTTCCAGATACTACAAAAGGGGTGTTTCAAGACTGCTCTATGAAAGGGAGTGTTCAACTTTTGACTTGAATGCAAACATCAGAAAGCAGTTTCTCAGAACGCTGCTGTGTGCTTTTTATATGTATTCCCGCTTCCAGCGAAATCCCCAAAGCTAGCCAAATATCCACTTGCAGATTCCAGAAAAAGAGAGTTTCAAAACTGCTCCTTCAAAACGGTGGTTCAATTCTCTTAGTTGAGGTACACACATCTCAAATAAGTTTCTGAGAATGCTTCTGTCTAGTTGTTATGGGAAGATATTTCCTTTTCCAACATAGGCCTGAAAGCGCTCCAAATGTCCACTTCCAGATACTACAAAAGGAGTGATTCAAACCTGCTCTATGATAGGGAATATTCAACTCTGTGTCCTGAATACAAACATCACAAAGATGTTTCTCAGAACGCTGCAGTCTGCAATTTGTATGAATTCCCGCTTCCAACGAAATCCTCAAAACTAGCCAAATATCCACTTGCAGATTCCACAAAAAGAGCGTTTCAAAACTTCTCTATGAAAAGAAAGGTTCTACTCCTTTAGTTGAGGACACACATCACGAGTAAGTTTCTGAGAATGCTTCTGTCTAGTTTTTATGGGAAGATATTTCCTTTTTCACCTTAGGCCGGTAAGTGCTCCAAATGTCCACTTACACACACTACAAAAAGAGTGTTTCAAACCTGCTCTGTGAAAGGGAATGTTCAATTCTGTGACTTGAATGCAATCATCACAAAGAACTTTCTGAGAATGCTGCTGACTGCTTTTTATATGTAATCCCGTTTCCAACGAAATCCTCAAATCTAGCCAAATAGCCACTTGCAGATTCCACAAAAAGAGTGTTTCAAAACTGTTCTGTCTAAAGAAATGTTCAACTGTGTTAGTTGAGGACACACATCAGAAACTAGTTTCTGAGAATGCTTCTGTCTAGTTGTTATGGGAAGATATTTCCTTTTCCAACGTAGGCCTGAAAGCGATCCAAATGTCCACTTCCATATACTAAAAAAAGAGTGTTTCAAACCTGCTCTACCAAAGGGAATGTTCTACTCTGTGACTTGAATGCAAACATCCCAAAGAAGTTTCTGAGAATGCTTCTGTCTAGATTTTATCTGAAGACAATCCCGTTTCCAACGAAATCCTCAAGGCTAGGCAAATATACTCTTGCAGATTCCAGAAAAAGAGGGTTTCAAAACTGCTCCTTCAAAACGGTGGTTCAATTCTCTTAGTTGAGTACACACATCTCAAATAAGTTTCTGAGAATGCTTCTGCCTAGTTGTTACGGGAAGATATTTCCCTTTCCAACATAGGCCTGAAAGCGCTCCAAATGTCCACTTCCAGATACTACAAAAAGAGTGTTTCAAACCTGCTCTACCAAAGGGAATGTTCTACTCTGTGACTTGAATGCAAACATCCCAAAGAAGTTTCTGAGAATGCTTCTGTCTAGATTTTACCTGAAGACAATCCCGTTTCCCACGAAATCCTCAAAGCTATGCAAATATCCTCTTGCAGATTCTACAAAAAGAGTGTTTCAAAACTGCTCTATGAAAAGAAAGGTTCAACTCTGTCAGTAGAGGGCACACATCACAAACAAGTTTCTGAGAATGCTTGTGTCTAGTTGTTATGGGAAGATATTTCCTTTTTCAACATAGGCCAGAAAGCGCTCCAAATGTCCACTTCCAGATACTACAAAAGGAGTGATTCCAACCTGCTCTATGATAGGGAATGTTCAACTCTCTGTCCTGAATACAAACATCACAAAGATGTTTCTCAGAACGCTGCAGTCTGCAATTTGTATGAATTCCCGCTTCCAACGAAATCCTCAAAACTAGCCAAATATCCACTTGCAGATTCCACAAAAAGAGCATTTCAAAACTGCTCTATCAAAAGAAAGGTTCAACTTTGTTAGTTGAGTAGATACAGCATAAAAAAGTTTCTGAGAATGCTTCTGTCCAGTTTTTATGGGAAGATATTTCCTTTTTCACCTTAGCCCTGAAAGCGCTCCAAAAGTCCAGTTCCAGATACTACAAAAGGAGTGTTTCAGGACTGCTCTATGAAAGGGAGTGTTCAACTTTTGACTTGAATGCAAACATCAGAAAGCAGTTTCTCAGAACGCTGCTGTGTGCTTTTTATATGTATTCCCGCTTCCAGCGAAATCCCCAAAGCTAGCCAAATATCCACTTGCAGATTCCAGAAAAAGAGTGTTTCAAAACTGCTCCTTCAAAACGGTGGTTCAATTCTCTTAGTTGAGTACACACATCTCAAATAAGTTTCTGAGAATGCTTGTGTCTAGTTGTTATGGGAAGATATTTCCTTTTTCAAAATAGGCCTGAAAGCGCTCCAAATGTCCACTTCCAGATACTACAAAAGGAGTGATTCCAACCTGCTCTATGATAGGGAATGTTCATCTCTGTGTCCTGAATACAAACATCACAAAGATGTTTCTCAGATCGCTGCAGTCTGCAATTTGTATGAATTCCCGCTTCCAACGAAATCCTCCAAACTAGCCAAATATCCACTTGCAGATTCCACAAAAAGAGCGTTTCAAAACTTCTCTATGAAAAGAAAGGTTCTACTCCTTTAGTTGAGGACACACATCACGAGTAAGTTTCTGAGAGTGCTTCTGTCTAGTTTTTATGGGAAGATATTTCCTTTTTCACCTTAGGCCGGAAAGTGCTCCAAATGTCCACTTACACACACTACAAAAAGAGTGTTTCAAACCTGCTCTGTGAAAGGGAATGTTCAATTCTGTGACTTGAATGCAATCATCACAAAGAACTTTCTGAGAATGCTGCTGTCTGCTTTTTATATGTAATCCCGTTTCCAACGAAATCCTCAAATCTAGCCAAATAGCCACTTGCAGATTCCACAAAAAGAGAGTTTCAAAACTGTTCTGTCTAAAGAAATGTTCAACTGTGTTAGTTGAGGACACACATCAGAAACTAGTTTCTGAGAATGCTTCTGTCTAGTTGTTATGGGAAGATATTTCCTTTTCCAACGTAGGCCTGAAAGCGCTCCAAATGTCCACTTCCATATACTAAAAAAAGAGTGTTTCAAACCTGCTCTACCAAAGGGAATGTTCTACTCTGTGACTTGAATGCAAACATCCCAAAGAAGTTTCTGAGAATGCTTCTGTCTAGATTTGATCTGAACACAATCCCGTTTCCAACGAAATCCTCAAAGCTAGGCAAATATCCTCTTGCAGATTCCAGAAAAAGAGTGTTTCAAAACTGCTCCTTCAAAACGGTGGTTCAATTCTCTTAGTTGAGTGCACACATCTCAAATAAGTTTCTGAGAATGCTTCTGCCTAGTTGTTACGGGAAGATATTTCCCTTTCCAACATAGGCCTGAAAGCGCTCCAAATGTCCACTTCCAGATACTACAAAAAGAGTGTTTCAAACCTGCTCTACCAAAGGGAATGTTCTACTCTGTGACTTGAATGCAAACATCCCAAAGAAGTTTCTGAGAATGCTTCTGTCTAGATTTTACCTGAAGACAATCCCGTTTCCCACGAAATCCTCAAAGCTATGCAAATATCCTCTTGCAGATTCTACAAAAAGAGTGTTTCAAAACTGCTCTATGAAAAGAAAGGTTCAACTCTGTCAGTAGAGGGCACACATCACAAACAAGTTTCTGAGAATGCTTGTGTCTAGTTGTTATGGGAAGATATTTCCTTTTTCAACATAGGCCTGAAAGCGCTCCAAATGTCCACTTCCAGATACTACAAAAGGAGTGATTCCAACCTGCTCTATGATAGGGAATGTTCAACTCTGTGTCCTGAATACAAACATCACAAAGATGTTTCTCAGAACGCTGCAGTCTGCAATTTGTATGAATTCCCGCTTCCAACGAAATCCTCAAAACTAGCCAAATATCCACTTGCAGATTCCACAAAAAGACCATTTCAAAACTGCTCTATCAAAAGAAAGGTTCAACTTTGTTAGTTGAGTAGATACAGCATAAACAAGTTTCTGAGAATGCTTCTGTCCAGTTTTTATGGGAAGATATTTCCTTTTTCACCTTAGCCCTGAAATCGCTCCAAAAGTCCAGTTCCAGATACTACAAAAGGGGTGTTTCAAGACTGCTCTATGAAAGGGAGTGTTCAACTTTTGACTTGAATGCAAACATCAGAAAGCAGTTTCTCAGAACGCTGATGTGTGCTTTTTATATGTATTCCCGCTTCCAGCGAAATCCCCAAAGCTAGCCAAATATCCACTTGCAGATTCCAGAAAAAGAGAGTTTCAAAACTGCTCCTTCAAAACGGTGGTTCAATTCTCTTAGTTGAGTACACACATCTCAAATAAGTTTCTGAGAATGCTGCAGTCTGCAATTTGTATGAATTCCCGCTTCCAGCGAAATCCTCAAAACTAGCCAAATATCCACTTGCAGATTCCACAAAAAGAGCATTTCAAAACTGCTCTGTCAAAAGAAAGGTTCAACTTTGTTAGTTGAGTAGATACAGCATAAACAAGTTTCTGAGAATGCTGCAGTCTGCAATTTGTATGAATTCCCGCTTCCAACGAAATCCTCAAAACTAGCCAAATATCCACTTGCAGATTCCACAAAAAGAGCGTTTCGAAACTTCTCTATGAAAAGAAAGGTTCTACTCCTTTAGTTGAGGACACACATCGCGAGTAAGTTTCTGAGAATGCTTCTGTCTAGTTTTTATGGGAAGATATGTCCTTTTTCACCTTAGGCCAGAAAGCGCTCCAAATGTCCACTTACACACACTACAAAAAGAGTGTTTCAAACCTGCTCTGTGAAAGGGAATGTTCAATTCTGTGACTTGAATGCAATCATCACAAAGAACTTTCTGAGAATGCTGCTGTCTGCTTTTTATATGTAATCCCGTTTCCAACGAAATCCTCAAATCTAGCCAAATATCCACTTGCAGATTCCACAAAAAGAGTGTTTCAAAACTGTTCTGTCTAAAGAAAAGTTCAACTGTGTTAGTTGAGGACACACATCAGAAACTAGTTTCTGAGAATGCTTCTGTCTAGTTGTTATGGGAAGATATTTCCTTTTCCAACGTAGGCCTGAAAGCGCTCCAAATGTCCACTTCCATATACTAAAAAAAGAGTGTTTCAAACCTGCTCTACCAAAGGGAATGTTCTACTCTGTGACTTGAATGCAAACATCCCAAAGAAGTTTCTGAGAATGCTTCTGTCTAGATTTTATCTGAAGACAATCCCGTTTCCAACGAAATCCTCAAGGCTAGGCAAATATACTCTTGCAGATTCCAGAAAAAGAGTGTTTCAAAACTGCTCCTTCAAAACGGTGGTTCAATTCTCTTAGTTGAGTACACACATCTCAAATAAGTTTCTGAGAATGCTTCTGCCTAGTTGTTACGGGAAGATATTTCCCTTTCCAACATGGGCCTGAAAGCGCTCCAAATGTCCACTTCCAGATACTACAAAAAGAGTGTTTCAAACCTGCTCTACCAAAGGGAATGTTCTACTCTGTGACTTGAATGCAAACATCCCAAAGAAGTTTCTGAGAATGCTTCTGTCTAGATTTTACCTGAAGACAATCCCGTTTCCCACGAAATCCTCAAAGCTATGCAAATATCCTCTTGCAGATTCTACAAAAAGAGTGTTTCAAAACTGCTCTATGAAAAGAAAGGTTCAACTCTGTCAGTAGAGGGCACACATCACAAACAAGTTTCTGAGAATGCTTGTGTCTAGTTGTTATGGGAAGATATTTCCTTTTTCAACATAGGCCTGAAAGCGCTCCAAATGTCCACTTCCAGATACTACAAAAGGAGTGATTCAAACCTGCTCTATGATAGGGAATGTTCAACTCTGTGTCCTGAATACAAACATCACAAAGATGTTTCTCAGAACGCTGCAGTCTGCAATTTGTATGAATTCCCGCTTCCAACGAAATCCTCAAAACTAGCCAAATATCCACTTGCAGATTCCACAAAAAGACCATTTCAAAACTGCTCTATCAAAAGAAAGGTTCAACTTTGTTAGTTGAGTAGATACAGCATAAACAAGTTTCTGAGAATGCTTCTGTCCAGTTTTTATGGGAAGATATTTCCTTTTTCACCTTAGCCCTGAAATCGCTCCAAAAGTCCAGTTCCAGATACTACAAAAGGGGTGTTTCAGGACTGCCCTATGAAAGGGAGTGTTCAACTTTTGACTTGAATGCAAACATCAGAAAGCAGTTTCTCAGAACGCTGCTGTGTGCTTTTTATATGTATTCCCGCTTCCAGCGAAATCCCCAAAGCTAGCCAAATATCCACTTGCAGATTCCAGAAAAAGAGAGTTTCAAAACTGCTCCTTCAAAACGGTGGTTCAATTCTCTTAGTTGAGTACACACATCTCAAATAAGTTTCTGAGAATGCTTGTGTCTACTTGTTATGGGAAGATATTTCCTTTTTCAACATAGGCCTGAAAGCGCTCCAAATGTCCACTTCCAGATACTACAAAAGGAGTGATTCCAACCTCCTCTATGATAGGGAATGTTCAACTCTGTGTCCTGAATACAAACATCACAAAGATGTTTCTCAGAACGCTGCAGTCTGCAATTTGTATGAATTCCCGCTTCCAACGCAATCCTCAAAACTAACCAAATATCCACTTGCAGACTCCACAAAAAGAGCATTTCAAAACTGCTCTATCAAAAGAAAGGTTCAACTTTGTTAGCTGAGTAGATACAGCATAAACAAGTTTCTGAGAATGCTTCTGTCCAGTTTTTATGGGAAGATATTTCCTTTTTCACCTTAGCCCTGAAAGCACTCCAAATGTCCACTTCCAGATACCACAAAAGGGGAGTTTCAAGACTGCTCTATGAAAGGGAGTGTTCAACTTTTGACTTGAATGCGAACATCAGAAAGAAGTTTCTCAGAACGCTGCTGTGTGCTTTTTATATGTATTCCCGTTTCCAACGAAATCCTCAAAGCCAGCCAAATATCCACTTGCAGATTCCACAAAAAGAGTGTTTCAAAACTCCTCTCTCAAAAGAAATGTTCAACTCTGTCAGTTGAGGACACACATCACAAATAAGTTTCTGAGAATGCTTCTGTCTAGTTTTTATGGGAAGATATTTCCTTTTCCAACGTAGGCCTGAAAGCGCTCCAAATGTCCACTTCCATATACTAAAAAAGGAGTGTTTCAAACCTGCTCTACCAAAGGGAATGTTCTACTCTGTGACTTGAATGCAAACATCCCAAAGAAGTTTCTGAGAATGCTTCTGTCTAGATTTTCTCTGAAGACAATCCCGTTTCCAACGAAATCCTCAAGGCTAGGCAAATATACTCTTGCAGATTCCAGAAAAAGAGTGTTTCAAAACTGCTCCTTCAAAACGGTGGTTCAATTCTCTTAGTTGAGTACACACATCTCAAATAAGTTTCTGAGAATGCTTCTGCCTAGTTGTTACGGGAAGATATTTCCCTTTCCAACATGGGCCTGAAAGCGCTCCAAATGTCCACTTCCAGATACTACAAAAAGAGTGTTTCAAACCTGCTCTACCAAAGGGAATGTTCTACTCTGTGACTTGAATGCAAACATCCCAAAGAAGTTTCTGAGAATGCTTCTGTCTAGATTTTACCTGAAGACAATCCCGTTTCCCACGAAATCCTCAAAGCTATGCAAATATCCTCTTGCAGATTCTACAAAAAGAGTGTTTCAAAACTGCTCTATGAAAAGAAAGGTTCAACTCTGTCAGTAGAGGGCACACATCACAAACAAGTTTCTGAGAATGCTTCTGCATAGTTGTTACGGGAAGATATTTCCCTTTCCAAAATAGGCCTGAAAGCGCTCCAAATGTCCACTTCCAGATACTACAAAAGGAGTGATTCCAACCTGCTCTATGATAGGGAATGTTCAACTCTGTGTCCTGAATACAAACATCACAAAGATGTTTCTCAGAACGCTGCAGTCTGCAATTTGTATGAATTCCCGCTTCCAACGAAATCCTCAAAACTAGCCAAATATCCACTTGCAGATTCCACAAAAAGACCATTTCAAAACTGCTCTATCAAAAGAAAGGTTCAACTTTGTTAGTTGAGTAGATACAGCATAAACAAGTTTCTGAGAATGCTTCTGTCCAGTTTTTATGGGAAGATATTTCCTTTTTCACCTTAGCCCTGAAAGCGCTCCAAAAGTCCAGTTCCAGATACTACAAAAGTAGTGTTTCAGGACTGCTCTATGAAAGGGAGTGTTCAACTTTTGACTTGAATGCAAACATCAGAAAGCAGTTTCTCAGAACGCTGCTGTGTGCTTTTTATATGTATTCCCGCCTCCAGCGAAATCCCCAAAGCTAGCCAAATATCCACTTGCAGATTCCAGAAAAAGAGTGTTTCAAAACTGCTCCTTCAAAACGGTGGTTCAATTCTCTTAGTTGAGTACACACATCTCAAATAAGTTTCTGAGAATGCTTTCTGCCTAGTTTTTATGGGAAGATATTTCCTTTTTCACCTGAGGCCGGAAAGCGCTCCAAATGTCCACTTCCAGATACTACAAAAGGAGTGATTCAAACCTGCTCTATGATAGGGAATGTTCAACTCTGTGTCCTGAATACAAACATCACAAAGATGTTTCTCAGAACGCTGCAGTCTGCAATTTGTATGAATTCCCGCTTCCAACGCAATCCTCAAAACTAACCAAATATCCACTTGCAGACTCCACAAAAAGAGCATTTCAAAACTGCTCTATCAAAAGAAAGGTTCAACTTTGTTAGCTGAGTAGATACAGCATAAACAAGTTTCTGAGAATGCTTCTGTCCAGTTTTTATGGGAAGATATTTCCTTTTTCACCTTAGCCCTGAAAGCACTCCAAATGTCCACTTCCAGATACCACAAAAGGGGAGTTTCAAGACTGCTCTATGAAAGGGAGTGTTCAACTTTTGACTTGAATGCGAACATCAGAAAGAAGTTTCTCAGAACGCTGCTGTGTGCTTTTTATATGTATTCCCGCTTCCAGCGAAATCCCCAAAGCTAGCCAGATATCCACTGGCAGATTCCAGAAAAAGAGTGTTTCAAAACTGCTCCTTCAAAACGGTGGTTCAATTCTCTTAGTTGAGTACACACATCTCAAATAAGTTTCTGAGAATGCTTCTGTCTATTTGTTATGGGAAGATATTTCCTTTTCCAACATAGGCCTGAAAGCGCTCCAAATGTCCACTTCCAGATACTAGAAAAGGAGTGATTCAAACCTGCTCTATGATAGGGAATGTTCAACTCTGTGTCCTGAATACAAACATCACAAAGATGTTTCTCAGAACGCTGCAGTCTGCAATTTTGTATGAATTCCCGCTTCCAACGAAATCCTCAACACTAGCCAAATATCCACTTGGAGATTCCACAAAAAGAGCGTTTCAAAACTTCTCTATGAATAGAAAGGTTCTACTCCTTTAGTTGAGGACACACATCACGAGTAAGTTTCTGAGAATGCTTCTGTCTAGTTTTTATGGGAAGATATTTCCTTTTTCACCTTAGGCCGGTAAGTGCTCCAAATGTCCACTTACACACACTACAAAAAGAGTGTTTCAAACCTGCTCTGTGAAAGGGAATGTTCAATTCTGTGACTTGAATGCAATCATCACAAAGAACTTTCTGAGAATGCTGCTGACTGCTTTTTATATGTAATCCCGTTTCCAACGAAATCCTCAAATCTAGCCAAATAGCCACTTGCAGATTCCACAAAAAGAGTGTTTCAAAACTGTTCTGTCTAAAGAAATGTTCAACTGTGTTAGTTGAGGACACACATCAGAAACTAGTTTCTGAGAATGCTTCTGTCTAGTTGTTATGGGAAGATATTTCCTTTTCCAACGTAGGCCTGAAAGCGCTCCAAATGTCCACTTCCATATACTAAAAAAAGAGTGTTTCAAACCTGCTCTACCAAAGGGAATGTTCTACTCTGTGACTTGAATGCAAACATCCCAAAGAAGTTTCTGAGAATGCTTCTGTCTAGATTTTCTCTGAAGACAATCCCGTTTCCAACGAAATCCTCAAGGCTAGGCAAATATACTCTTGCAGATTCCAGAAAAAGAGTGTTTCAAAACTGCTCCTTCAAAACGGTGGTTCAATTCTCTTAGTTGAGTACACACATCTCAAATAAGTTTCTGAGAATGCTTCTGCCTAGTTGTTACGGGAAGATATTTCCCTTTCCAACATGGGCCTGAAAGCGCTCCAAATGTCCACTTCCAGATACTACAAAAAGAGTGTTTCAAACCTGCTCTACCAAAGGGAATGTTCTACTCTGTGACTTGAATGCAAACATCCCAAAGAAGTTTCTGAGAATGCTTCTGTCTAGATTTTACCTGAAGACAATCCCGTTTCCCACGAAATCCTCAAAGCTATGCAAATATCCTCTTGCAGATTCTACAAAAAGAGTGTTTCAAAAGTGCTCTATGAAAAGAAAGGTTCAACTCTGTCAGTAGAGGGCACACATCACAAACAAGTTTCTGAGAATGCTTCTGCATAGTTGTTACGGGAAGATATTTCCCTTTCCAAAATAGGCCTGAAAGCGCTCCAAATGTCCACTTCCAGATACTACAAAAGGAGTGATTCCAACCTGCTCTATGATAGGGAATGTTCAACTCTGTGTCCTGAATACAAACATCACAAAGATGTTTCTCAGAACGCTGCAGTCTGCAATTTGTATGAATTCCCGCTTCCAACGAAATCCTCAAAACTAGCCAAATATCCACTTGCAGATTCCACAAAAAGACCATTTCAAAACTGCTCTATCAAAAGAAAGGTTCAACTTTGTTAGTTGAGTAGATACAGCATAAACAAGTTTCTGAGAATGCTTCTGTCCAGTTTTTATGGGAAGATATTTCCTTTTTCACCTTAGCCCTGAAATCGCTCCAAAAGTCCAGTTCCAGATACTACAAAACGGGTGTTTCAAGACTGCTCTATGAAAGGGAGTGTTCAACTTTTGACTTGAATGCAAACATCAGAAAGCAGTTTCTCAGAACGCTGCTGTGTGCTTTTTATATGTATTCCCGCTTCCAGCGAAATCCCCAAAGCTAGCCAAATATCCACTTGCAGATTCCAGAAAAAGAGTGTTTCAAAACTGCTCCTTCAAAACGGTGGTTCAATTCTCTTAGTTGAGTACACACATCTCAAATAAGTTTCTGAGAATGCTTCTGTCTAGTTGTTATGGGAAGATATTTCCTTTTCCAACATAGGCCTGAAAGCGCTCCAAATGTCCACTTCCAGATACTACAAAAGGAGTGATTCCAACCTGCTCTATGATAGGGAATGTTCAACTCTGTGTCCTGAATACAAACATCACAAAGATGTTTCTCAGAACGCTGCAGTCTGCAATTTGTATGAATTCCCGCTTCCAACGAAATCCTCAAAACTAGCCAAATATCCACTTGCAGATTCCACAAAAAGAGCGTTTCAAAACTTCTCTATGAAAAGAAAGGTTCTACTCCTTTAGTTGAGGACACACATCACGAGTAAGTTTCTGAGAATGCTTCTGTCTAGTTTTTATGGGAAGATATTTCCTTTTTCACCTTAGGCCGGTAAGTGCTCCAAATGTCCACTTACACACACTACAAAAAGAGTGTTTCAAACCTGCTCTGTGAAAGGGAATGTTCAATTCTGTGACTTGAATGCAATCATCACAAAGAACTTTCTGAGAATGCTGCTGACTGCTTTTTATATGTAATCCCGTTTCCAACGAAATCCTCAAATCTAGCCAAATAGCCACTTGCAGATTCCACAAAAAGAGTGTTTCAAAACTGTTCTGTCTAAAGAAATGTTCAACTGTGTTAGTTGAGGACACACATCAGAAACTAGTTTCTGAGAATGCTTCTGTCTAGTTGTTATGGGAAGATATTTCCTTTTCCAACGTAAGGCCTGAAAGCGCTCCAAATGTCCACTTCCATATACTAAAAAAAGAGTGTTTCAAACCTGCTCTACCAAAGGGAATGTTCTACTCTGTGACTTGAATGCAAACATCCCAACGAAGTTTGTGAGAATGCTTCTGTCTAGATTTTATCTGAAGACAATCCCGTTTCCAACGAAATTCTCAAGGCTAGGCAAATATACTCTTGCAGATTCCAGAAAAAGAGTGTTTCAAAACTGCTCCTTCAAAACGGTGGTTCAATTCTCTTAGTTGAGTCCACGCATCTCAAATAAGTTTCTGAGAATGCTTCTGCCTAGTTGTTACGGGAAGATATTTCCCTTTCCAACATGGGCCTGAAAGCGCTCCAAATGTCCACTTCCAGATACTACAAAAAGAGTGTTTCAAACCTGCTCTACCAAAGGGAATGTTCTACTCTGTGACTTGAATGCAAACATCCCAAAGAAGTTTCTGAGAATGCTTCTGTCTAGATTTTACCTGAAGACAATCCCGTTTCCCACGAAATCCTCAAAGCTATGCAAATATCCTCTTGCAGATTCTACAAAAAGAGTGTTTCAAAACTGCTCTATGAAAAGAAAGGTTCAACTCTGTCAGTAGAGGGCACACATCACAAACAAGTTTCTGAGAATGCTTCTGCATAGTTGTTACGGGAAGATATTTCCCTTTCCAAAATAGGCCTGAAAGCGCTCCAAATGTCCACTTCCAGATACTACAAAAGGAGTGATTCCAACCTGCTCTATGATAGGGAATGTTCAACTCTGTGTCCTGAATACAAACATCACAAAGATGTTTCTCAGAACGCTGCAGTCTGCAATTTGTATGAATTCCCGCTTCCAACGAAATCCTCAAAACTAGCCAAATATCCACTTGCAGATTCCACAAAAAGACCATTTCAAAACTGCTCTATCAAAAGAAAGGTTCAACTTTGTTAGTTGAGTAGATACAGCATAAACAAGTTTCTGAGAATGCTTCTGTCCAGTTTTTATGGGAAGATATTTCCTTTTTCACCTTAGCCCTGAAAGCGCCCCAAATGTCCAGTTCCAGATACTACAAAAGGGGTGTTTCAAGACTGCTCTATGAAAGGGAGTGTTCAACTTTTGATTTGAATGCAAACATCAGAAAGCAGTTTCTCAGAACGCTGCTGTGTGTTTTTTATATGTATTCCCGCTTCCAGCGAAATCCCCAAAGCTAGCCAAATATCCACTTGCAGATTCCAGAAAAAGAGCGTTTCAAAACTGCTCCTTGAAAACGGTGGTTCAATTCTCTTAGTTGACTACACCCATCTCAAATAAGTTTGTGAGAATGCTTCCTGTCCAGTTTTTATGGGAAGATATTTCCTTTTTCACCTTAGCCCTGAAAGCGCTCCAAAAGTCCAGTTCCAGATACTACAAAAGGAGTGTTTCAGGACTGCACTATGAAAGGGAGTGTTCAACTTTTGACTTGAATGCAAACATCAGAAAGCAGTTTCTCAGAACGCTGCTGTATGCTTTTTATATGTATTCCCGCTTCCAGCGAAATCCCCAAAGCTAGCCAAATATCCACTTGCAGATTCCAGAAAAAGTGTTTCAAAACTGCTCCTTCAAAACGGTGGTTCAATTCTCTTAGTTGAGTACACACATCTCAAATAAGTTTCTGAGAATGCTTCCTGTCTATTTGTTATGGGAAGATATTTCCTTTTCCAACATAGGGCCTGAAAGCGCTCCAAATGTCCACTTCCAGATACTACAAAAGGAGTGATTCAAACCTGCTCTATGATAGGGAATGTTCAACTCTGTGTCCTGAATACAAACATCACAAAGATGTTTCTCAGAACGCTGCAGTCTGCAATTTGTATGAATTCCCGCTTCCAACGAAATCCTCCAAACTAGCCAAATATCCACTTGCAGATTCCACAAAAAGAGCGTTTCAAAACTTCTCTATGAAAGAAAGGTTCTACTCCTTTAGTTGAGGACACACATCACGAGTAAGTTTCTGAGAATGCTTCTGTCTAGTTTTTATGGGAAGATATTTCCTTTCTCACCTTAGGCCGGAAAGTGCTCCAAATGTCCACTTACACACACTACAAAAAGAGTGTTTCAAACCTGCTCTGTGAAAGGGAATGTTCAATTCTGTGACTTGAATGCAATCATCACAAAGAACTTTCTGAGAATGCTGGTGTCTGCTTTTTATATGTAATCCCGTTTCCAACGAAATCCTCAAATCTAGCCAAATAGCCACTTGCAGATTCCACAAAAAGAGAGTTTCAAAACTGTTCTGTCTAAAGAAATGTTCAACTGTGTTAGTTGAGGACACACATCAGAAACTAGTTTCTGAGAATGCTTCTGTCTAGTTGTTATGGGAAGATATTTCCTTTTCCAACGTAGGCCTGAAAGCGCTCCAAATGTCCACTTCCATATACTAAAAAAAGAGTGTTTCAAACCTGCTCTACCAAAGGGAATGTTCTACTCTGTGACTTGAATGCAAACATCCCAAAGAAGTTTCTGAGAATGCTTCTGTCTAGATTTGATCTGAACACAATCCCGTTTCCAACGAAATCCTCAAAGCTAGGCAAATATCCTCTTGCAGATTCCAGAAAAAGAGTGTTTCAAAACTGCTCCTTCAAAACGGTGGTTCAATTCTCTTAGTTGAGTACACACATCTCAAATAAGTTTCTGAGAATGCTTCTGCCTAGTTGTTACGGGAAGATATTTCCCTTTCCAACATGGGCCTGAAAGCGCTCCAAATGTCCACTTCCAGATACTACAAAAAGAGTGTTTCAAACCTGCTCTACCAAAGGGAATGTTCTACTCTGTGACTTGAATGCAAACATCCCAAAGAAGTTTCTGAGAATGCTTCTGTCTAGATTTTACCTGAAGACAATCCCGTTTCCCACGAAATCCTCAAAGCTATGCAAATATCCTCTTGCAGATTCTACAAAAAGAGTGTTTCAAAACTGCTCTATGAAAAGAAAGGTTCAACTCTGTCAGTAGAGGGCACACATCACAAACAAGTTTCTGAGAATGCTTCTGCATAGTTGTTACGGGAAGATATTTCCCTTTCCAAAATAGGCCTGAAAGCGCTCCAAATGTCCACTTCCAGATACTACAAAAGGAGTGATTCCAACCTGCTCTATGATAGGGAATGTTCAACTCTGTGTCCTGAATACAAACATCACAAAGATGTTTCTCAGAACGCTGCAGTCTGCAATTTGTATGAATTCCCGCTTCCAACGAAATCCTCAAAACTAGCCAAATAGCCACTTGCAGATTCCACAAAAAGACCATTTCAAAACTGCTCTATCAAAAGAAAGGTTCAACTTTGTTAGTTGAGTAGATACAGCATAAACAAGTTTCTGAGAATGCTTCTGTCCAGTTTTTATGGGAAGATATTTCCTTTTTCACCTTAGCCCTGAAATCGCTCCAAAAGTCCAGTTCCAGATACTACAAAAGGGGTGTTTCAAGACTGCTCTATGAAAGGGAGTGTTCAACTTTTGACTTGAATGCAAACATCAGAAAGCAGTTTCTCAGAACGCTGCTGTGTGCTTTTTATATGTATTCCCGCTTCCAGCGAAATCCCCAAAGCTAGCCAAATATCCACTTGCAGATTCCAGAAAAAGAGAGTTTCAAAACTGCTCCTTCAAAACGGTGGTTCAATTCTCTTAGTTGAGTACACACATCTCAAATAAGTTTCTGAGAATGCTTCTGTCTAGTTGTTATGGGAAGATATTTCCTTTTCCAACATAGGCCTGAAAGCAATCCAAATGTCCACTTCCAGATACTACAAAAGGAGTGATTCAAACCTGCTCTATGATAGGGAATGTTCAACTCTGTGTCCTGAATACAAACATGACAAAGATGTTTCTCAGAACGCTGCAGTCTGCAATTTGTATGAATTCCCGCTTCCAACGAAATCCTCAAAACTAGCCAAATATCCACTTGCAGATTCCACAAAAAGAGCGTTTCAAAACTTCTCTATGAAAAGAAAGGTTCTACTCCTTTAGTTGAGGACACACATCACGAGTAAGTTTCTGAGAATGCTTCTGTCTAGTTTTTATGGGAAGATATTTCCTTTTTCACCTTAGGCCGGTAAGTGCTCCAAATGTCCACTTACACACACTACAAAAAGAGTGTTTCAAACCTGCTCTGTGAAAGGGAATGTTCAATTCTGTGACTTGAATGCAATCATCACAAAGAACTTTCTGAGAATGCTGCTGACTGCTTTTTATATGTAATCCCGTTTCCAACGAAATCCTCAAATCTAGCCAAATAGCCACTTGCAGATTCCACAAAAAGAGTGTTTCAAAACTGTTCTGTCTAAAGAAATGTTCAACTGTGTTAGTTGAGGACACACATCAGAAACGAGTTTCTGAGAATGCTTCTGTCTAGTTGTTATGGGAAGATATTTCCTTTTCCAACGTAGGCCTGAAAGCGCTCCAAATGTCCACTTCCAGATACTACAAAAAGAGTGTTTCAAACCTGCTCTACCAAAGGGAATGTTCTACTCTGTGACTTGAATGCAAGCATCCCAAAGAAGTTTCTGAGAATGCTTCTGTCTAGATTTTCTCTGAAGACAATCCCGTTTCCAACGAAATCCTCAAGGCTAGGCAAATATCCTCTTGCAGATTCCAGAAAAAGAGTGTTTCAAAACTGCTCCTTCAAAACGGTGGTTCAATTCTCTTAGTTGAGTACACACATCTCAAATAAGTTTCTGAGAATGCTTCTGCCTAGTTGTTACGGGAAGATATTTCCCTTTCCAACATGGGCCTGAAAGCGCTCCAAATGTCCACTTCCAGATACTACAAAAAGAGTGTTTCAAACCTGCTCTACCAAAGGGAATGTTCTACTCTGTGACTTGAATGCAAACATCCCAAAGAAGTTTCTGAGAATGCTTCTGTCTAGATTTTACCTGAAGACAATCCCGTTTCCCACGAAATCCTCAAAGCTATGCAAATATCCTCTTGCAGATTCTACAAAAAGAGTGTTTCAAAACTGCTCTATGAAAAGAAAGGTTCAACTCTGTCAGTAGAGGGCACACATCACAAACAAGTTTCTGAGAATGCTTCTGCATAGTTGTTACGGGAAGATATTTCCCTTTCCAAAATAGGCCTGAAAGCGCTCCAAATGTCCACTTCCAGATACTACAAAAGGAGTGATTCCAACCTGCTCTATGATAGGGAATGTTCAACTCTGTGTCCTGAATACAAACATCACAAAGATGTTTCTCAGAACGCTGCAGTCTGCAATTTGTATGAATTCCCGCTTCCAACGAAATCCTCAAAACTAGCCAAATATCCACTTGCAGATTCCACAAAAAGACCATTTCAAAACTGCTCTATCAAAAGAAAGGTTCAACTTTGTTAGTTGAGTAGATACAGCATAAACAAGTTTCTGAGAATGCTTCTGTCCAGTTTTTATGGGAAGATATTTCCTTTTTCACCTTAGCCCTGAAATCGCTCCAAAAGTCCAGTTCCAGATACTACAAAAGGGGTGTTTCAAGACTGCTCTATGAAAGGGAGTGTTCAACTTTTGACTTGAATGCAAACATCAGAAAGCAGTTTCTCAGAACGCTGCTGTGTGCTTTTTATATGTATTCCCGCTTCCAGCGAAATCCCCAAAGCTAGCCAAATATCCACTTGCAGATTCCAGAAAAAGAGAGTTTCAAAACTGCTCCTTCAAAACGGTGGTTCAATTCTCTTAGTTGAGTACACACATCTCAAATAAGTTTCTGAGAATGCTTCTGTCTAGTTGTTATGGGAAGATATTTCCTTTTCCAACATAGGCCTGAAAGCGCTCCAAATGTCCACTTCCAGATACTACAAAAGGAGTGATTCCAACCTGCTCTATGATAGGGAATGTTCAACTCTGTGTCCTGAATACAAACATCACAAAGATGTTTCTCAGAACGCTGCAGTCTGCAATTTGTATGAATTCCCGCTTCCAACGAAATCCTCAAAACTAGCCAAATATCCACTTGCAGATTCCACAAAAAGAGCGTTTCAAAACTTCTCTATGAAAAGAAAGGTTCTACTCCTTTAGTTGAGGACACACATCACGAGTAAGTTTCTGAGAATGCTTCTGTCTAGTTTTTATGGGAAGATATTTCCTTTTTCACCTTAGGCCGGTAAGTGCTCCAAATGTCCACTTACACACACTACAAAAAGAGTGTTTCAAACCTGCTCTGTGAAAGGGAATGTTCAATTCTGTGACTTGAATGCAATCATCACAAAGAACTTTCTGAGAATGCTGCTGACTGCTTTTTATATGTAATCCCGTTTCCAACGAAATCCTCAAATCTAGCCCAATATCCACTTGCAGATTCCACAAAAAGAGTGTTTCAAAACTGTTCTGTGTAAAGAAATGTACAACTGTGTTAGTTGAGGACACACATCAGAAACTAGTTTCTGAGAATGCTTCTGTCTAGTTGTTATGGGAAGATATTTCCTTTTCCAACGTAGGCCTGAAAGCGATCCAAATGTCCACTTCCATATACTAAAAAAAGAGTGTTTCAAACCTGCTCTACCAAAGGGAATGTTCTACTCTGTGACTTGAATGCAAACATCCCAAAGAAGTTTCTGAGAATGCTTCTGTCTAGATTTTCTCTGAAGACAATCCCGTTTCCAACGAAATCCTCAAGGCTAGGCAAATATACTCTTGCAGATTCCAGAAAAAGAGTGTTTCAAAACTGCTCCTTCAAAACGGTGGTTCAATTCTCTTAGTTGAGTACACACATCTCAAATAAGTTTCTGAGAATGCTTCTGCCTAGTTGTTACGGGAAGATATTTCCCTTTCCAACATGGGCCTGAAAGCGCTCCAAATGTCCACTTCCAGATACTACAAAAAGAGTGTTTCAAACCTGCTCTACCAAAGGGAATGTTCTACTCTGTGACTTGAATGCAAACATCCCAAAGAAGTTTCTGAGAATGCTTCTGTCTAGATTTTACCTGAAGACAATCCCGTTTCCCACGAAATCCTCAAAGCTATGCAAATATCCTCTTGCAGATTCTACAAAAAGAGTGTTTCAAAACTGCTCTATGAAAAGAAAGGTTCAACTCTGTCAGTAGAGGGCACACATCACAAACAAGTTTCTGAGAATGCTTCTGCATAGTTGTTACGGGAAGATATTTCCCTTTCCAAAATAGGCCTGAAAGCGCTCCAAATGTCCACTTCCAGATACTACAAAAGGAGTGATTCCAACCTGCTCTATGATAGGGAATGTTCAACTCTGTGTCCTGAATACAAACATCACAAAGATGTTTCTCAGAACGCTGCAGTCTGCAATTTGTATGAATTCCCGCTTCCAACGAAATCCTCAAAACTAGCCAAATATCCACTTGCAGATTCCACAAAAAGACCATTTCAAAACTGCTCTATCAAAAGAAAGGTTCAACTTTGTTAGTTGAGTAGATACAGCATAAACAAGTTTCTGAGAATGCTTCTCTGTCCAGTTTTTATGGGAAGATATTTCCTTTTTCACCTTAGCCCTGAAAGCACTCCAAATGACCACTTCCAGATACCACAAAAGGGGAGTTTCAAGACTGCTCTATGAAAGGGAGTGTTCAACTTTTGACTTGAATGCGAACATCAGAAAGAAGTTTCTCAGAACGCTTGCTGTGTGCTTTTTATATGTATTCCCGCTTCCAGCGAAATCCCCAAAGCTAGCCAAATATCCACTTGCAGATTCCAGAAAAAGAGTGTTTCAAAACTGCTCCTTCAAAACGGTGGTTCAATTCTCTTAGTTGAGTACACACATCTCAAATAAGTTTCTGAGAATGCTTCTGTCTAGTTGTTATGGGAAGATATTTCCTTTTCCAACATAGGCCTGAAAGCGCTCCAAATGTCCACTTCCAGATACTACAAAAGGAGTGATTCCAACCTGCTCTATGATAGGGAATGTTCAACTCTGTGTCCTGAATACAAACATCACAAAGATGTTTCTCAGAACGCTGCAGTCTGCAATTTGTATGAATTCCCGCTTCCAACGAAATCCTCCAAACTAGCCAAATATCCACTTGCAGATTCCACAAAAAGAGCGTTTCAAAACTTCTCTATGAAAAGAAAGGTTCTACTCCTTTAGTTGAGGACACACATCACGAGTAAGTTTCTGAGAATGCTTCTGTCTAGTTTTTATGGGAAGATATTTCCTTTTTCACCTTAGGCCGGAAAGCGCTCCAAATGTCCACTTACACACACTACAAAAAGAGTGTTTCAAACCTGCTCTGTGAAAGGGAATGTTCAATTTCTGTGACTTGAATGCAATCATCACAAAGAACTTTCTGAGAATGCTGCTGACTGCTTTTTATATGTAATCCCGTTTCCAACGAAATCCTCAAATCTAGCCAAATAGCCACTTGCAGATTCCACAAAAAGAGTGTTTCAAAACTGTTCTGTCTAAAGAAATGTTCAACTGTGTTAGTTGAGGACACACATCAGAAACTAGTTTCTGAGAATGCTTCTGTCTAGTTGTTATGGGAAGATATTTCCTTTTCCAACGTAGGCCTGAAAGCGCTCCAAATGTCCACTTCCATATACTAAAAAAAGAGTGTTTCAAACCTGCTCTACCAAAGGGAATGTTCTACTCTGTGACATGAATGCAAACATCCCAAAGAAGTTTCTGAGAATGCTTCTGTCTAGATTTGATCTGAAGACAATCCCGTTTCCAACGAAATCCTCAAGGCTAGGCAAATATCCTCTTGCAGATTCCAGAAAAAGAGTGTTTCAAAACTGCTCCTTCAAAACGGTGGTTCAATTCTCTTAGTTGAGTACACACATCTCAAATAAGTTTCTGAGAATGCTTCTGCCTAGTTGTTACGGGAAGATATTTCCCTTTGCAACATGGGCCAGAAAGCGCTCCAAATGTCCACTTCCAGATACTACAAAAAGAGGGTTTCAAACCTGCTCTACCAAAGGGAATGTTCTACTCTGTGACTTGAATGTAAACATCCCAAAGAAGTTTCTGAGAATGCTTCTGTCTAGATTTTACCTGAAGACAATCCCGTTTCCCACGAAATCCTCAAAGCTATGCAAATATCCTCTTGCAGATTCTACAAAAAGAGTGTTTCAAAACTGCTCTATGAAAAGAAAGGTTCAACTCTGTCAGTAGAGGGCACACATCACAAACAAGTTTCTGAGAATGCTTGTGTCTAGTTGTTATGGGAAGATATTTCCTTTTTCAACATAGGCCTGAAAGCGCTCCAAATGTCCACTTCCAGATACTACAAAAGGAGTGATTCCAACCTGCTCTATGATAGGGAATGTTCATCTCTGTGTCCTGAATACAAACATCACAAAGATGTTTCTCAGAACGCTGCAGTCTGCAATTTGTATGAATTCCC
Source organism: Homo sapiens (assembly GCF_000001405.40). Classification (NCBI taxonomy): domain Eukaryota; kingdom Metazoa; phylum Chordata; class Mammalia; order Primates; family Hominidae; genus Homo; species Homo sapiens. Next base: position 15,953,600 of record NC_000018.10, on the reverse strand, counting down.
GCTTCCAACGAAATCCTCAAAACTAGCCAAATATCCACTTGGAGATTCCACAAAAAGAGCATTTCAAAACTTCTCTATGAATAGAAAGGTTCTACTCCTTTAGTTGAGGACACACATCACGAGTAAGTTTCTGAGAATGCTTCTGTCTAGTTTTTATGGGAAGATATTTCCTTTTTCACCTTAGGCCGGAAAGCGCTCCAAATGTCCACTTACACACACTACAAAAAGAGTGTTTCAAACCTGCTATGTGAAAGGGAATGTTCAATTCTGTGACTTGAATGCAATCATCACAAAGAACTTTCTGAGAATGCTGCTGTCTGCTTTTTATATGTAATCCCGTTTCCAACGAAATCCTCAAATCTAGCCAAATATCCACTTGCAGATTCCACAAAAAGAGTGTTTCAAAACTGTTCTGTCTAAAGAAAAGTTCAACTGTGTTAGTTGAGGACACACATCAGAAACTAGTTTCTGAGAATGCTTCTGTCTAGTTGTTATGGGAAGATATTTCCTTTTCCAACGTAGGCCTGAAAGCGCTCCAAATGTCCACTTCCATATACTAAAAAAAGAGTGTTTCACACCTGCTCTACCAAAGGGAATGTTCTACTCTGTGACTTGAATGCAAACATCCCAAAGAAGTTTTCTGAGAATGCTTCTGTCTAGATTTTATCTGAAGACAATCCCGTTTCCAACGAAATCCTCAAGGCTAGGCAAATATCCTCTTGCAGATTCCAGAAAAAGAGTGTTTCAAAACTGCTCCTTCAAAACGGTGGTTCAATTCTCTTAGTTGAGTACACACATCTCAAATAAGTTTCTGAGAATGCTTCTGCCTAGTTGTTACGGGAAGATATTTCCCTTTCCAACATAGGCCTGAAAGCGCTCCAAATGTCCACTTCCAGATACTACAAAAAGAGTGTTTCAAACCTGCTCTACCAAAGGGAATGTTCTACTCTGTGACTTGAATGCAAACATCCCAAAGAAGTTTCTGAGAATGCTTCTGTCTAGATTTTACCTGAAGACAATCCCGTTTCCCACGAAATCCTCAAAGCTATGCAAATATCCTCTTGCAGATTCTACAAAAAGAGTGTTTCAAAACTGCTCTATGAAAAGAAAGGTTCAACTCTGTCAGTAGAGGGCACACATCACAAACAAGTTTCTGAGAATGCTTCTGCATAGTTGTTACGGGAAGATATTTCCCTTTCCAAAATAGGCCTGAAAGCGCTCCAAATGTCCACTTCCAGATACTACAAAAGGAGTGATTCCAACCTGCTCTATGATAGGGAATGTTCAACTCTGTGTCCTGAATACAAACATCACAAAGATGTTTCTCAGAACGCTGCAGTCTGCAATTTGTATGAATTCCCGCTTCCAACGAAATCCTCAAAACTAGCCAAATATCCACTTGCAGATTCCACAAAAAGACCATTTCAAAACTGCTCTATCAAAAGAAAGGTTCAACTTTGTTAGTTGAGTAGATACAGCATAAACAAGTTTCTGAGAATGCTTCTGTCCAGTTTTTATGGGAAGATATTTCCTTTTTCACCTTAGCCCTGAAATCGCTCAAAAAGTCCAGTTCCAGATACTACAAAAGGGGTGTTTCAAGACTGCTCTATGAAAGGGAGTGTTCAACTTTTGACTTGAATGCAAACATCAGAAAGCAGTTTCTCAGAACGCTGCTGTGTGCTTTTTATATGTATTCCCGCTTCCAGCGAAATCCCCAAAGCTAGCCAAATATCCACTTGCAGATTCCAGAAAAAGAGTGTGTCAAAACTGCTCCTTCAAAACGGTGGTTCAATTCTCTTAGTTGAGTACACACATCTCAAATAAGTTTCTGAGAATGCTTGTGTCTAGTTGTTATGGGAAGATATTTCCTTTTTCAACATAGGCCTGAAAGCGCTCCAAATGTCCACTTCCAGATACTACAAAAGGAGTGATTCCAACCTGCTCTATGATAGGGAATGTTCATCTCTGTGTCCTGAATAAAAACATCACAAAGATGTTTCTCATAACGCTGCAGTCTGCAATTTGTATGAATTCCCGCTTCCAACGAAATCCTCAAAACTAGCCAAATATCCACTTGGAGATTCCACAAAAAGAGCGTTTCAAAACTTCTCTATGAATAGGAAGGTTCTACTCCTTTAGTTGAGGACACACATCACGAGTAAGTTTCTGAGAATGCTTCTGTCTAGTTTTTATGGGAAGATATGTCCTTTTTCACCTTAGGCCGGAAAGCGCTCCAAATGTCCACTTACACACACTACAAAAAGAGTGTTTCAAACCTGCTCTGTGAAAGGGAATGTTCAATTCTGTGACTTGAATGCAATCATCACAAAGAACTTTCTGAGAATGCTGCTGACTGCTTTTTATATGTAATCCCGTTTCCAACGAAATCCTCAAATCTAGCCCAATATCCACTTGCAGATTCCACAAAAAGAGTGTTTCAAAACTGTTCTGTCTAAAGAAATGTACAACTGTGTTAGTTGAGGACACACATCAGAAACTAGTTTCTGAGAATGCTTCTGTCTAGTTGTTATGGGAAGATATTTCCTTTTCCAACGTAGGCCTGAAAGCGCTCCAAATGTCCACTTCCATATACTAAAAAAAGACTGTTTCAAACCTGCTCTACCAAAGGGAATGTTCTACTCTGTGACTTGAATGCAAACATCCCAAAGAAGTTTCTGAGAATGCTTCTGTCTAGATTTTATCTGAAGACAATCCCGTTTCCAACGAAATCCTCAAGGCTAGGCAAATATACTCTTGCAGATTCCAGAAAAAGAGTGTTTCAAAACTGCTCCTTCAAAACGGTGGTTCAATTCTCTTAGTTGAGTACACACATCTCAAATAAGTTTCTGAGAATGCTTCTGCCTAGTTGTTACGGGAAGATATTTCCCTTTCCAACATGGGCCTGAAAGCGCTCCAAATGTCCACTTCCAGATACTACAAAAAGAGTGTTTCAAACCTGCTCTACCAAAGGGAATGTTCTACTCTGTGACTTGAATGCAAACATCCCAAAGAAGTTTCTGAGAATGCTTCTGTCTAGATTTTACCTGAAGACAATCCCGTTTCCCACGAAATCCTCAAAGCTATGCAAATATCCTCTTGCAGATTCTACAAAAAGAGTGTTTCAAAACTGCTCTATGAAAAGAAAGGTTCAACTCTGTCAGTAGAGGGCACACATCACAAACAAGTTTCTGAGAATGCTTCTGCATAGTTGTTACGGGAAGATATTTCCCTTTCCAAAATAGGCCTGAAAGCGCTCCAAATGTCCACTTCCAGATACTACAAAAGGAGTGATTCCAACCTGCTCTATGATAGGGAATGTTCAACTCTGTGTCCTGAATACAAACATCACAAAGATGTTTCTCAGAACGCTGCAGTCTGCAATTTGTATGAATTCCCGCTTCCAACGAAATCCTCAAAACTAGCCAAATATCCACTTGCAGATTCCACAAAAAGACCATTTCAAAACTGCTCTATCAAAAGAAAGGTTCAACTTTGTTAGTTGAGTAGATACAGCATAAACAAGTTTCTGAGAATGCTTCTGTCCAGTTTTTATGGGAAGATATTTCCTTTTTCACCTTAGCCCTGAAATCGCTCCAAAAGTCCAGTTCCAGATACTACAAAAGGGGTGTTTCAAGACTGCTCTATGAAAGGGAGTGTTCAACTTTTGACTTGAATGCAAACATCAGAAAGCAGTTTCTCAGAACGCTGCTGTGTGCTTTTTATATGTATTCCCGCTTCCAGCGAAATCCCCAAAGCTAGCCAAATATCCACTTGCAGATTCCAGAAAAAGAGAGTTTCAAAACTGCTCCTTCAAAACGGTGGTTCAATTCTCTTAGTTGAGTACACACATCTCAAATAAGTTTCTGAGAATGCTTCTGTCTAGTTGTTATGGGAAGATATTTCCTTTTCCAACATAGGCCTGAAAGCGCTCCAAATGTCCACTTCCAGATACTACAAAAGGAGTGATTCCAACCTGCTCTATGATAGGGAATGTTCAACTCTGTGTCCTGAATACAAACATCACAAAGATGTTTCTCAGAACGCTGCAGTCTGCAATTTGTATGAATTCCCGCTTCCAACGAAATCCTCAAAACTAGCCAAATATCCACTTGCAGATTCCACAAAAAGAGCGTTTCAAAACTTCTCTATGAAAAGAAAGGTTCTACTCCTTTAGTTGAGGACACACATCACGAGTAAGTTTCTGAGAATGCTTCTGTCTAGTTTTTATGGGAAGATATTTCCTTTTTCACCTTAGGCCGGTAAGTGCTCCAAATGTCCACTTACACACACTACAAAAAGAGTGTTTCAAACCTGCTCTGTGAAAGGGAATGTTCAATTCTGTGACTTGAATGCAATCATCACAAAGAACTTTCTGAGAATGCTGCTGACTGCTTTTTATATGTAATCCCGTTTCCAACGAAATCCTCAAATCTAGCCAAATAGCCACTTGCAGATTCCACAAAAAGAGTGTTTCAAAACTGTTCTGTCTAAAGAAATGTTCAACTGTGTTAGTTGAGGACACACATCAGAAACTAGTTTCTGAGAATGCTTCTGTCTAGTTGTTATGGGAAGATATTTCCTTTTCCAACGTAGGCCTGAAAGCGCTCCAAATGTCCACTTCCAGATACTACAAAAAGAGTGTTTCAAACCTGCTCTACCAAAGGGAATGTTCTACTCTGTGACTGGAATGCAAGCATCCCAAAGAAGTTTCTGAGAATGCTTCTGTCTAGATTTTCTCTGAAGACAATCCCGTTTCCAACGAAATCCTCAAGGCTAGGCAAATATACTCTTGCAGATTCCAGAAAAAGAGTGTTTCAAAACTGCTCCTTCAAAACGGTGGTTCAATTCTCTTAGTTGAGTACACACATCTCAAATAAGTTTCTGAGAATGCTTCTGCCTAGTTGTTACGGGAAGATATTTCCCTTTCCAACATGGGCCTGAAAGCGCTCCAAATGTCCACTTCCAGATACTACAAAAAGAGTGTTTCAAACCTGCTCTACCAAAGGGAATGTTCTACTCTGTGACTTGAATGCAAACATCCCAAAGAAGTTTCTGAGAATGCTTCTGTCTAGATTTTACCTGAAGACAATCCCGTTTCCCACGAAATCCTCAAAGCTATGCAAATATCCTCTTGCAGATTCTACAAAAAGAGTGTTTCAAAACTGCTCTATGAAAAGAAAGGTTCAACTCTGTCAGTAGAGGGCACACATCACAAACAAGTTTCTGAGAATGCTTCTGCATAGTTGTTACGGGAAGATATTTCCCTTTCCAAAATAGGCCTGAAAGCGCTCCAAATGTCCACTTCCAGATACTACAAAAGGAGTGATTCCAACCTGCTCTATGATAGGGAATGTTCAACTCTGTGTCCTGAATACAAACATCACAAAGATGTTTCTCAGAACGCTGCAGTCTGCAATTTGTATGAATTCCCGCTTCCAACGAAATCCTCAAAACTAGCCAAATATCCACTTGCAGATTCCACAAAAAGACCATTTCAAAACTGCTCTATCAAAAGAAAGGTTCAACTTTGTTAGTTGAGTAGATACAGCATAAACAAGTTTCTGAGAATGCTTCTGTCCAGTTTTTATGGGAAGATATTTCCTTTTTCACCTTAGCCCTGAAATCGCTCCAAAAGTCCAGTTCCAGATACTACAAAAGGGGTGTTTCAAGACTGCTCTATGAAAGGGAGTGTTCAACTTTTGACTTGAATGCAAACATCAGAAAGCAGTTTCTCAGAACGCTGCTGTGTGCTTTTTATATGTATTCCCGCTTCCAGCGAAATCCCCAAAGCTAGCCAAATATCCACTTGCAGATTCCAGAAAAAGAGAGTTTCAAAACTGCTCCTTCAAAACGGTGGTTCAATTCTCTTAGTTGAGTACACACATCTCAAATAAGTTTCTGAGCAATGCTTCTGTCTAGTTGTTATGGGAAGATATTTCCTTTTTCAACATAGGCCTGAAAGCGCTCCAAATGTCCACTTCCAGATACTACAAAAGGAGTGATTCCAACATGCTCTATGAGAGGGAATGTTCATCTCTGTGTCTTGAATACAAACATCACAAAGATGTTTCTCAGAACGCTGCAGTCTGCAATTTGTATGAATTCCCGCTTCCAACGAAATCCTCAAAACTAGCCAAATATCCACTTGGAGATTCCACAAAAAGAGCGTTTCAAAACTTCTCTATGAATAGAAAGGTTCTACTCCTTTAGTTGAGGACACACATCACGAGTAAGTTTCTGAGAATGCTTCTGTCTAATTTTTATGGGAAGATATGTCCTTTTTCACCTTAGGCCGGAAAGCGCTCCAAATGTCCACTTACACACACTACAAAAAGAGTGTTTCAAACCTGCTCTGTGAAAGGGAATGTTCAATTCTGTGACTTGAATGCAATCATCACAAAGAACTTTCTGAGAATGCTGCTGTCTGCTTTTTATATGTAATCCCGTTTCCAACGAAATCCTCAAATCTAGCCCAATATCCACTTGCAGATTCCACAAAAAGAGTGTTTCAAAACTGTTCTGTCTAAAGAAAAGTTCAACTGTGTTAGTTGAGGACACACATCAGAAACTAGTTTCTGAGAATGCTTCTGTCTAGTTGTTATGGGAAGATATTTCCTTTTCCAACGTAGGCCTGAAAGCGCTCCAAATGTCCACTTCCATATACTAAAAAAAGAGTGTTTCAAACCTGCTCTACCAAAGGGAATGTTCTACTCTGTGACTTGAATGCAAACATCCCAAAGAAGTTTCTGAGAATGCTTCTGTCTAGATTTTATCTGAAGACAATCCCGTTTCCAACGAAATCCTCAAGGCTAGGCAAATATACTCTTGCAGATTCCAGAAAAAGAGGGTTTCAAAACTGCTCCTTCAAAACGGTGGTTCAATTCTCTTAGTTGAGTACACACATCTCAAATAAGTTTCTGAGAATGCTTCTGCCTAGTTGTTACGGGAAGATATTTCCCTTTCCAACATGGGCCTGAAAGCGCTCCAAATGTCCACTTCCAGATACTACAAAAAGAGTGTTTCAAACCTGCTCTACCAAAGGGAATGTTCTACTCTGTGACTTGAATGCAAACATCCCAAAGAAGTTTCTGAGAATGCTTCTGTCTAGATTTTACCTGAAGACAATCCCGTTTCCCACGAAATCCTCAAAGCTATGCAAATATCCTCTTGCGGATTCTACAAAAAGAGTGTTTCAAAACTGCTCTATGAAAAGAAAGGTTCAACTCTGTCAGTAGAGGGCACACATCACAAACAAGTTTCTGAGAATGCTTGTGTCTAGTTGTTATGGGAAGATATTTCCTTTTTCAACATAGGCCTGAAAGCGCTCCAAATGTCCACTTCCAGATACTACAAAAGGAGTGATTCCAACCTGCTCTATGATAGGGAATGTTCATCTCTGTGTCTTGAATACAAACATCACAAAGATGTTTCTCAGAACGCTGCAGTCTGCAATTTGTATGAATTCCCGCTTCCAACGAAATCCTCAAAACCAGCCAAATATCCACTTGCAGATTCCACAAAAAGAGCATTTCAAAACTGCTCTATCAAAAGAAAGGTTCAACTTTGTTAGTTGAGTAGATACAGCATAAACAAGTTTCTGAGAATGCTTCTGTCCAGTTTTTATGGGAAGATATTTCCTTTTTCACCTTAGCCCTGAAGGCGCTCCAAATGTCCAGTTCCAGATACTACAAAAGGGGTGTTTCAAGACTGCTCTATGAAAGGGAGTGTTCAACTTTTGACTTGAATGCAAACATCAGAAAGCAGTTTCTCAGAACGCTGCTGTGTGCTTTTTATATATATTCCCGCTTCCAGCGAAATCCCCAAAGCTAGCCAAATATCCACTTGCAGATTCCAGAAAAAGAGTGTTTCCAAACTGCTCCTTCAAAACGGTGGTTCAATTCTCATAGTTGAGTACACACATCTCAAATAAGTTTTTGGGAATGCTTGTGTCTAGTTGTTATGGGAAGATATTTCCTTTTTCAACATAGGCCTGAAAGCGCTCCAAATGTCCACTTCCAGATACTACAAAAGGAGTGATTCCAACCTGCTCTATGATAGGGAATGTTCAACTCTCTGTCCTGAATGCAAACATCACAAAGATGTTTCTCAGAACGCTGCAGTCTGCAATTTGTATGAATTCCCGCTTCCAACGAAATCCTCAAAACTAGCCAAATATCCACTTGCAGATTCCACAAAAAGAGCATTTCAAAACTCCTCTATCAAAAGAAAGGTTCAACTTTGTTAGTTGAGTAGATACAGCATAAACAAGTTTCTGAGAATGCTTCTGTCCAGTTTTTATGGGAAGATATTTCCTTTTTCACCTTAGCCCTGAAAGCGCTCCAAAAGTCCAGTTCCAGATACTACAAAAGGAGTGTTTCAGGACTGCTCTATGAAAGGGAGTGTTCAACTTTTGACTTGAATGCAAACATCAGAAAGCAGTTTCTCAGAACGCTGCTGTGTGCTTTTTATATGTATTCCCGCCTCCAGCGAAATCCCCAAAGCTAGCCAAATATCCACTTGCAGATTCCAGAAAAAGAGTGTTTCAAAACTGCTCCTTCAAAACGGTGGTTCAATTCTCTTAGTTGAATACACACATCTCAAATAAGTTTCTGAGAATGCTTCTGTCTAGTTGTTATGGGAAGATATTTCCTTTTCCAACATAGGCCTGAAAGCGCTCCAAATGTCCACTTCCAGATACTACAAAAGGAGTGATTCCAACCTGCTCTATGATAGGGAATGTTCAACTCTGTGTCCTGAATACAAACATCACAAAGATGTTTCTCAGAACGCTGCAGTCTGCAATTTGTATGAATTCCCGCTTCCAACGAAATCCTCCAAACTAGCCAAATATCCACTTGCAGATTCCACAAAAAGAGCGTTTCAAAACTTCTCTATGAAAGAAAGGTTCTACTCCTTTAGTTGAGGACACACATCACGAGTAAGTTTCTGAGAATGCTTCTGTCTAGTTTTTATGGGAAGATATTTCCTTTCTCACCTTAGGCCGGAAAGTGCTCCAAATGTCCACTTACACACACTACAAAAAGAGTGTTTCAAACCTGCTCTGTGAAAGGGAATGTTCAATTCTGTGACTTGAATGCAATCATCACAAAGAACTTTCTGAGAATGCTGCTGTCTGCTTTTTATATGTAATCCCGTTTCCAACGAAATCCTCAAATCTAGCCAAATAGCCACTTGCAGATTCCACAAAAAGAGAGTTTCAAAACTGTTCTGTCTAAAGAAATGTTCAACTGTGTTAGTTGAGGACACACATCAGAAACTAGTTTCTGAGAATGCTTCTGTCTAGTTGTTATGGGAAGATATTTCCTTTTCCAACGTAGGCCTGAAAGCGCTCCAAATGTCCACTTCCATATACTAAAAAAAGAGTGTTTCACACCTGCTCTACCATAGGGAATGTTCTACTCTGTGACTTGAATGCAAACATCCCAAAGAAGTTTCTGAGAATGCTTCTGTCTAGATTTGATCTGAACACAATCCCGTTTCCAACGAAATCCTCAAAGCTAGGCAAATATCCTCTTGCAGATTCCAGAAAAAGAGTGTTTCAAAACTGCTCCTTCAAAACGGTGGTTCAATTCTCTTAGTTGAGTACACACATCTCAAATAAGTTTCTGAGAATGCTTCTGCCTAGTTGTTACCGGAAGATATTTCCCTTTCCAACATAGGCCTGAAAGCGCTCCAAATGTCCACTTCCAGATACTACAAAAAGAGTGTTTCAAACCTGCTCTACCAAAGGGAATGTTCTACTCTGTGACTTGAATGCAAAACATCCCAAAGAAGTTTCTGAGAATGCTTCTGTCTAGATTTTACCTGAAGACAATCCCGTTTCCCACGAAATCCTCAAAGCTATGCAAATATCCTCTTGCAGATTCTACAAAAAGAGTGTTTCAAAACTGCTCTATGAAAAGAAAGGTTCAACTCTGTCAGTAGAGGGCACACATCACAAACAAGTTTCTGAGAATGCTTGTGTCTACTTGTTATGGGAAGATATTTCCTTTTTCAACATAGGCCTGAAAGCGCTCCAAATGTCCACTTCCAGATACTACAAAAGGAGTGATTCCAACCTGCTCTATGATAGGGAATGTTCAACTCTGTGTCCTGAATACAAACATCACAAAGATGTTTCTCAGAACGCTGAGGTCTGCAATTTGTATGAATTCCCGCTTCCAACGAAATCCTCAAAACTAGCCAAATATCCACTTGCAGATTCCACAAAAAGAGCATTTCAAAACTGCTCTATCAAAAGAAAGGTTCAACTTTGTTAGTTGAGTAGATACAGCATAAACAAGTTTCTGAGAATGCTTCTGTCCAGTTTTTATGGGAAGATATTTCCTTTTTCACCTTAGCCCTGAAAGCGCTCCAAAAGTCCAGTTCCAGAAACTACAAAAGGGGTGTTTCAAGACTGCTCTATGAAAGGGAGTGTTCAACTTTTGACTTGAATGCAAACATCAGAAAGCAGTTTCTCAGAACGCTGCTGTGTGCTTTTTATATGTATTCCCGCTTCCAGCGAAATCCCCAAAGCTAGCCAAATATCCACTTGCAGATTCCAGAAAAAGAGTGTTTCAAAACTGCTCCTTCAAAACGGTGGTTCAATTCTCTTAGTTGAGTACACACATCTCAAATAAGTTTCTGAGAATGCTTCTGTCTAGTTGTTATGGGAAGATATTTCCTTTTCCAACATAGGCCTGAAAGCGCTCCAAAGGTCCACTTCCAGATACTACAAAAGGAGTGATTCCAACCTGCTCTATGATAGGGAATGTTCAACTCTGTGTCCTGAATACAAACATCACAAAGATGTTTCTCAGAACGCTGCAGTCTGCAATTTGTATGAATTCCCGCTTCCAACGAAATCCTCAAAACTAGCCAAATATCCACTTGCAGATTCCACAAAAAGAGCGTTTCAAAACTTCTCTATGAAAAGAAAGGTTCTACTCCTTTAGTTGAGGACACACATCACGAGTAAGTTTCTGAGAATGCTTCTGTCTAGTTTTTATGGGAAGATATTTCCTTTTTCACCTTAGGCCGGTAAGTGCTCCAAATGTCCACTTACACACACTACAAAAAGAGTGTTTCAAACCTGCTCTGTGAAAGGGAATGTTCAATTCTGTGACTTGAATGCAATCATCACAAAGAACTTTCTGAGAATGCTGCTGAATGCTTTTTATATGTAATCCCGTTTCCAACGAAATCCTCAAATCTAGCCAAATAGCCACTTGCAGATTCCACAAAAAGAGTGTTTCAAAACTGTTCTGTCTATAGAAATGTTCAACTGTGTTAGTTGAGGACACACATCAGAAACTAGTTTCTGAGAATGCTTCTGTCTAGTTGTTATGGGAAGATATTTCCTTTTCCAACGTAGGCCTGAAAGCGCTCCAAATGTCCACTTCCATATACTAAAAAAAGAGTGTTTCAAACCTGCTCTACCAAAGGGAATGTTCTACTCTGTGACTTGAATGCAAACATCCCAAAGAAGTTTCTGAGAATGCTTCTGTCTAGATTTTCTCTGAAGACAATCCCGTTTCCAACGAAATCCTCAAGGCTAGGCAAATATACTCTTGCAGATTCCAGAAAAAGAGTGTTTCAAAACTGCTCCTTCAAAACGGTGGTTCAATTCTCTTAGTTGAGTACACACATCTCAAATAAGTTTCTGAGAATGCTTCTGCCTAGTTGTTACGGGAAGATATTTCCCTTTCCAACATAGGCCTGAAAGCGCTCCAAATGTCCACTTCCAGATACTACAAAAAGAGTGTTTCAAACCTGCTCTACCAAAGGGAATGTTCTACTCTGTGACTTGAATGCAAACATCCCAAAGAAGTTTCTGAGAATGCTTCTGTCTAGATTTTACCTGAAGACAATCCCGTTTCCCACGAAATCCTCAAAGCTATGCAAATATCCTCTTGCAGATTCTACAAAAAGAGTGTTTCAAAACTGCTCTATGAAAAGAAAGGTTCAACTCTGTCAGTAGAGGGCACACATCACAAACAAGTTTCTGAGAATGCTTGTGTCTAGTTGTTATGGGAAGATATTTCCTTTTTCAACATAGGCCTGAAAGCGCTCCAAATGTCCACTTCCAGATACTACAAAAGGAGTGATTCCAACCTGCTCTATGATAGGGAATGTTCCTCTCTGTGTCCTGAATACAAACATCACAAAGATGTTTCTCAGAACGCTGCAGTCTGCAATTTGTATGAATTCCCGCTTCCAACGAAATCCTCAAAACTAGCCAAATATCCACTTGGAGATTCCACAAAAAGAGCATTTCAAAACTTCTCTACGAATAGAAAGGTTCTACTCCTTTAGTTGAGGACACACATCACGAGTAAGTTTCTGAGAATGCTTCTGTCTAGTTTTTATGGGAAGATATTTCCTTTTTCACCTTAGGCCGGAAAGCGCTCCAAATGTCCACTTACACATACTACAAAAAATGTGTTTCAAACCTGCTCTGTGAAAGGGAATGTTCAATTCTGTGACTTGAATACAATCATCACAAAGAACTTTCTGAGAATGCTTGCTGTCTGCTTTTTATATGTAATCCCGTTTCCAACGAAATCCTCAAATCTAGCCAAATAGCCACTTGCAGATTCCACAAAAAGAGTGTTTCAAAACTGTTCTGTCTAAAGAAATGTTCAACTGTGTTAGTTGAGGACACACATCAGAAACTAGTTTCTGAGAATGCTTCTGTCTAGTTGTTATGGGAAGATATTTCCTTTTCCAACGTAGGCCTGAAAGCGCTCCAAATGTCCACTTCCAGATACTAAAAAAAGAGTGTTTCAAACCTGCTCTACCAAAGGGAATGTTCTACTCTGTGACTTGAATGCAAGCATCCCAAAGAAGTTTCTGAGAATGCTTCTGTCTAGATTTTCTCTGAAGACAATCCCGTTTCCAACGAAATCCTCAAGGCTAGGCAAATATACTCTTGCAGATTCCAGAAAAAGAGTGTTTCAAAACTGCTCCTTCAAAACGGTGGTTCAATTCTCTTAGTTGAGTACACACATCTCAAATAAGTTTCTGAGAATGCTTCTGCCTAGTTGTTACGGGAAGATATTTCCCTTTCCAACATGGGCCTGAAAGCGCTCCAAATGTCCACTTCCAGATACTACAAAAAGAGTGTTTCAAACCTGCTCTACCAAAGGGAATGTTCTTACTCTGTGACTTGAATGCAAACATCCCAAAGAAGTTTCTGAGAATGCTTCTGTCTAGATTTTTCCTGAGACAATCCCGTTTCCCACGAAATCCTCAAAGCTATGCAAATATCCTCTTGCAGATTCTACAAAAAGAGTGTTTCAAAACTGCTCTATGAAAAGAAAGGTTCAACTCTGTCAGTAGAGGGCACACATCACAAACAAGTTTCTGAGAATGCTTCTGCATAGTTGTTACGGGAAGATATTTCCCTTTCCAAAATAGGCCTGAAAGCGCTCCAAATGTCCACTTCCAGATACTACAAAAGGAGTGATTCCAACCTGCTCTATGATAGGGAATGTTCAACTCTGTGTCCTGAATACAAACATCACAAAGATGTTTCTCAGAACGCTGCAGTCTGCAATTTGTATGAATTCCCGCTTCCAACGAAATCCTCAAAACTAGCCAAATATCCACTTGCAGATTCCACAAAAAGACCATTTCAAAACTGCTCTATCAAAAGAAAGGTTCAACTTTGTTAGTTGAGTAGATACAGCATAAACAAGTTTCTGAGAATGCTTCTGTCCAGTTTTTATGGGAAGATATTTCCTTTTTCACCTTAGCCCTGAAATCGCTCCAAAAGTCCAGTTCCAGATACTACAAAAGGGGTGTTTCAAGACTGCTCTATGAAAGGGAGTGTTCAACTTTTGACTTGAATGCAAACATCAGAAAGCAGTTTCTCAGAACGCTGCTGTGTGCTTTTTATATGTATTCCCGCTTCCAGCGAAATCCCCAAAGCTAGCCAAATATCCACTTGCAGATTCCAGAAAAAGAGTGTTTCAAAACTGCTCCTTCAAAACGGTGGTTCAATTCTCTTAGTTGAGTACACACATCTCAAATAAGTTTCTGAGAATGCTTCTGTCTAGTTGTTATGGGAAGATATTTCCTTTTCCAACATAGGCCTGAAAGCGCTCCAAATGTCCACTTCCAGATACTACAAAAGGAGTGATTCAAACCTGCTCTATGATAGGGAATGTTCAACTCTGTGTCCTGAATACAAACATCACAAAGATGTTTCTCAGAACGCTGCAGTCTGCAATTTGTATGAATTCCCGCTTCCAACGAAATCCTCAAAACTAGCCAAATATCCACTTGCAGATTCCACAAAAAGAGCGTTTCAAAACTTCTCTATGAAAAGAAAGGTTCTACTCCTTTAGTTGAGGACACACATCACGAGTAAGTTTCTGAGAATGCTTCTGTCTAGTTTTTATGGGAAGATATTTCCTTTTTCACCTTAGGCCGGAAAGCGCTCCAAATGTCCGCTTACACACAGTACAAAAAGAGTGTTTCAAACCTGCTCTGTGAAAGGGAATGTTCAATTCTGTGACTTGAATGCAATCATCACAAAGAACTTTCTGAGAATGCCGCTGTCTGCTTTTTATATGTAATCCCGTTTCCAACGAAATGCTCAAATCTAGCCAAATATCCACTTGCAGATTCCACAAAGAGAGTGTTTCAAAACTGTTCTGTCTAAAGAAATGTTCAACTGTGTTAGTTGAGGACACACATCAGAAACTAGTTTCTGAGAATGCTTCTGTCTGGTTGTTATGGGAAGATATTTCCTTTTCCAACGTAGGCCTGAAAGCGCTCCAAATGTCCACTTCCATATACTAAAAAAAGAGTGTTTCAAACCTGCTCTACCAAAGGGGATGTTCTACTCTGTGACTTGAATGCAAACATCCCAAAGAAGTTTCTGAGAATGCTTCTGTCTAGATTTTCTCTGAAGACAATCCCGTTTCCAACGAAATCCTCAAGGCTAGGCAAATATACTCTTGCAGATTCCAGAAAAAGAGTGTTTCAAAACTGCTCCTTCAAAACGGTGGTTCAATTCTCTTAGTTGAGTACACACATCTCAAATAAGTTTCTGAGAATGCTTCTGCCTAGTTGTTACGGGAAGATATTTCCCTTTCCAACATGGGCCTGAAAGCGCTCCAAATGTCCACTTCCAGATACTACAAAAAGAGTGTTTCAAACCTGCTCTACCAAAGGGAATGTTCTACTCTGTGACTTGAATGCAAACATCCCAAAGAAGTTTCTGAGAATGCTTCTGTCTAGATTTTACCTGAAGACAATCCCGTTTCCCACGAAATCCTCAAAGCTATGCAAATATCCTCTTGCAGATTCTACAAAAAGAGTGTTTCAAAACTGCTCTATGAAAAGAAAGGTTCAACTCTGTCAGTAGAGGGCACACATCACAAACAAGTTTCTGAGAATGCTTCTGCATAGTTGTTACGGGAAGATATTTCCCTTTCCAAAATAGGCCTGAAAGCGCTCCAAATGTCCACTTCCAGATACTACAAAAGGAGTGATTCCAACCTGCTCTATGATAGGGAATGTTCAACTCTGTGTCCTGAATACAAACATCACAAAGATGTTTCTCAGAACGCTGCAGTCTGCAATTTGTATGAATTCCCGCTTCCAACGAAATCCTCAAAACTAGCCAAATATCCACTTGCAGATTCCACAAAAAGACCATTTCAAAACTGCTCTATCAAAAGAAAGGTTCAACTTTGTTAGTTGAGTAGATACAGCATAAACAAGTTTCTGAGAATGCTTCTGTCCAGTTTTTATGGGAAGATATTTCCTTTTTCACCTTAGCCCTGAAATCGCTCCAAAAGTCCAGTTCCAGATACTACAAAAGGGGTGTTTCAAGACTGCTCTATGAAAGGGAGTGTTCAACTTTTGACTTGAATGCAAACATCAGAAAGCAGTTTCTCAGAACGCTGCTGTGTGCTTTTTATATGTATTCCCGCTTCCAGCGAAATCCCCAAAGCTAGCCAAATATCCACTTGCAGATTCCAGAAAAAGAGAGTTTCAAAACTGCTCCTTCAAAACGGTGGTTCAATTCTCTTAGTTGAGTACACACATCTCAAATAAGTTTCTGAGAATGCTTCTGTCTAGTTGTTATGGGAAGATATTTCCTTTTCCAACATAGGCCTGAAAGCGCTCCAAATGTCCACTTCCAGATACTACAAAAGGAGTGATTCAAACCTGCTCTATGATAGGGAATGTTCAACTCTGTGTCCTGAATACAAACATCACAAAGATGTTTCTCAGAACGCTGCAGTCTGCAATTTGTATGAATTCCCGCTTCCAACGAAATCCTCAAAACTAGCCAAATATCCACTTGCAGATTCCACAAAAAGAGCGTTTCAAAACTTCTCTATGAAAAGAAAGGTTCTACTCCTTTAGTTGAGGACACACATCACGAGTAAGTTTCTGAGAATGCTTCTGTCTAGTTTTTATGGGAAGATATTTCCTTTTTCACCTTAGGCCGGAAAGTGCTCCAAATGTCCACTTACACACACTACAAAAAGAGTGTTTCAAACCTGCTCTGTGAAAGGGAATGTTCAATTCTGTGACTTGAATGCAATCATCACAAAGAACTTTCTGAGAATGCTGCTGTCTGCTTTTTATATGTAATCCCGTTTCCAACGAAATCCTCAAATCTAGCCAAATAGCCACTTGCAGATTCCACAAAAAGAGTGTTTCAAAACTTCTCTATGAAAAGAAAGGTTCTACTCCTTTAGTTGAGGACACACATCACGAGTAAGTTTCTGAGAATGCTTCTGTCTAGTTTTTATGGGAAGATATTTCCTTTTTCACCTTAGGCGGGAAAGTGCTCCAAATGTCCACTTACACACACTACAAAAAGAGTGTTTCAAACCTGCTCTGTGAAAGGGAATGTTCAATTCTGTGACTTGAATGCAATCATCACAAAGAAGTTTCTGAGAATGCTGCTGTCTGCTTTTTATATGTAATCCCGTTTCCAACGAAATCCTCAAATCTAGCCAAATAGCCACTTGCAGATTCCACAAAAAGAGTGTTTCAAAACTGTTCTGTCTAAAGAAATGTTCAACTGTGTTAGTTGAGGACACACATCAGAAACTAGTTTCTGAGAATGCTTCTGTCTAGTTGTTATGGGAAGATATTTCCTTTTCCAACGTAGGCCTGAAAGCGCTCCAAATGTCCACTTCCATATACTAAAAAAAGAGTGTTTCAAACCTGCTCTACCAAAGGGAATGTTCTACTCCGTGACTTGAATGCAAACATCCCAACGAAGTTTCTGAGAATGCTTCTGTCTAGATTTGATCTGAAGACAATCCCGTTTCCAACGAAATCCTCAAGGCTAGGCAAATATCCTCTTGCAGATTCCAGAAAAAGAGTGTTTCAAAACTGCTCCTTCAAAACGGTGGTTCAATTCTCTTAGTTGAGTACACACATCTCAAATAAGTTTCTGAGAATGCTTCTGCCTAGTTGTTACGGGAAGATATTTCCCTTTCCAACATGGGCCTGATAGTGCTCCAAATGTCCACTTCCAGATACTACAAAAAGAGTGTTTCAAACCTGCTCTACCAAAGGGAATGTTCTACTCTGTGACTTGAATGCAAACATCCCAAAAAAGTTTCTGAGAATGCTTCTGTCTAGATTTTACCTGAAGACAATCCCGTTTCCCACGAAATCCTCAAAGCTATGCAAATATCCTCTTGCAGATTCTACAAAAAGAGTGTTTCAAAACTGCTCTATGAAAAGAAAGGTTCAACTCTGTCAGTAGAGGGCACACATCACAAACAAGTTTCTGAGAATGCTTGTGTCTAGTTGTTATGGGAAGATATTTCCTTTTTCAACATAGGCCAGAAAGCGCTCCAAATGTCCACTTCCAGATACTACAAAAGGAGTGATTCCAACCTGCTCTATGATAGGGAATGTTCAACTCTCTGTCCTGAATACAAACATCACAAAGATGTTTCTCAGAACGCTGCAGTCTGCAATTTGTATGAATTCCCGCTTCCAACGAAATCCTCAAAACTAGCCAAATATCCACTTGCAGATTCCACAAAAAGAGCATTTCAAAACTGCTCTATCAAAAGAAAGGTTCAACTTTGTTAGTTGAGTAGATACAGCATAAACAAGTTTCTGAGAATGCTTCTGTCCAGTTTTTATGGGAAGATATTTCCTTTTTCACCTTAGCCCTGAAAGCGCTCCAAATGTCCAGTTCCCGATACTACAAAAGGGGTGTTTCAGGACTGCTCTATGAAAGGGAGTGTTCAACTTTTGACTTGAATGCAAACATCAGAAAGCAGTTTCTCAGAACGCTGCTGTGTGCTTTTTATATGTATTCCCGCTTCCAGCGAAATCCCCAAAGCTAGCCAAATATCCACTTGCAGATTCCAGAAAAAGAGTGTTTCAAAACTGCTCCTTCAAAACGGTGGTTCAATTCTCTTAGTTGAGTACACACATCTCAAATAAGTTTCTGAGAATGCTTGTGTCTAGTTGTTATGGGAAGATATTTCCTTTTCCAACATAGGCCTGAAAGTGCTCCAAATGTCCACTTCCAGATACTACAAAAGGAGTGATTCAAACCTGCTCTATGATAGGGAATGTTCAACTCTGTGTCCTGAAGACAAACATCACAAAGATGTTTCTCAGAACGCTGCAGTCTGCAATTTGTATGAATTCCCGCTTCCAACGAAATCCTCAAAACTAGCCAAATATCCACTTGCAGATTCCACAAAAAGAGCGTTTCAAAACTTCTCTATGAAAAGAAAGGTTCTACTCCTTTAGTTGAGGACACACATCACGAGTAAGTTTCTGAGAATGCTTCTGTCTAGTTTTTATGGGAAGATATTTCCTTTTTCACCTTAGGCCGGAAAGTGCTCCAAATGTCCACTTACACACACTACAAAAAGAGTGTTTCAAACCTGCTCTGTGAAAGGGAATGTTCAATTCTGTGACTTGAATGCAATCATCACAAAGAACTTTCTGAGAATGCTGCTGTCTGCTTTTTATATGTAATCCCGTTTCCAACGAAATCCTCAAATCTAGCCAAATAGCCACTTGCAGATTCCACAAAAAGAGTGTTTCAAAACTGTTCTGTCTAAAGAAATGTTCAACTGTGTTAGTTGAGGACACACATCAGAAACTAGTTTCTGAGAATGCTTCTGTCTAGTTGTTATGGGAAGATATTTCCTTTTCCAACGTAGGCCTGAAAGCGCTCCAAATGTCCACTTCCATATACTAAAAAAAGAGTGTTTCAAACCTGCTCTACCAAAGGGAATGTTCTACTCTGTGACATGAATGCAAACATCCCAAAGAAGTTTCTGAGAATGCTTCTGTCTAGATTTGATCTGAAGACAATCCCGTTTCCAACGAAATCCTCAAGGCTAGGCAAATATCCTCTTGCAGATTCCAGAAAAAGAGTGTTTCAAAACTGCTCCTTCAAAACGGTGGTTCAATTCTCTTAGTTGAGTACACACATCTCAAATAAGTTTCTGAGAATGCTTCTGCCTAGTTGTTACGGGAAGATATTTCCCTTTCCAACATAGGCCTGAAAGCGCTCCAAATGTCCACTTCCAGATACTACAAAAAGAGTGTTTCAAACCTGCTCTACCTAAGGGAATGTTCTGCTCTGTGACTTGAATGCAAACATCCCAAAGAAGTTTCTGAGAATGCTTCTGTCTAGATTTTACCTGAAGACAATCCCGTTTCCCACGAAATCCTCAAAGCTATGCAAATATCCTCTTGCAGATTCTACAAAAAGAGTGTTTCAAAACTGCTCTATGAAAAGAAAGGTTCAACTCTGTCAGTAGAGGGCACACATCACAAACAAGTTTCTGAGAATGCTTCTGTCTAGTTGTTATGGGAAGATATTTCCTTTTCCAACATAGGCCTGAAAGCGCTCCAAATGTCCACTTCCAGATACTACAAAAGGAGTGATTCAAACCTGCTCTATGATAGGGAATGTTCAACTCTGTGTCGTGAATACAAACATCACAAAGATGTTTCCTCAGAACGCTGCAGTCTGCAATTTGTATGAATTCCCGCTTCCAACGAAATCCTCAAAACTAGCCAAATATCCACTTGCAGATTCCACAAAAAGAGCATTTCAAAACTGCTCTATCAAAAGAAAGGTTCAACTTTGTTAGTTGAGTAGATACAGCATAAACAAGTTTCTGAGAATGCTTCTGTCCAGTTTTTATGGGAAGATATTTCCTTTTTCACCTTAGCCCTGAAAGCGCTCCAAAAGTCCAGTTCCAGATACTACAAAAGGAGTGTTTCAGGACTGCTCTATGAAAGGGAGTGTTCAACTTTTGACTTGAATGCAAACATCAGAAAGCAGTTTCTCAGAAAGCTGCTGTGTGCTTTTTATATGTATTCCCGCTTCCAGCGAAATCCCCAAAGCTAGCCAAATATCCACTTGCAGATTCCAGAAAAAGAGTGTTTCAAAACTGCTCCTTCAAAACGGTGGTTCAATTCTCTTAGTTGAGTACACACATCTCAAATAAGTTTCTGAGAATGCTTCTGTCTAGTTGTTATGGGAAGATATTTCCTTTTCCAACATAGGCCTGAAAGCGCTCCAAATGTCCACTTCCAGATACTACAAAAGGAGTGATTCAAACCTGCTCTATGATAGGGAATGTTCAACTCTGTGTCCTGAATACAAACATCACAAAGATGTTTCTCAGAACGCTGCAGTCTGCAATTTGTATGAATTCCCGCTTCCAACGAAATCCTCAAAACTAGCCAAATATCCACTTGCAGATTCCACAAAAAGAGCGTTTCAAAACTTCTCTATGAAAAGAAAGGTTCTACTCCTTTAGTTGAGGACACACATCACGAGTAAGTTTCTGAGAATGCTTCTGTCTAGTTTTTATGGGAAGATATTTCCTTTTTCACCTTAGGCCGGAAAGTGCTCCAAATGTCCACTTACACACACTACAAAAAGAGTGTTTCAAACCTGCTCTGTGAAAGGGAATGTTCAATTCTGTGACTTGAATGCAATCATCACAAAGAAGTTTCTGAGAATGCTGCTGTCTGCTTTTTATATGTAATCCCGTTTCCAACGAAATCCCTCAAATCTAGCCAAATAGCCACTTGCAGATTCCACAAAAAGAGTGTTTCAAAACTGTTCTGTCTAAAGAAATGTTCAACTGTGTTAGTTGAGGACACACATCAGAAACTAGTTTCTGAGAATGCTTCTGTCTAGTTGTTATGGGAAGATATTTCCTTT
This sequence comes from Homo sapiens, assembly GCF_000001405.40. Taxonomy (NCBI): domain Eukaryota; kingdom Metazoa; phylum Chordata; class Mammalia; order Primates; family Hominidae; genus Homo; species Homo sapiens. The sequence goes on along the minus strand of NC_000018.10, from coordinate 15,932,395 downwards.
TCCAACGTAGGCCTGAAAGCGCTCCAAATGTCCACTTCCATATACTAAAAAAAGAGTGTTTCAAACCTGCTCTACCAAAGGGAATGTTCTACTCTGTGACTTGAATGCAAACATCCCAAAGAAGTTTCTGAGAATGCTTCTGTCTAGATTTGATCTGAAGACAATCCCGTTTCCAACGAAATCCTCAAGGCTAGGCAAATATCCTCTTGCAGATTCCAGAAAAAGAGTGTTTCAAAACTGCTCCTTCAAAACGGTGGTTCAATTCTCTTAGTTGAGTACACACATCTCAAATAAGTTTCTGAGAATGCTTCTGCCTAGTTGTTACGGGAAGATATTTCCCTTTGCAACATGGGCCAGAAAGCGCTCCAAATGTCCACTTCCAGATACTACAAAAAGAGGGTTTCAAACCTGCTCTACCAAAGGGAATGTTCTACTCTGTGACTTGAATGTAAACATCCCAAAGAAGTTTCTGAGAATGCTTCTGTCTAGATTTTACCTGAAGACAATCCCGTTTCCCACGAAATCCTCAAAGCTATGCAAATATCCTCTTGCAGATTCTACAAAAAGAGTGTTTCAAAACTGCTCTATGAAAAGAAAGGTTCAACTCTGTCAGTAGAGGGCACACATCACAAACAAGTTTCTGAGAATGCTTGTGTCTAGTTGTTATGGGAAGATATTTCCTTTTTCAACATAGGCCTGAAAGCGCTCCAAATGTCCACTTCCAGATACTACAAAAGGAGTGATTCCAACCTGCTCTATGATAGGGAATGTTCATCTCTGTGTCCTGAATACAAACATCACAAAGATGTTTCTCAGAACGCTGCAGTCTGCAATTTGTATGAATTCCCGCTTCCAACGAAATCCTCAAAACTAGCCAAATATCCACTTGGAGATTCCACAAAAAGAGCGTTTCAAAACTTCTCTATGAATAGAAAGGTTCTACTCCTTTAGTTGAGGACACACATCACGAGTAAGTTTCTGAGGATGCTTCTGTCTAGTTTTTATGGGAAGATATGTCCTTTTTCACCTTAGGCCGGAAAGCGCTCCAAATGTCCACTTACACACACTACAAAAAGAGTGTTTCAAACCTGCTCTGTGAAAGGGAATGTTCAATTCTGTGACTTGAATGCAATCATCACAAAGAACTTTCTGAGAATGCTGCTGTCTGCTTTTTATATGTAATCCCGTTTCCAACGAAATCCTCAAATCTAGCCCAATATCCACTTGCAGATTCCACAAAAAGAGTGTTTCAAAACTGTTCTGTCTAAAGAAAAGTTCAACTGTGTTAGTTGAGGACACACATCAGAAACTAGTTTCTGAGAATGCTTCTGTCTAGTTGTTATGGGAAGATATTTCCTTTTCCAACGTAGGCCTGAAAGCGCTCCAAATGTCCACTTCCATATACTAAAAAAAGAGTGTTTCAAACCTGCTCTACTAAAGGGAATGTTCTACTCTGTGACTTGAATGCAAACATCTCAAAGAAGTTTCTGAGAATGCTTTTGTCTAGATTTTATCTGAAGACAATCCCGTTTCCAACGAAATCCTCAAGGCTAGGCAAATATACTCTTGCAGATTCCAGCAAAAGAGTGTTTCAAAACTGTTCCTTCAAAACGGTGGTTCAATTGTCTTAGTTGAGTACACACATCTCAAATAAGTTTCTGAGAATGCTTCTGCCTAGTTGTTACGGGAAGATATTTCCCTTTCCAACATGGGCCTGAAAGCGCTCCAAATGTCCACTTCCAGATACTACAAAAAGAGTGTTTCAAACCTGCTCTACCAAAGGGAATGTTCTACTCTGTGACTTGAATGCAAACATCCCAAAGAAGTTTCTGAGAATGCTTCTGTCTAGATTTTACCTGAAGACAATCCCGTTTCCCACGAAATCCTCAAAGCTATGCAAATATCTTCTTGCGGATTCTATAAAAGAGTGGTTCAAAACTGCTCTATGAAAAGAAAGGTTCAACTCTGTCAGTAGAGGGCACACATCACAAACAAGTTTCTGAGAATGCTTGTGTCTAGTTGTTATGGGAAGATATTTCCTTTTTCAACATAGGCCTGAAAGCGCTCCAAATGTCCACTTCCAGATACTACAAAAGGAGTGATTCCAACCTGCTCTATGATAGGGAATGTTCATCTCTGTGTCCTGAATACAAACATCACAAAGATGTTTCTCAGAACGCTGCAGTCTGCAATTTGTATGAATTCCCGCTTCCAACGAAATCCTCAAAACTAGCCAAATATCCACTTGGAGATTCCACAAAAAGAGCGTTTCAAAACTTCTCTATGAATAGAAAGGTTCTACTCCTTTAGTTGAGGACACACATCACGAGTAAGTTTCTGAGAATGCTTCTGTCTAGTTTTTATGGGAAGATATTTCCTTTTTCACCTTAGGCCGGAAAGCGCTCCAAATGTCCACTTACACACACTACAAGAAGAGTGTTTCAAACCTGCTCTGTGAAAGGGAATGTTCAATTCTGTGACTTGAATGCAATCATCACAAAGAACTTTCTGAGAATGCTGCTGTCTGCTTTTTATATGTAATCCCGTTTCCAACGAAATCCTCAAATCTAGCCCAATATCCACTTGCAGATTCCACAAAAAGAGTGTTTCAAAACTGTTCTGTCTAAAGAAATGTACAACTGTGTTAGTTGAGGACACACATCAGAAACTAGTTTCTGAGAATGCTTCTGTCTAGTTGTTATGGGAAGATATTTCCTTTTCCAACGTAGGCCTGAAAGCGCTCCAAATGTCCACTTCCATATACTAAAAAAAGAGTGTTTCAAACCTGCTCTACCAAAGGGAATGTTCTACTCTGTGACTTGAATGCAAACATCCCAAAGAAGTTTCTGAGAATGCTTCTGTCTAGATTTTATCTGAAGACAATCCCGTTTCCAACGAAATCCTCAAGGCTAGGCAAATATACTCTTGCAGATTCCAGAAAAAGAGGGTTTCAAAACTGCTCCTTCAAAACGGTGGTTCAGTTCTCTTACTTGAGTACACACATCTCAAATAAGTTTCTGAGAATGCTTCTGCCTAGTTGTTACGGGAAGATATTTCCCTTTCCAACATGGGCCTGAAAGCGCTCCAAATGTCCACTTCCAGATACTACAAAAAGAGTGTTTCAAACCTGCTCTACCAAAGGGAATGTTCTACTCTGTGACTTGAATGCAAACATCCCAAAGAAGTTTCTGAGAATGCTTCTGTCTAGATTTTACCTGAAGACAATCCCGTTTCCCACGAAATCCTCAAAGCTATGCAAATATCCTCTTGCGGATTCTATAAAAGAGTGTTTCAAAACTGCTCTATGAAAAGAAAGGTTCAACTCTGTCAGTAGAGGGCACACATCACAAACAAGTTTCTGAGAATGCTTGTGTCTAGTTGTTATGGGAAGATATTTCCTTTTTCAACATAGGCCTGAAAGCGCTCCAAATGTCCACTTCCAGATACTACAAAAGGAGTGATTCCAACCTGCTCTATGATAGGGAATGTTCATCTCTGTGTCCTGAATACAAACATCACAAAGATGTTTCTCAGAACGCTGCAGTCTGCAATTTGTATGAATTCCCGCTTCCAACGAAATCCTCAAAACTAACCAAATATCCACTTGGAGATTCCACAAAAAGAGCGTTTCAAAACTTCTCTATGAATAGAAAGGTTCTACTCCTTTAGTTGAGGACACACATCACGAGTAAGTTTCTGAGAATGCTTCTGTCTAGTTTTTATGGGAAGATATGTCCTTTTTCACCTTAGGCCGGAAAGCGCTCCAAATGTCCACTTACACACACTACAAAAAGAGTGTTTCAAACCTGCTCTGTGAAAGGGAATGTTCAATTCTGTGACTTGAATGCAATCATCACAAAGAACTTTCTGAGAATGCTGCTGACTGCTTTTTATATGTAATCCCGTTTCCAACGAAATCCTCAAATCTAGCCCAATATCCACTTGCAGATTCCACAAAAAGAGTGTTTCAAAACTGTTCTGTCTAAAGAAATGTACAACTGTGTTAGTTGAGGACACACATCAGAAACTAGTTTCTGAGAATGCTTCTGTCTAGTTGTTATGGGAAGATATTTCCTTTTCCAACGTAGGCCTGAAAGCGCTCGAAATGTCCACTTCCATATACTAAAAAAAGAGTGTTTCAAACCTGCTCTACCAAAGGGAATGTTCTACTCTGTGACTTGAATGCAAACATCCCAAAGAAGTTTCTGAGAATGCTTCTGTCTAGATTTTATCTGAAGACAATCCCGTTTCCAACGAAATCCTCAAGGCTAGGCAAATATACTCTTGCAGATTCCAGAAAAAGAGGCTTTCAAAACTGCTCCTTCAAAACGGTGGTTCAATTCTCTTAGTTGAGTACACACATCTCAAATAAGTTTCTGAGAATGCTTCTGCCTAGTTGTTACGGGAAGATATTTCCCTTTCCAACATGGGCCTGAAAGCGCTCCAAATGTCCACTTCCAGATACTACAAAAAGAGTGTTTCAAACCTGCTCTACCAAAGGGAATGTTCTACTCTGTGACTTGAATGCAAACATCCCAAAGAAGTTTCTGAGAATGCTTCTGTCTAGATTTTACCTGAAGACAATCCCGTTTCCCACGAAATCCTCAAAGCTATGCAAATATCCTCTTGCGGATTCTATAAAAGAGTGTTTCAAAACTGCTCTATGAAAAGAAAGGTTCAAATCTGTCAGTAGAGGGCACACATCACAAACAAGTTTCTGAGAATGCTTGTGTCTAGTTGTTATGGGAAGATATTTCCTTTTTCAACATAGGCCTGAAAGCGCTCCAAATGTCCACTTCCAGATACTACAAAAGGAGTGATTCCAACATGCTCTATGATAGGGAATGTTCATCTCTGTGTCTTGAATACAAACATCTCAAAGATGTTTCTCAGAACGCTGCAGTCTGCAATTTGTATGAATTCCCGCTTCCAACGAAATCCTCAAAACTAGCCAAATATCCACTTGGAGATTCCACAAAAAGAGCGTTTCAAAACTTCTCTATGAATAGAAAGGTTCTACTCCTTTAGTTGAGGACACACATCACGAGTAAGTTTCTGAGAATGCTTCTGTCTAGTTTTTATGGGAAGATATGTCCTTTTTCACCTTAGGCCGGAAAGCGCTCCAAATGTCCACTTACACACACTACAAAAAGAGTGTTTCAAACCTGCTCTATGAAAGGGAATGTTCAATTCTGTGACTTGAATGCAATCATCACAAAGAACTTTCTGAGAATGCTGCTGACTGCTTTTTATATGTAATCCCGTTTCCAACGAAATCCTCAAATCTAGCCCAATATCCACTTGCAGATTCCACAAAAAGAGTGTTTCAAAACTGTTCTGTACAAAGAAATGTACAACTGTGTTAGTTGAGGACACACATCAGAAACTAGTTTCTGAGAATGCTTCTGTCTAGTTGTTATGGGAAGATATTTCCTTTTCCAACGTAGGCCTGAAAGCGCTCCAAATGTCCACTTCCATATACTAAAAAAAGAGTGTTTCAAACCTACTCTACCAAAGGGAATGTTCTACTCTGTGACTTGAATGCAAACATCTCAAAGAAGTTTCTGACAATGCTTCTGTCTAGATTTTGTCTGAAGACAATCCCGTTTCCAACGAAATCCTCAAGGCTAGGCAAATATACTCTTGCAGATTCCAGAAAAAGAGTGTTTCAAAACTGCTCCTTCAAAACGGTGGTTCAGTTCTCTTACTTGAGTACACACATCTCAAATAAGTTTCTGAGAATGCTTCTGCCTAGTTGTTACGGGAAGATATTTCCCTTTCCAACATGGGCCTGAAAGCGCTCCAAATGTCCACTTCCAGATACTACAAAAAGAGTGTTTCAAACCTGCTCTACCAAAGGGAATGTTCTACTCTGTGACTTGAATGCAAACATCCCAAAGAAGTTTCTGAGAATGCTTCTTTCTAGATTTTACCTGAAGACAATCCCGTTTCCCACGAAATCCTCAAAGCTATGCAAATATCCTCTTGCGGATTCTACAAAAAGAGTGTTTCAAAACTGCTCTATGAAAAGAAAGGTTCAACTCTGTCAGTAGAGGGCACACATCACAAACAAGTTTCTGAGAATGCTTGTGTCTAGTTGTTATGGGAAGATATTTCCTTTTTCAACATAGGCCTGAAAGCGCTCCAAATGTCCACTTCCAGATACTACAAAAGGAGTGATTCCAACCTGCTCTATGATAGGGAATGTTCAACTCTCTGTCCTGAATACAAACATCACAAAGATGTTTCTCAGAACGCTGCAGTCTGCAATTTGTATGAATTCCAGCTTCCAACGTTATCCTCAAAACTAGCCAAATATCCACTTGCAGATTCCACAAAAAGAGCGTTTCAAAACTTCTCTATGAAAAGAAAGGTTCTACTCCTTTAGTTGAGGACACACATCACGAGTAAGTTTCTGAGAATGCTTCTGTCTAGTTTTTAAGGGAAGATATTTCCTTTTTCACCTTAGGCCGGAAAGTGCTCCAAATGTCCACTTACACACACTACAAAAAGAGTGTTTCAAACCTGCTCTGTGAAAGGGAATGTTCAATTCTGTGACTTGAATGCAATCATCACAAAGAACTTTCTGAGAATGCTGCTGTCTGCTTTTTATATGTAATCCCGATTCCAACGAAATCCTCAAATCTAGCCAAATAGCCACTTGCAGATTCCACAAAAAGAGTGTTTCAAAACTGTTCTGTCTAAAGAAATGTTCAACTGTGTTAGTTGAGGACACACATCAGAAACTAGTTTCTGAGAATGCTTCTGTCTAGTTGTTATGGGAAGATATTTCCTTTTCCAACGTAGGCCTGAAAGCGCTCCAAATGTCCACTTCCATATACTAAAAAAAGAGTGTTTCAAACCTGCTCTACCAAAGGGAATGTTCTACTCTGTGACTTGAATGCAAACATCCCAAAGAAGTTTCTGAGAATGCTTCTGTCTAGATTTGATCTGAAGACAATCCCGTTTCCAACGAAATCCTCAAGGCTAGGCAAATATCCTCTTGCAGATTCCAGAAAAAGAGTGTTTCAAAACTGCTCCTTCAAAACGGTGGTTCAATTCTCTTAGTTGAGTACACACATCTCAAATAAGTTTCTGAGAATGCTTCTGCCTAGTTGTTACGGGAAGATATTTCCCTTTCCAACATGGGCCTGAAAGCGCTCCAAATGTCCACTTCCAGATACTACAAAAGGAGTGATTCAAACCTGCTCTACCAAAGGGAATGTTCTGCTCTGTGACTTGAATGCAAACATCCCAAAGAAGTTTCTGAGAATGCTTCTGTCTAGATTTTACCTGAAGACAATCCCGTTTCCCACGAAATCCTCAAAGCTATGCAAATATCCTCTTGCAGATTCTACAAAAAGAGTGTTTCAAAACTGCTCTATGAAAAGAAAGGTTCAACTCTGTCAGTAGAGGGCACACATCACAAACAAGTTTCTGAGAATGCTTGTGTCTAGTTGTTATGGGAAGATATTTCCTTTTTCAACATAGGCCTGAAAGCGCTCCAAATGTCCACTTCCAGATACTACAAAAGGAGTGATTCCAACCTGCTCTATGATAGGGAATGTTCAACTCTCTGTCCTGAATACAAACATCACAAAGATGTTTCTCAGAACGCTGCAGTCTGCAATTTGTATGAATTCCCGCTTCCAACGAAATCCTCAAAACTAGCCAAATATCCACTTGCAGATTCCACAAAAAGAGCATTTCAAAACTGCTCTATCAAAAGAAAGGTTCAACTTTGTTAGTTGAGTAGATACAGCATAAACAAGTTTCTGAGAATGCTTCTGTCCAGTTTTTATGGGAAGATATTTCCTTTTTCACCTTAGCCCTGAAAGCGCTCCAAAAGTCCAGTTCCAGATACTACAAAAGGGGTGTTTCAAGACTGCTCTATGAAAGGGAGTGTTCAACTTTTGACTTGAATGCAAACATCAGAAAGCAGTTTCTCAGAACGCTGCTGTGTGCTTTTTATATGTATTCCCGCTTCCAGCGAAATCCCCAAAGCTAGCCAAATATCCACTTGCAGATTCCAGAAAAAGAGTGTTTCAAAACTGCTCCTTCAAAACGGTGGTTCAATTCTCTTAGTTGAGTACACACATCTCAAATAAGTTTCTGAGAATGCTTCTGTCCAGTTTTTATGGGAAGATATTTCCTTTTTCACCTTAGCCCTGAAAGCACTCCAAATGTCCACTTCCAGATACCACAAAAGGGGAGTTTCAAGACTGCTCTATGAAAGGGAGTGTTCAACTTTTGACTTGAATGCGAACATCAGAAAGAACTTTCTGAGAATGCGGCTGTGTGCTTTTTATATGTATTCCCGCTTCCAGCGAAATCCCCAAAGCTAGCCAAATATCCACTTGCAGATTCCAGAATAAGAGTGTTTCAAAACTGCTCCTTCAAAACGGTGGTTCAATTCTCTTAGTTGAGTACACACATCTCAAATAAGTTTCTGAGAATGCTTCTGTCTAGTTTTTATGGGAAGATATTTCCTTTTTCACCTTAGGCCGGAAAGTGCTCCAAATGTCCACTTACACACACTACAAAAAGAGTGTTTCAAACCTGCCCTGTGAAAGGGAATGTTCAATTCTGTGACTTGAATGCAATCATCACAAAGAACTTTCTGAGAATGCTGCTGACTGCTTTTTATATGTAATCCCGTTTCCAACGAAATCCTCAAATCTAGCCAAATAGCCACTTGCAGATTCCACAAAAAGAGTGTTTCAAAACTGTTCTGTCTAAAGAAATGTTCAACTGTGTTAGTTGAGGACACACATCAGAAACTAGTTTCTGAGAATGCTTCTGTCTAGTTGTTATGGGAAGATATTTCCTTTTCCAACGTAGGCCTGAAAGCGCTCCAAATGTCCACTTCCATATACTAAAAAAAGAGTGTTTCAAACCTGCTCTACCAAAGGGAATGTTCTACTCTGTGACTTGAATGCAAACATCCCAAAGAAGTTTCTGAGAATGCTTCTGTCTAGATTTTCTCTGAAGACAATCCCGTTTCCAACGAAATCCTCAAGGCTAGGCAAATATACTCTTGCAGATTCCAGAAAAAGAGTGTTTCAAAACTGCTCCTTCAAAACGGTGGTTCAATTCTCTTAGTTGAGTACACACATCTCAAATAAGTTTCTGAGAATGCTTCTGCCTAGTTGTTACGGGAAGATATTTCCCTTTCCAACATGGGCCTGAAAGCGCTCCAAATGTCCACTTCCAGATACTACAAAAAGAGTGTTTCAAACCTGCTCTACCAAAGGGAATGTTCTTACTCTGTGACTTGAATGCAAACATCCCAAAGAAGTTTCTGAGAATGCTTCTGTCTAGATTTTTCCTGAGACAATCCCGTTTCCCACGAAATCCTCAAAGCTATGCAAATATCCTCTTGCAGATTCTACAAAAAGAGTGTTTCAAAACTGCTCTATGAAAAGAAAGGTTCAACTCTGTCAGTAGAGGGCACACATCACAAACAAGTTTCTGAGAATGCTTGTGTCTAGTTGTTATGGGAAGATATTTCCTTTTCCAACATAGGCCTGAAAGCGTTCCAAATGTCCACTTCCAGATACTACAAAAGGAGGGATTCCAACCTGGTCTATGATAGGGAATGTTCAACTCTCTGTCCTGAATACAAACATCACAAAGATGTTTCTCAGAACGCTGCAGTCTGCAATTTGTATGAATTCCCGCTTCCAACGAAATCCTCAAAACTAGCCAAATATCCACTTGCAGATTCCACAAAAAGAGCGTTTCAAAACTTCTCTATGAAAAGAAAGGTTCTACTCCTTTAGTTGAGGACACACATCACGAGTAAGTTTCTGAGAATGCTTCTGTCTAGTTTTTAAGGGAAGATATTTCCTTTTTCACCTTAGGCCGGAAAGTGCTCCAAATGTCCACTTACACACACTACAAAAAGAGTGTTTCAAACCTGCTCTGTGAAAGGGAATGTTCAATTCTGTGACTTGAATGCAATCATCACAAAGAACTTTCTGAGAATGCTGCTGTCAGCTTTTTATATGTAATCCCGTTTCCAAAGAAATCCTCAAATCTAGCCAAATAGCCACTTGCAGATTCCACAAAAAGAGTGTTTCAAAACTGTTCTGTCTAAAGAAATGTTCAACTGTGTTAGTTGAGGACACACATCAGAAACTAGTTTCTGAGAATGCTTCTGTCTAGTTGTTATGGGAAGATATTTCCTTTTCCAACGTAGGCCTGAAAGCGCTCCAAATGTCCACTTCCATATACTAAAAAAAGAGTGTTTCAAACCTGCTCTACCAAAGGGAATGTTCTACTCTGTGACTTGAATGCAAACATCCCAAAGAAGTTTCTGAGAATGCTTCTGTCTAGATTTTCTCTGAAGACAATCCCGTTTCCAACGAAATCCTCAAGGCTAGGCAAATATACTCTTGCAGATTCCAGAAAAAGAGTGTTTCAAAACTGCTCCTTCAAAACGGTGGTTCAATTCTCTTAGTTGAGTACACACATCTCAAATAAGTTTCTGAGAATGCTTCTGCCTAGTTGTTACGGGAAGATATTTCCCTTTCCAACATGGGCCTGAAAGCGCTCCAAATGTCCACTTCCAGATACTACAAAAAGAGTGTTTCAAACCTGCTCTACCAAAGGGAATGTTCTACTCTGTGACTTGAATGCAAACATCCCAAAGAAGTTTCTGAGAATGCTTCTGTCTAGATTTTACCTGAAGACAATCCCGTTTCCCACGAAATCCTCAAAGCTATGCAAATATCCTCTTGCAGATTCTACAAAAAGAGTGTTTCAAAACTGCTCTATGAAAAGAAAGGTTCAACTCTGTCAGTAGAGGGCACACATCACAAACAAGTTTCTGAGAATGCTTCTGCATAGTTGTTACGGGAAGATATTTCCCTTTCCAAAATAGGCCTGAAAGCGCTCCAAATGTCCACTTCCAGATACTACAAAAGGAGTGATTCCAACCTGCTCTATGATAGGGAATGTTCAACTCTGTGTCCTGAATACAAACATCACAAAGATGTTTCTCAGAACGCTGCAGTCTGCAATTTGTATGAATTCCCGCTTCCAACGAAATCCTCAAAACTAGCCAAATATCCACTTGCAGATTCCACAAAAAGACCATTTCAAAACTGCTCTATCAAAAGAAAGGTTCAACTTTGTTAGTTGAGTAGATACAGCATAACCAAGTTTCTGAGAATGCTTCTGTCCAGTTTTTATGGGAAGATATTTCCTTTTTCACCTTAGCCCTGAAATCGCTCCAAAAGTCCAGTTCCAGATACTACAAAAGGGGTGTTTCAAGACTGCTCTATGAAAGGGAGTGTTCAACTTTTGACTTGAATGCAAACATCAGAAAGCAGTTTCTCAGAACGCTGCTGTGTGCTTTTTATATGTATTCCCGCTTCCAGCGAAATCCCCAAAGCTAGCCAAATATCCACTTGCAGATTCCAGAAAAAGAGAGTTTCAAAACTGCTCCTTCAAAACGGTGGTTCAATTCTCTTAGTTGAGTACACACATCTCAAATAAGTTTCTGAGAATGCTTCTGTCTAGTTTTTATGGGAAGATATTTCCTTTTCCAACATAGGCCTGAAAGCGCTCCAAATGTCCACTTCCAGATACTACAAAAGGAGTGATTCAAACCTGCTCTATGATAGGGAATGTTCAACTCTGTGTCCTGAATACAAACATCACAAAGATGTTTCTCAGAACGCTGCATTCTGCAATTTGTATGAATTCCCGCTTCCAACGAAATCCTCAAAACTAGCCAAATATCCACTTGCAGATTCCACAAAAAGAGCGTTTCAAAACTTCTCTATGAAAAGAAAGTTTCTACTCCTTTAGTTGAGTACACACATCACGAGTAAGTTCCTGAGAATGCTTCTGTCTAGTTTTTATGGGAAGATATTTCCTTTTTCACCTTAGGCCGGAAATCGCTGCAAATGTCCGCTTACACACACTACAAAAAGAGTGTTTCAAACCTGCTCTGTGAAAGGGAATGTTCAATTCTGTGACTTGAATGCAATCATCACAAAGAACTTTCTGAGAATGCCGCTGTCTGCTTTTTCTATGTAATCCCGTTTCCAACGAAATGCTCAAATCTAGCCAAATATCCACTTGCAGATTCCACAAAGAGAGTGTTTCAAAACTGTTCTGTCTAAAGAAATGTACAACTGTGTTAGTTGAGGACACACATCAGAAACTAGTTTCTGACAATGCTTCTGTCTAGTTGTTATGGGAAGATATTTCCTTTTCCAACGTAGGCCTGAAAGCGATCCAAATGTCCACTTCCATATAGTAAAAAAAGAGTGTTTCAAACCTGCTCTACCAAAGGGAATGTTCTACTCTGTGACTTGAATGCAAACATCCCAAAGAAGTTTCTGAGAATGCTTCTGTCTAGATTTTCTCTGAAGACAATCCCGTTTCCAACGAAATCCTCAAGGCTAGGCAAATATACTCTTGCAGATTCCAGAAAAAGAGTGTTTCAAAACTGCTCCTTCAAAACGGTGGTTCAATTCTCTTAGTTGAGTACACACATCTCAAATAAGTTTCTGAGAATGCTTCTGCCTAGTTGTTACGGGAAGATATTTCCCTTTCCAACATGGGCCTGAAAGCGCTCCAAATGTCCACTTCCAGATACTACAAAAAGAGTGTTTCAAACCTGCTCTACCAAAGGGAATGTTCTACTCTGTGACTTGAATGCAAACATCCCAAAGAAGTTTCTGAGAATGCTTCTGTCTAGATTTTACCTGAAGACAATCCCGTTTCCCACGAAATCCTCAAAGCTATGCAAATATCCTCTTGCAGATTCTACAAAAAGAGTGTTTCAAAACTGCTCTATGAAAAGAAAGGTTCAACTCTGTCAGTAGAGGGCACACATCACAAACAAGTTTCTGAGAATGCTTCTGCATAGTTGTTACGGGAAGATATTTCCCTTTCCAAAATAGGCCTGAAAGCGCTCCAAATGTCCACTTCCAGATACTACAAAAGGAGTGATTCCAACCTGCTCTATGATAGGGAATGTTCAACTCTGTGTCCTGAATACAAACATCACAAAGATGTTTCTCAGAACGCTGCAGTCTGCAATTTGTATGAATTCCCGCTTCCAAAGAAATCCTCAAAACTAGCCAAATATCCACTTGCAGATTCCACAAAAAGAGCATTTCAAAACTGCTCTATCAAAAGAAAGGTTCAACTTTGTTAGTTGAGTAGATACAGCATAAACAAGTTTCTGAGAATGCTTCTGTCCAGTTTTTATGGGAAGATATTTCCTTTTTCACCTTAGCCCTGAAAGCGCTCCAAAAGTCCAGTTCCAGATACTACAAAAGGAGTGTTTCAGACTGCACTATGAAAGGGAGTGTTCAACTTTTGACTTGAATGCAAACATCAGAAAGCAGTTTCTCAGAACGCTGCTGTGTGCTTTTTATATGTATTCCCGCCTCCAGCGAAATCCCCAAAGCTAGCCAAATATCCACTTGCAGATTCCAGAAAAAGAGTGTTTCAAAACTGCTCCTTCAAAACGGTGGTTCAATTCTCTTAGTTGAGTACACACATCTCAAATAAGTTTCTGAGAATGCTTCTGTCTAGTTTTTATGGGAAGATATTTCCTTTTTCACCTGAGGCCGGAAAGCGCTCCAAATGTCCACTTCCAGATACTACAAAAGGAGTGATTCAAACCTGCTCTATGATAGGGAACGTTCAACTCTGTGTCCTGAATACAAACATCACAAAGATGTTTCTCAGAACGCTGCAGTCTGCAATTTGTATGAATTCCCGCTTCCAACGAAATCCTCCAAACTAGCCAAATATCCACTTGCAGATTCCACAAAAAGAGCGTTTCAAAACTTCTCTATGAAAAGAAAGGTTCTACTCCTTTAGTTGAGGACACACATCACGAGTAAGTTTCTGAGAGTGCTTCTGTCTAGTTTTTATGGGAAGATATTTCCTTTTTCACCTTAGGCCGGAAAGTGCTCCAAATGTCCACTTACACACACTACAAAAAGAGTGTTTCAAACCTGCTCTGTGAAAGGGAATGTTCAATTCTGTGACTTGAATGCAATCATCACAAAGAACTTTCTGAGAATGCTGCTGTCTGCTTTTTATATGTAATCCCGTTTCCAACGAAATCCTCAAATCTAGCCAAATAGCCACTTGCAGATTCCACAAAAAGAGTGTTTCAAAACTGTTCTGTCTAAAGAAATGTTCAACTGTGTTAGTTGAGGACACACATCAGAAACTAGTTTCTGAGAATGCTTCTGTCTAGTTGTTATGGGAAGATATTTCGTTTTCCAACGTAGGCCTGAAAGCGCTCCAAATGTCCACTTCCAGATACTACAAAAGGAGTGATTCCAACCTGCTCTATGATAGGGAATGTTCAACTCTGTGTCCTGAATACAAACATCACAAAGATGTTTCTCAGAACGCTGCAGTCTGCAATTTGTATGAATTCCCCCTTCCAACGAAATCCTCCAAACTAGCCAAATATCCACTTGCAGATTCCACAAAAAGAGCGTTTCGAAACTTCTGTATGAAAGAAAGGTTCTACTCCTTTAGTTGAGGACACACATCACGAGTAAGTTTCTGAGAATGCTTCTGTCTAGTTTTTATGGGAAGATATTTCCTTTCTCACCTTAGGCCGGAAAGTGCTCCAAATGTCCACTTACACACACTACAAAAAGAGTGTTTCAAACCTGCTCTGTGAAAGGGAATGTTCAATTCTGTGACTTGAATGCAATCATCACAAAGAACTTTCTGAGAATGCTGCTGTCTGCTTTTTATATGTAATCCCGTTTCCAACGAAATCCTCAAATCTAGCCAAATAGCCACTTGCAGATTCCACAAAAAGAGAGTTTCAAAACTGTTCTGTCTAAAGAAATGTTCAACTGTGTTAGTTGAGGACACACATCAGAAACTAGTTTCTGAGAATGCTTCTGTCTAGTTGTTATGGGAAGATATTTCCATTTCCAACGTAGGCCTGAAAGCGCTCCAAATGTCCACTTCCATATACTAAAAAAAGAGTGTTTCAAACCTGCTCTACCAAAGGGAATGTTCTACTCTGTGACTTGAATGCAAACATCCCAAAGAAGTTTTTGAGAATGCTTCTGTCTAGATTTGATCTGAAGACAATCCCGTTTCCAACGAAATCCTCAAGGCTAGGCAAATATCCTCTTGCAGATTCCAGAGAAAGAGTGTTTCAAAACTGCTCCTTGAAAACGGTGGTTCAATTCTCTTAGTTGAGTACACACATCTCAAATAACTTTCTGAGAATGCTTCTGCCTAGTTGTTACGGGAAGATATTTCCCTTTCCAACATACGCCTGAAAGCGCTCCAAATGTCCACTTCCAGATACTACAAAAAGAGTGTTTCAAACCTGCTCTACCAAAGGGAATGTTCTACTCTGTGACTTGAATGCAAACATCCCAAAGAAGTTTCTGAGAATGCTTCTGTCTAGATTTTATCTGAAGACAATCCCGTTTCCAACGAAATCCTCAAAGCTAGGCAAATATCCTCTAGCAGATTCCAGAAAAAGAGTGTTTCAAAACTGGACCTTCAAAACGGTGGTTCAATTCTCTTAGTTGAGTACACACATCTCAAATAAGCTTCTGAGAATGCTTGTGTCTAGTTGTTATGGGAAGATATTTCCTTTTTCAACATAGGCCTGAAAGCGCTCCAAATGTCCACTTCCAGATACTACAAAAGGAGTGATTCCAACCTGCTCTATGATAGGGAATGTTCAACTCTCTGTCCTGAATACAAACATCACAAAGATGTTTCTCAGAACGCTGCAGTCTGCAATTTGTATGAATTCCCGCTTCCAACGAAATCCTCAAAACTAGCCAAATATCCACTTGCAGATTCCACAAAAAGAGCATTTCAAAACTGCTCTATCAAAAGAAAGGTTCAACTTTGTTAGTTGAGTAGATACAGCATAAACAAGTTTCTGAGAATGCTGCAGTCTGCAATTTGTATGAATTCCCGCTTCCAACGAAATCCTCAAAACTAGCCAAATATCCACTTGCAGATTCCACAAAAAGAGCATTTCAAAACTTCTCTATGAAAAGAAAGGTTCTACTCCTTTAGTTGAGGACACACATCACGAGTAAGTTTCTGAGAATGCTTCTGTCTAGTTTTTATGGGAAGATATTTCCTTGTTCACCTTAGGCCGGAAAGCGCTCCAAATGTCCACTTACACACACTACAAAAAGAGTGTTTCAAACCTGCTCTACCAAAGGGAATGTTCTACTCTGTGACTTGAATGCAAACATCCCAAAGAAGTTTACTGAGAATGCTTGCTGTCTGCTTTTTATATGTAATCCCGTTTCCAACGAAATCCTCAAATCTAGCCAAACAGCCACTTGCAGATTCCACAAAAAGAGAGTTTCAAAACTGTTCTGTCTAAAGAAATGTTCAACTGTGTTAGTTGAGGACACACATCAGAAACTAGTTTCTGAGAATGCTTCTGTCTAGTTGTTATGGGAAGATATTTCCTTTTCCAACGTAGGCCTGAAAGCGATCCAAATGTCCACTTCCATATACTAAAAAAAGAGTGTTTCAAACCTGCTCTACCAAAGGGAATGTTCTACTCTGTGACTTGAATGCAAACATCCCAAAGAAGTTTCTGAGAATGCTTCTGTCTAGATTTTCTCTGAAGACAATCCCGTTTCCAACGAAATCCTCAAGGCTAGGCAAATATACTCTTGCAGATTCCAGAAAAAGAGTGTTTCAAAACTGCTCCTTCAAAACGGTGGTTCAACTCTCTTAGTTGAGTACACACATCTCAAATAAGTTTCTGAGAATGCTTCTGCCTAGTTGTTACGGGAAGATATTTCCCTTTCCAACATGGGCCTGAAAGCGCTCCAAATGTCCACTTCCAGATACTACAAAAAGAGTGTTTCAAACCTGCTCTACCAAAGGGAATGTTCTACTCTGTGACTTGAATGCAAACATCCCAAAGAAGTTTCTGAGAATGCTTCTGTCTAGATTTTACCTGAAGACAATCCCGTTTCCCACGAAATCCTCAAAGCTATGCAAATATCCTCTTGCAGATTCTACAAAAAGAGTGTTTCAAAACTGCTCTATGAAAAGAAAGGTTCAACTCTGTCAGTAGAGGGCACACATCACAAACAAGTTTCTGAGAATGCTTCTGCATAGTTGTTACGGGAAGATATTTCCCTTTCCAAAATAGGCCTGAAAGCGCTCCAAATGTCCACTTCCAGATACTACAAAAGGAGTGATTCCAACCTGCTCTATGATAGGGAATGTTCAACTCTGTGTCCTGAATACAAACATCACAAAGATGTTTCTCAGAACGCTGCAGTCTGCAATTTGTATGAATTCCCGCTTCCAACGAAATCCTCAAAACTAGCCAAATATCCACTTGCAGATTCCACAAAAAGACCATTTCAAAACTGCTCTATCAAAAGAAAGGTTCAACTTTGTTAGTTGAGTAGATACAGCATAACCAAGTTTCTGAGAATGCTCTTCTGTCCAGTTTTTATGGGAAGATATTTCCTTTTTCACCTTAGCCCTGAAATCGCTCCAAAAGTCCAGTTCCAGATACTACAAAAGGGGCGCTCCCACGCCTCCCCCATCCCTCCCTCCTTTCTTCCCTTCCTTTCTTTCATTTCTTTCATTTCACTTCTCTTCTATGTAGAGTTTGATTCTTCACAACTTGGCTGAAAACATTCATGAAGACTGCCTGGTATGTTAGAGGTTGGCTTGTTGGGAGAAACAAAGGAAAAGAGGCAGAAAAAAAGCAATAAAAATGGTAATGAGAATGTTGACAAATTGAATATTTTGCATAGGGCAGACGGGACTGAGTTTGAGATAGGTGGACTTGTGTGTTCTATGTGATTTAAAGAATATATACATTAAAATGCACAGATCTTAAGCATTCAATTTAATGGGTTTTGACTTGTATACACCCACACAACCATCATGCCAAACAAAATTTAGAATGTTTCTATGGCCCTGGAAAATTCTTTCATAGCCCTTTCACACAACCCTGTCGCCTTCCAGGGGCAACCACTGTTCTAACAATTTCCATCACAATAAATTAAATTTGCCACTTCTTGGGCTTTATTTA